>NC_000010.11:130351108-130662589 GCF_000001405.40 Homo sapiens
GCAGGACCCACAACATACAGGCCACTTGCTGTGTTGGGGAAGCTGCAGGGCTGCAGATCAGGCCACACAGGGTGGGGGCAGAGATGAGGGTGGGGAAGCTGCAGGTGAGCCAGAGCCCATGGGGGCTTCTTTGCCATGCAGTGGACTTCCTTCTGGGGTGAGGACAGGTGGCTTGGACTGGAGCAAATGCTCCGCTTTGGAAAGGTCACTGTGGGTGGGTGGCAGTCATGGCTGCAGGGGGTGGGGGTGGCAGAAAATATCTTAGCTCTTTTCTGGTCACCATTTGTGAGTTACTGGTATTAAAACTGACTCCTCTCTGCTCCCTGCCTGCCTCTTCTGACGAGTGGAGGTGCTGATGATCATTGTCTCCCATTGGTTAACCCATGTATGTTCCCTCACCCAGGACCGCTGGGGCAAGAGGCCTGGATTGCTGAGAGCCCCAGGCCCCCCGCCCCACGGTCTGTTCTAGTTTGTCTGGTCTCTTCCAGTCGTGGTCTGGGAACTGGGCAAGGCCTCCCACTGGGATCCGTTGAGACTGGACCTGTGGCTTCTATGTGTGCACTTGCCTGTACCCGCATGTGTGCCTGTGTGTGTGAAGCGGTGCACACATTCTGCCAGCTGGGATGCAGGGCCAGGCCTGCTGCTGAAAGCCCAAGAGCCAGGGTACGTGAGTGTGGTTTGTGCTAAGAGAGTGGCCTGTGCAGGGTCTGCAGAGAGCCTGTTGCTTTGCTCGGTGCAGACTTTAAATCCATAGGCTGTTGGCCTCTTCCAGGCAATGAAAGGCATCCCCAGCCCAGGTTGCTTTGTGCTTTCCTGGGTTCTGGCACCGCCCGGCACCGCCCCACAGAGCCTCTGCCTGGCCACCCTAGAGCAGCAGCCTGGAGCAGAGGCCCCGGGGGCACATATGGTGTCACTGGTTGCAGAGTGCATTCAGATCATTTCTCTGCCACATTTTGGACTTGCCTGAGGTTCCTTTGTGGGGCTCATCGCAGGCAGAGAAAAGGTAGTGGGGACTTCAGCTGAAGAGTGAAACTCAGTAATGGAAATAACAGTGTCCCAGGCAGGAGCCTGGCCCTGATCATCTGACGGTGGAACATTATTCAGCCAGCGATTCGAATGGGAAGGGAAAGAACTGAGTTCAGCAGGAGGGTTGAGTGCTAGAATGAGCCCACCCCTCCTTCCAAGGCTGCCCAGTTAGGGGGAAACAAAGCGCTTTTTCCAGGGCACCTTGGACAAGGGTCTCAGTCGCTTTCAATCCATCACAGATCCTGCTTGCTTGCTCGGAGGCAGCCTCTCAGAGCTGAGGCGGCCCAGGCGTCAGGCCCCCATCCCAGCTTTGTGTGGCTGTCTCTGCCGGTCCCCTCTGGCCTGGCCATTGCCTGCAGTCCCTCGGGTTTTCTGTTTGGAAACCTGCCCTTTCCCATTATTAGGAGGCTGCCCCACGGTGGCCACTGGAGATCAGTGTTGAGTAGCGGCTCTTGTGAGTAACTCACCAACCTGATTTACTTACTTTCCTTTAGCCTAATGGCAGAATAAAAACAAAATGTATTTAAGGTTAATACTTTGATCTAAAAATTAAAGATGTAGTGTTTTCCTGTAAAAAAAAAAGTTTTATTATGCCAGTAGAAAAAGCTCTTAAAAGTATTTTAAAATTGGGCTGGGGGCAGTGGCTCATGCCTGTAATCCCAGCATTCTGGGAGGCTGAGGTGGGCGGATCACTTGAGCCTAGGAGTTCAAGACCAGCCTGGCCAACATGGCAAAACCCCATCTCTACAAAAATACAAAAATTAACTGAGCATGGTAGTGTGTGCCTGTAGATCCAGCTACTCAGGAGGCTGAGGCGGGAGAATCACTTGGGCCCGGGAGGTCGAGGCTGCAGTGAGCTGAGATAGTGCCTCTGCACTCCAGCCTGGGTGACAAAGCGAGACCCTGTCTCAAAAAGAAAAAAAAAAGTGTTTTAAAATCCCCATTTTTTTCAATTGAAGATTAATTTATGATTAAAACATTTTTAGAAAAGATATGACCTGGGTGTTTTTATTTTACTCAGAAACAAACAGTTAGGTGCAAATGATCATTGATCTGGAGCTTCTGTGATCACATCATTATTTTGATTAAATAATTAATACCATAAACTTTAAAAACGGATCTGGACCGGGCGTGGTGGCTCATATGCCTGTAATCCCAGCACTTTGGGAGGCTGAGGCAGGTGGATCATGAGGTCAGGAGTTTGAGACCAGCCTGGCTAACATAGTGATACCCTGTCTCTACAAAAAATACAAAAAATTAACTAGGCATGGTGGCAGGCGTCTGTAGTCCCAGCTACTTGGGAGGCTGAGGCAGGAGAATCGCTTGAACCTGGGAGGCAGAGGTTGCAATGAGCCGAGATCGCGCCACTGCACTCCAGCCCAGGAGACGGTGCGAGACTCCATCTCAAAAAACAAACAAACAAAAAAACAGATCCGATATCTACTTTTGTTTTTTGAGTCTGCAGATCTATTATTATTATTATTATTATATTATTATTATTATTTACAATCAGTAGGTTTACAGAAATCCTGGAAACGTAGGTTGTCATGTTCTATGAGAAATTGCATTGTGTGCTCATTATTCCACTTCTCCAACCATTCTAGGATTTGGAAGAAACCATTTCATTATCTGAAGAGTTTAAGTTCTAGATGACTGAAGGCCTCTTGCCCTATATTTGTTTTAATTACTATTAATGAAGGTTCATTGTTGATATGCGACTTGGTATACAGTGAAATGTGTATTATTTAGACCAATTGAGTATTTAACAATCTGTAAAATCGATGACATGGATAATAATTTACAGCGGAAAATGAGAGGCGGTGTTGGGCTCAGAGCCACCGCAGGTGACCTGCTCCAGTTCTGCAGCTGTTCATTCCCTGTTCCTCCATCCCGGGGGTGCTGATGGACAACCTGATAATTAATAGGCAACTTGGAAGACCTCGGTGCTGTTTTTTGAGAATCAATGTTTTCCTGGGTTTGGATCTTTTTCAAAGAGGGCTAAGTGACTTGCCCATGGGTGGCAGGGCAGTGACGGTGGCTCTGTGGTCATCTTTCATCCCAGCTCCCTGCAGGTGCATTTTGACTGCTCCTTCAGAAATCCTGTAATCTCTCTTCCCACAGGGGTGGGGTCCATAATTAACACTGTGAGCTTTCTAGCCCTTAGGCTAACACTGAGAATTCTGAGGCATGGCCTCCTCTGGGTTGATAGAACTAATTAGGTTTAATTAACCAATTCCAGGAATAACTAGTGGAAAACCTTGTGGGCTTGCATGGAAAGCATGGCAGTCCCCCACGTGGCACTTCCCCGCCTCCTTGCTGCTATCTCACAGATCTATTATTAATGTCTTTTATCACTTTGACAATAGAATCGTGTCTCCTTTGCTCTATTATCCTTTGATCATTGAAATGAAGCTTTGATCCCGCATTTCACATATCACTGAAATGAGTCTTTGGATCCTTGATGCCAGAAGGTAGAAACCTTCAAAGAATCCTGATTTTGTGGCAGGTTCTAAAAGTCTGCTTGAAGGATGAGACCCGGACCCTGGGTGAAGCATCCATCTCTCAGGAGAGTGGCTGGAGACCGAATGCGAGGAGCAGAGAGAGATGGGGGTTCTGCTCGCCCACTGTGCCTTCACCAGCACCAGCTGGGGGTCCTGCCATTCAACTCGACTCTCACACTAAACACCGGAGCTAGCGCAGACCCCGCATGCTAAAGAGCAAGGTCCTCTGAGACTGCTCTCATTTCAGATGCCAGCTACAAATGGGATCCCAGGCTTCCCACACTTCTGTCTGACTTGGTTACAAATTGGAGGGTCCCTAACCCCCACCTCCACTTTGATAATTCACTAGAATGACTCAGGAGACTCAGGAAAGTACCACACGACAATGACCACTTTATTACAAAGGGCACAGAGGAGGTGCCCAGGGAAGGTCTAGAGGCTCTGTGCTGCAGAGGTGGGTGCTGCCTGCCTGGTGGGTACTGCCCGCCTGGTGCATCTACACCTTCACCAGCCAGGAAGCGCCCCCAGCCTCGTTGTCCAGAGTTTTATAGGGGTTCCATTACATAGACACAGCTAAGTCATGGTCACATGATGCAACTCAGTCCCCAGCACCCCTTCCTTCCCTGGGTCAGGAGGCTGAACGCTGCAGCCCTCTAGGCCTGCGGGTGGCTTTCTGCAGAGCAGCCTCACCCTGAAGCTGTCCATCCCTCCTGTCCAGGATTCATTAGCATCACAAAAACAGTCCCAGGCTCTAGAAATCCCAGCAGGGACTGAAGCTCTGTGCCAGGAAGTGGGGGCAAAGACCACATCTATTTTTTATACACAGGCAGTTGTGGGCAAAGTGGCTGAACCCTTATCAAGGCTGTGTGCTCATAGCTGCTGGCCATGCCTTGGCCAGAAGTGACCGGCTTAAGCGCCCCCGGGGAATGCCGCTCCGCTGAGACGTAGCTTAGTTGCACGAGGGCTTCAGCTCGCTCCTAACTCGTTCTGCCTTAGAGTCAGGCCCTGCGATGCCGTGTCTAAGGGCCAGGACCTGGGGCTCTGCTGGCTGCCTCACTGCAGGCCTCAAGATGCAGCGTCAAGAAATGTTTGAATTCATGCTTCACACACTTAGCTATGAAAAACAGAACAAACAAATGAAAATCGAAAGCACTCGAACATTTTCTAAATGAGACCTTAAAGGAGATGATTTGGAGGAATCTTCATTTCTCTGAAGGTTTATGCTTTGCTTTTATTTAATGTTTTTGAGATAGGGTCTCACTCTGTCACCTAGGCTGGAGTACAGTGGCACAGTTTTGGCTTACTGCAACCTCTGCCTCCCATGCTCAAGAGATCCTCCTGCCTCAGCCTCTTGCATAGCTGGGACTACAGGTGCAAGCCACCATGCCTGGCTAATTTTGTTTATTTTTTTGTAGAGACGAGGTCTTACTATGTTGCCCAGGCTCTCTTGAACTCCTGGGCTCAAGGGGTTCTCCTGCCTTGGCCTCCTAAAGTGCTGGGATTATAGGCATGAGCCACTGTGCCCAGCCTGCTTTTGTAACCCAGACATTACCTGGGAGACTCTGTTCTTTAAGTTTCAAATGAAATAGAGACGGACTAGCTGGATTTCCTAGGCTGACTAAGAATCCCTAAGCTTAGCTGGGAAGGTGACCGCATCCACCTTTAAACACGGGGCTTGCAACTGAGCTCACACACGACCAATCAGGTAGTAAAGAGAGCTCACTAAAATGTTCATTAGGCAAAAACAGGAGGTAAAGAATTAGCCAATCATCTGTCGCCTGAGAGCACGGCAGGAGGGACAATGATCGGGATATAAACCCCGGCATTCGAGCCAGCAACGGCGACCCACTTTGGGTTCCCTCCCATTGTATGGGAGCTCTGTTTTCACTCTATTAAATCTTGCAACTGCACACTCTTCTGGTCCGTGTTTGTTACAGCTCGAGCTGAGCTTTCGCTCGCCGTCCACCACTGCTGTTTGCCGGCGTAGCAGACCCGCCGCTGACTTGGACCCTCCGGATCCGGCAGGGTGTCTGCTGTGCTCCTGATCCAGCGAGGTGCCCATTGCTGCTCCTGATCGGGCTAAAGGTTCACCATCGTTCCTGCACGGCTAAGTGTCTGGGGTTCGTCCTAATGGAGCTGAACACTAGTTGCTGGGTTCCACGGTTCTCTTCTGTGACCCACGGCTTCTAATAGAGCTATAACACTCACCGCATGGCCCAAGATTCCATTCTTTGGAATCCGTGAGGCCAAGAACCCCAGGTCAGAGAACAAGAGGCTTGCTGCCGTCTTGGAAGTGGCCTGCCACCATCTTGGGAGCTCTAAGAACAAGGATCCCCCGGTAAGAAAATCAATGGGCATCCCCACTCCCAGTACAGATACAGACACGTACACAGAGCCACACACACGGGCACACACACACACACACACACACACCCATATCTCTGTGGTCAAAACCCATCATCACTATCCTTCCCAGTCTTTCTAAAGCACAGTCAGCAAACCAGGTCACAGGTCAAATTCTGGCTCAACACCTGTTTTTACATTAAAAAACAATTATTGGGGCACAGTGGCACCCCTTTGTTTCCGGGTGGTCTACGGCTGCTTTGGTGATGCCTGAGTTGAGTTGAAGAGCTGCAGCAGATACCCCAGGGGCTGTGAAGTGGACACGATTTACCACCTGGCCTTTACAGGAAAAGGTGGCTGCACTTTTGCTGAGTGAGTTCCATGTCACCTGGATGTGGCGCTTCCTCCTGGGCTGGACGCCTGGCCTGCTGTTCCTCCCTTTGGCTCCCCCAGCATGGAGTGGGAGGCCATGTCGGCTGAAGGGGCCACTGCAGGGCCTCAGCCAGCTCCTTGAGCAATGGAAACCTGTGCATCCCTCTTCTTAAGAGTGCTGGCCGCTGCGTAGCCGGCTCCCAGCTTGCTGGTTCCAGCCCCTCCCCAGACACATTTAGCTCTTCCCTATGTTAAATCAAGGTTAGCGTAAAGCTGCCTTCTTACCTATTTTAAGTTTGGCCTAAAGTTTTCTCTGTACATTGGGAACTATAACCTAAACAGAGTTGTAAACAGACTGTATCCTACTCTTGCGCCAATCACCAAGTTTTGGCCAATCAAAGGTGGCTGACTGTTCAAACTGTGTTCAAATACAGTAAATGCTGAGCTGTTTCTGTATCTCACTTCTATTTTCTGTACATCACTTTTCTTCTTCTGTTCATAAATCTTCCACCATGTGGCTACGTTGGCGTCTCTGAGTCTGCTGTGGCTCAGGAGGTGGCCTGATTGAGAATCGTTCTTTGCTCAATTAAACTCTGATAAATTTAATTCAGCTGAAGTGTTTTTTTTTTTTTTTTTTTTTTAAATACCTGAGTCACTCTCTCTCCCTCAGTCATGTCTCCGGGCTCTGCCCCGTGGCTGGCTGTTCTCTCCAAAGCCAAGGTGGCTTTCAAGGTGCTCTGCAAATCCATGCAGTCTCCTTCTGAGAGAAGCCTTTCCTCCCTTCGGAGGCAGGAGCCGCGGCCGTCGAGTGGGTGGAAGTGGCACACGCTTCCTCTCATTGCACTGCAGTACTGGCACCCTGGTGGGCCTGGTGAGGCTGTTCTGTCTGGGATGGAGCCACAGGTGGCCCTCTGGAGTCGTGCTCAGCTGAGGCCACATCTCAAGATGGCGACTTCTCTTCCGAAAATAAAGAAGTGGCGTTGTAAGAGCAAGGCTTAGGGAATCACCAAGGCTTCTGCAACACTGAGTCAGCCAGTTTTGGAATCCACTCGCATTTTCCTTGTTTTTAGATCCAGCTGCTGGAGATCACCCTGCTCTTGGCCCTCTGGGCCCCTCCCTGTTGGAGGCCACACAAATGTTTCTTATGATTAGGCATAATTGAAGCCTGTCAGTAACAGCCTGTCAGTAACAATATGAACCTGCGATCAATTAAGCAGCTGACCAATCATTACCTCCTCCTCCCTGTCCTTGTTACCGAATAAATATGAAGGGCTGTAGAAGGTTGGGGAGGTGCCTTTGCTCACTAGAAGTGGGGAGCTGTCTTCTTCCCCAAGCTAACCTTTCCTTAAAACAGTTTCTTTTGTTTTTTGTTATCATTTCTATGTTTGTCCCTTCGTTCAGTCATAATGATGGTCTCAAGTGGTAACAGTAGTAACTTCTGTAATGATGGTTTCAAGTAGTAACAGTGGCAGTCAGCCACACCTCCCTGTGCCTTCCAGGGCGGACCCTGCCTCTGTCCTCTTTGTTGTCCTCTGAGACCCTGACTCCTGGGCTTTCTGAGAGCTCCTGGCCCCCTGCCTTTCATCGTGGCAGACACCGAGGGGGAAACCAGGACAGAGTGTCCCTGCCTCTGCATGAGAAACCTCCCAGTGACAGAGGAGGCCCCTCCCATCTCAGTTTTAGCTCTTGGCTTTTTGAAATGAAAGCTTATTTTACTTCTGATTTTATCGGGTTTTGGTTTTAAAGAGTTGGCCCCTGTCCCACCTCCTCTGGATGCCTGGGTCTTCCCTGCAGCAGGATGTCTCGCTCCACCAGCACTCTGCCCAAGTGAGGGAAGGAGGGCGGGCCACGTGGGCCTCGGGCACGGCAGCTGCGACAGAGGGAGAGACAGGCTGGAGCTGCTCGGGGTGCTCCAGGCTCACAGGTAGGAGCATCCCTCTCATCCTTCAATCCTCCCGTGTGGTCTCAGCATCTGGGCCAAACTCCTCCCAGCCCCTTCAGCTGAATCCTTCCCCAGTGGTCACACTGGGCAGGAACAGAACGGCCTCTGTCTTCATCACTTCCGTCTCCAAGCACCTTGCCCGCCCAGCGTGTTCTAGCTGCCGACTGAGACACGCCCACTTATTCTACCAATTCAGCGCACTCCATTTCCGCTCAGAAACCAAAACTTAGTGGAGAGCCCCAGCGGCCGTGGTTCGCAGAAGACTCTCCCATAAGATGCACCGCCATCCGTGTAGCTTGGCCTAACAATATGCCTGTTTTTAGATGAAAAACCTCCTCTGCCCAACACGACCCATCCCTTAGAGTTCAAAACCAAACTCACCTGGACCAAACCTGAGGCCACGTTGAAACAAGGTGCAGTGAGCTTTGCGTAAGTGTGGACAGTTTTCCGAGTTGTGGCACAGGATTCTGTCTTTGTCTTTACCTCAGCTGAAGTGGAAACTCAGTCCGTGGCCCCCGCAAATGCAGAGGTGCTGGTGACGCAGGGAGCCCATGGAGTACTTACCGGTTCCCTGAGCTTTTTCTTCATGCATGTTCTTCTGGCCCCTGAGCTGAGCTGTGAAGTGACTGACCCAGGACCCCAGCCAGGGCTGTTGGAACCCAGAGGCCTGAATCCAAGGCTGTGCTTCTCCTCGAAGGTTTACAGTGACGGGTGCTGTGCTGGCTGGGGGAGCGGGGCTTCCTGCCCTGACCAGCTTCCAGCCTGCCATGCACGCAGGGTCGGCGAAGGCCCAAGAGGGCTGCATGGGCAGGAAAAGGATCCTCTTCTCATAGTTCACTAACTGCCATCGTGGGGCTGGCGGAAAGGCTGCTCTCGCTCTCTCGCTCTCTCTCTCTCTCGCTCTCTCGCTCTCTCTCGCTCTCTCGCTCTCTCTCTCTCGCTCTCTCGCTCTCTCGCTCTCTCTCTCTCGCTCTCTCTCGCTCTCTCTCTCGCTCTCTCTCTCGCTCTCTCGCTCTCTCGCTCTCGCTCTCTCTCTCTCGCTCTCTCTCTCTCTCTCGCTCTCTCGCTCTCTCTCTCTCGCTCTCTCTCTCTCGCTCTCTCTCTCTCGCTCTCTCTCTCTCTCTCTCTCTTGCTCTCTCTCTCTCGCTCTCTCTCTCGCTCTCTCTCGCTCTCTCGCTCTCTCTCTCTCTCTCGCTCTCTCGCTCTCTCGCTCTCTCTCGCTCTCTCTCGCTCTCTCGCTCTCTCTCTCGCTCTCGCTCTCGCTCTCTCGCTCTCGCTCTCTCTCGCTCTCTCTCTCTCGCTCTCTCGCTCTCTCTCTCTCGCTCTCTCTCTCTCGCTCTCTCTCTCTCTCTCTCTCTCGCTCTCTCTCTCTCGCTCTCTCTCTCGCTCTCTCTCTCTCGCTCTCTCTCTCGCTCTCTCTCGTGGAGGATTTTGGCATGTGCCCTCTGGGTAGTTTGGTTGGTTGGGAGTTCCCTTCCCCTATGAGACTTGATTTCTTTGAGCCAGTCTTGTGGATTTTGCACTGGGAAGGAAGAGACCTCCTAGCTGTTTTTCTCTGCCAGCCTGAGCAGGTGACACACTCACCCGCAGCTGCTGCCCAGCAGGAGGGGGCTGATCTGCAGTACAGATGCCCATGAGGGCAGGGAGGTAGGACACCAGAGTACAGAGGCTCAGCCAGCGCCCACCTCTCTGTGGACTGACAGCCAGATTGCATGTGCTGTGCTCGGCTTGTAGACATCGAAGACCAGGTTCTAGAGGCATCTGCGTTTGCAGTCACCTCGTCCAGGACCCGGGCTCAGAGAAACAGCTCTTTGTTGATACAGCTGTTGCTGCCTGTACCCATGCTCAAACCCGCAGATCTGCTGGCACACTTCCCGTGGGCTTGCTCTCTGTGCCCAGTGTCTGGTCTTGGTCCGGGTCAAAAGCACAGGCTGACACCTCCGGAGCTTTGTCTGGGGACTGCCCTGGGTCCTCTGCTGCTGTCCAGGGGGGTGTGTTGGGGATGTTCTGGCACCAAAGCCGCGCAGGAGGAGTGTGCCGGATGGACGCTCTATTCTGGAGCAGGTGCTGTTCTCCTGCAGGCCTGACTCTCCCGCACCAGCCTGGAGGGGGTCCCTGGGAAGGGGACTCTGCAGGAGGTTAGGGACAGGAGCTTGTTAAGGCGCACCTGGGGTCTGTGTCCATGTAAGGGAGGGGAAGGAGCAGGAGGGGAGGCGTGAGAGGTGCGTGGCAGTGGAGGTTTACCCTGCAGAACTGTGGTGCTGGATGGCCTTCCGAGGCACTGACTTGGGACAAGGCTGGGCTGTTGTTCACCTGTGTGGGTTAGGCCCTGGATGTGGCTGCCCTGGGGAGGGTGGTGGCCTGGTGAAGCAGCTCTCCTTAGCAAAGGTGAGGGCTGCTGGCGAAGCCGTGCACACCTGTAGTCTGAGATGGGCCACGAGCAGATGCTGGGGCTGCCTGGGCCTCACAGAGACTGATGTCCAGCCTCCCCCAAGAAAAGCCCATTGTCCATCTGCATGCAGAGTCTTCTGAGTGTAGTGTCATTTGTTTATTTTAAAACTATCTTTGAGCATTGACTGTCTGCAGGGCACCGAGCTTGGCACTGGAGGTAAAAGAGTGAGTGACAAGGCAGATTAGGCTATTGCCCGCCCTGGTGAGGCTGCATGTTTGCAGAGAGAAAGAAGAAAAGAGGAGGAGAAAGAGAGAGGGAGGGAAGGAGGAAGGGAGATAGGGAGGGAGAAAAAAATAGCAAGAAATATACCCAGTCTAAATGGCATCTCAATTGGATAGCTTTGACAACATGCCAGAAAAGATGAAATTATGTGGATGCCCAGCCAGTTACCTGCTGTGGAGGATGGGTTTTGGGCCATATTCTTGGTCTTGTTTCCTTATCTGTGCCTCTGATTTAGTGTTTCAACTTTACAAAAATGTGAAAAATGTAAAATGTGTGTAGAAACAAGCTTCATAACATGGACTCGTCACTGTCGGGAATTTACTGGAAGTGTGTGTGAGTTGGTGTCTTCTGCCCTCTGTCAGTCACTGGTCTCTGGATAAGCATGCTATCAGGCCCCCAGCTTTTTTTCTTGGCTGTTCTCACAGAGGCCAGAGCAGGCTGCAGCAGCCACCGGGGGTGGCCTGTAAATCATTAGCGATGACAGTAGTAAGTGAAACAGACACAATCCTGTTGTGTGTCAAGCAGGGAGTCAGATGTGCATGCCGCGCTCCAGCGCTCCCACGAGCTCAGCACACAGAGCTGCACTCCCCGTGCCTTGCCAATGGCATTGCAGGTGGCTCTCCCTACTTCAAAGGAATGCAGAGCCACCCCAGGTTAACTGCACAGTTCTTGGAGCCTGGGTGCTGAGTGCATGAACAAGCTCTCCAGGTGGCTGTGCATGTGCTTCCAAGGCCTGGTCCCGGGAGAGGGCTGTGTGTCCCACAGGGTGCTGCTCAGGGACAGCAGGTCCTCCGCCTTCAGGTCCTCCGCCTTCCAGACTCTTCACCTCCTGAAGTGGCAGGTCCTGGGAATGAAATGGAGAGGCTGTTGCCAATGTTGAGATGAGAATCTTGCTCTGCCATCTGGGACAGGCTTCAGGGCCTGGCTGTTGGGGATCTATGTGCCACAGAAGTGGGCAGAATCTGTCTGGGGGTGTCTGGCCAGTGCTTTCCTAGGAGACTTCTGGGCTTTTGGGTTGCCCGGTTCTTAGAAGTTGCATTAACCAGGTGCTCCTGGGCAAGTAGCAACTTGATGGTGCCCTAGTGAGCTTCTCGGGGAGGGTGATCTCTGTTCCTCCTGATGGGAGGGGGTGCAGAGGCTGGGACAGGCAGCATGGGGGGTGGGAGGGAGGATTCTGGGGACAGATCCTGAGCCCCTTCCTTAGCCTCGCTGAGCCTTACTTGGTGTTTGGGTAAGTGGGAAGCATCTCTTCTCCGGACCCTGGCCAGCACCATGGCAGCCTCCCAGGGTAGGTGTGTTCCGTCTTCTTCCTGCTTATAGGTTTATTTGTGGGGCAGGTGGTGGTGGCCTTGATCTCCCGGCAAAGTGAGGCTGTTCTGGGGTCTTCTGGAGAAGGCTTCCCTCCTTGACAAGGGGCAAGCACAGCAGGAGGAGAAGGTACCTGCCATCCCTGGCTGCCTCCTGCTTTGACAGTGGGCAAGTTGCCAGGAGCTGCGGCATATCCTTAGGGGAAATGCAGTATGCAGGGAGAGAGGGACCATGACACAGTGCCCAGGAGTACGGGCTCAGGTTTAACTCCTGCTGCTGACCCTGGGCAAGCCACTTTGTCACCGTGTGCCTCAGTTTCCCCATCTGTTAAATAGTGGTGGTAATAGTACCTGGCGTATGGAGCCCTAAGCATTTGCTATTGCTTTGTAAATTCAAAAATTAATTACATATACAGCATATGCATACATGCTTGTTCTAAACCTTCAAACAATACAGAAGGACGTATAGAAGGATGTCCGCTCTAGAAGGACGTACACCTCCCACACCTCATCATCTCCCCTCCTCCAACCTGCTGATTTTACTTTTTCCACTAGAGGTAATCGCTGCTAAGAGCTTGGAATTTTTTTTTCCAGAATTTTTTATGGGTATCTCATTTTTCATAAGTGGGATTATACTATATAAATGGTTGAGTATCTTGCTTTTTCACTTGATGTGTATAAGAGTTTTCTACCGGTGTCTTAGCAAACTTAGTATCTTAAAATGAACAATAACCATTTCTTACCTCGCTGTGTCTGTGCGTCAGAAGCCCGGGCCTGGTGTGCTTCGCTGGTTCTCGGCTTAGTGTGGCACTGGACAAAGTTGATGCACTGCGGGGCCATCTTCCTTTCCAGAGGCTCGGGATGAATCTACTCCCAAGCTCACTCAGGTGTTGGCAGGATGTAGTTCATGCAGCTGTAGGACTGAGGTCCCTGTGTCCACACTGACTGTCAGTGGGGGGAGGTCCTCAGGGCTACAGGCTGCCTCAGCCCTTGATGGGTGGCCCCTTGCTCCTTCTCCAGAGCAGGCCAGGTGCTCCCAGTCTCTCTCACCACCTTTCCCCCTCAAGTCTATGGCTCTTCTGTCCCTTGTCTGCCTTTAAGGGCTCATGTGATGACCCTTGTCCACCCAGTTATCCCCCTATTTTACAGTCAGCTGATTAGCAGATCTGGTTCCGTCTGCAGAGTCCCTTTGTATGAACAGTGGGTTGGATAGTGTCCCCCAAATTGATGGCCATCCAGAACCTCATCATGGGGTGGTGTTTGAACATAGGTTTCTGTAGAAATGATTAGTTAAGAAGTGATATCTTACTAGATTAGGGTGGGTCCTAAATCCAATGACTGAGACCCTCATAAGAAGAGGAAAAGACAGAGATGCAGAGAAAGTGGCAACGTGAAGGCGGAAGTGGAGGCTGGAATGATGGAGGAAGGCACGGATGGCCAGTAGCTGCAGAAGCTGGGAAGAGGGTAGGGGGTGATTGCTTAGCCTTCAGAGGGAGTGTGGCCCCGCCCAGAGCTCTGTCTTGACTTCTAGCCCCTGGAACTGGGAGAGAATAAGTGTCTGTGTTTTCGGGCCTCCAGCGTGCGGCAGTTCGTGATGGCAGTTCTAGGAAGCAGATGCAGCGGCAATGCTAAGTGGGTGCTCCCTGGAGTCTGGAGGGCACGTCTGTAGAATTCTGCCTAACATGGTGTGTAGTGAAGTTCTTTGTAAGTGCAAAGCATTGTTATGATGAAGCAGGTATAATAACTGCCTTCCCCTTTACAAAGACACTCTTTACATGCATGGCGCCAGTGTTATCACCAGGTGATGCGGTTGGCGGGGACAGGCCTTCAAACTTTCATTCTGTAATTAATAGTCTGGATGTCAGAAGGCAGAGGCAATGAATAAAACACATTCATGGCTGTGGAGTCATGCAACGATGACATGTGATTTACTGTCAGATCAATCTGGACAGGCAGGAAGAGGCTGAGACAGAGGCGAAGAATTGGGAAATCTGGTCGTTCATTGAATCTGCTGGAGCTAATGAAGCCTGCAGAAGGAGAAGGAAACAGCTTATTGGCCATAAATGCCTTGGGACCTCTGACCCCACAGGCTCCGCTGTTATCCTGGTCCCATCTGATGCCAGGGAGGGCTTCCCCTGGATTTATCTCTGCTGTGGGATTTAATGGCAGTTGGGAAAAAAATCATTGTGAATATCCTGCAGCAAGAATATGGAGATGTAAATATTTTTCTCAATGAGGACATTAATATTGAAGGTTTCTCAGCCCTCAAATATTGAGGGATTCTGTGATAATCCACATTTACTTGCATTCCCTTAACTGTATGTGTGAATATACAAATATGTGTAGATTGGTTCTTGTGTCCAAAAATACCTGGATACTGGGGAAGAAAAGGCCTGTTACTTCTTTTTAAAAAAAAATTTATTTTATTTTATTTTACTTTACATTCTGGGATACACATGCAGGATGTGCGGGTTTGTTACGTAGGTACGCATGTGCCATGGTGGTTTGCTGCACCTATAAACCCATCATCTAGGTTTTAAGCCCCGCATGCATTTGGTATTTGTCCTAATGCTCTCCTCCCCTTGCACCCCACCCCCCTCTGCCCGACAGGCCCCGGTGTGTGATGTTCCCCTCCCTGTGTCCATGTGTTCTCATTGTTCACTTCCCACTTATGAGTGAGAGCATTTGGTGTTTGGTTTTCTGTTCCTGTGTAAGTTTGCTGAGAATGATGGTTTCCGGCTTCATCCATGTCCCTGCAAAAGACAAACTCATTCTTTTTTATGGCTGCATAGTATTCCATGGTATATATATGTGGCACACTTTCTTTATCCAGTCTATCATTGATGGGCATTTGGGTTGGTTCCAAGTCTTTGCTATTGTAAATTGTGCTGCAATAAACATATGTGTGCATGTGTCTTTATAGTAGAATGATTTATAATCCTTTGGCTATATACCCAGTAATGGGATTGCTAGGTCAAATGGTATTTCTGGTTATAGATCCTTGAGGAATTGCCACACTGTCTTCCACAATGGTTGAACTAATTTACACTCCCACCAACAGTGTAAAAGCATTCCTATTTCTCCACAGCCTCACCAGCATCTGTTGTTTCCTGACTTTTTAATGATCGCCATTCTAACTGGCATGAGATGGTATCTCATTGTGGTTTTGATTTGCATTGCTCTAATGGCCAGTGATGGTGAGCTTCTTTTCATATGTTTGTTGGCCACACACATGTCTTCTTTTAAGGGCTGTTACTTCTTGCATGGGGAGAAGAAAAGCCAGCCCAGGACAACACGGCTTCAGTGCTATCTTGTTGTAGGGGAGGGTGAGGCCCATGGTGATAAACAACCCCCAAATTTTAGTGGCTTAAAACCATAAAGGTTTTATTCCCTCACTCCCCTTCTCCATCAGACACTGGGGTGGGCTCTCCCAGCACCCAAGCTCTACCACCTGCTGAGTCCCCAACTTAGCCACTGGGGAAGTGAGTACCGGCACAGTCAATGCTCACCACGAAGCATTTTGGCTGAGAAGTGACACAGAACATGTGTGCTCACATTTCATCAGTAGAGCCAGATGCATGATTGCTCCTAGCTTTGGGGGAAGGACAGATTAAACCCTAAGGCTGTGCCCCAAGAAGGGGAGGGTTAGAGAGTGGTGGACGTTAGGAAGGCCACCAGGAAGGCTGGGGGAGGAATCACTCTCATTCTTTGCGATGATCCCGGAGCAGACAAAGACCACAGTGGATTTCTCAGGCAGGTTGCTGTGCCACTGCTATGATTTGAATGTGTCCCCTCTAAAATTCAGGTGTTGCCAATGGGATAGTATTAGGAGGTGGGGCCTTTAAGAGGTGACTGGGCCATGAGGTCTTCCCTTGTGGGTGGGATTAGTACCCTTAGAAAGAGGCTTGGCTAGAGGGTTGGCTTCCTCTTGTCCCTCTGCCATGTGATGAGGTGGCAGGAAGGCCCTCGCCAGATGCGGGTGCCTTGATCTTGGACTTCCCAGCTTCCAGAACTGTGAGGAAAGAAATTCTTGTTGTTATTATAGTTTTTTTTTTTTTTTTGAGACAGGACGTGGCTCTGTCACTGAGGATGGAGTGCAGTGGTGTGATCTTGGCTCACTGCAGACTTGATCTTTCAGGATCAAGCCATCCTCCCACCTCAGCCTCCTGAGTAGCTGGGACAATAGGTGCGAGCCACCAAACCTGGATAATTTTTAAAATTTTTTAACGGAGATGAGGTTTCACCATGTTGCCCAGGCTGGTCTCAAACTCCTGAGCTCAAGCGATCTACCCACCTCCCAAAGTGCTGGGATTACACGCATGAGACACCATGCCCATCCTAAATTTTTGTTCTTTGTAAATTACCCAGTCAGTGGCATTCTGGGACTAAAGGGACTAAGACAGCCATCAGCTAACACCTAGGATGGACATAAAGTTCTGGGGGCCAGAGGATGAACTATCATTCATTAAGTTGTGGCCCCCAAAATGTATGTCTGCCTGGAAACTCAGGATGTGACCTTATTTGAACTGCGGATATACTTGAAGCTGGGATCTCAAGACGAGGCCCTCCTGGATTAGGGTGGGTTCGAAATCCAAGGACAAGTCCTTACAAGGGAAAAGAAGGGGAAACAGACACGAATGCACAGAGGGAAAGGCCGTGTGACAATGAAGACAGGAATTAGGGGGCAGCCCCAAACCAAGGAACACTGAGGGCCGCCAGCAGCCACCGGAACCTGGGAGAAGCCGGCAGTAAGTTTCTGCCAGAGACTTTGGAGGCAGCGTGGTCTTTTCAACACATTGATTTTGGATTTCTAACTTCCAGAACTGTGAGAGGATACGTTTCTGTGGTTTTAAGGCCCAAGTTTGCAGTAATTGGTTCAGCAGCCCTAAGACCCTGGTGCAGATTTTCATTGCTAGGAACCTGTTGGGAAATTATGTTTCCCCCATTGTTATCCCTTTTCCTTTCCTTGGTTCAGGCTGGTAGCCAGGGTCTGTGTTTCTTGACCTCTTCTTTCCTTCCTTTGTTTCCGGTAAAAGCTGAAGCCCAACTCCAGAGTCAAAACCACTTCCCAGAGATGAGGAGGATAGGGTGGTCGTGGGGTCTGAGTCTGGCCATGCAGAAAGCCCTGGCATGGTTACCGGAGCACAGTGTTGGCTGAGACAGGGATTCAGAAGAAGGAGGGACTGAGGGGGCCAGGGGAGGTTCTGGTTGGGTTTTGAACAGGTTGGGTTCATAGTTGCCCTGTGGGGTTAGGCTGAAGGCATCTGGAGGCATCGTCTAGAGCTACGAGTGATCCGGTGCCTCTGAGTGTAAGTCTCAGTAAAGCAATGCCAGCCTGCCTTTGCAAATAGGCATCGAGGCTTCAAAATCCCCTTAAAACCAACTTATTTTAACTAGAAATTGGTATGATAGTTATCTGAGTGGGTCATTTGTCTAAAGGTTAAATACTGGGTAAAAGCCAGAGCAGAAAACATCCTTTAGCAAATCCACCTGTCTGTGCTACTCGTGCCGGGGAAAGTGAAGCCAGCTCTCGCATGCTGATTTATCAGCTTCACCTGAGAAGGTCGAACACCCAAAAAAGCATATTTGATCTTTGATTCCTCATGTTGTGCACCTCATTCACCAGACGTGCATGGGCACTGGCTGTGTGCAGGGCCCTGCTGTTGGGGTTTGGAGCATGTAGAGAACAGACAGAAGACAGAAGAAAAATGTATAAAAAGTACACAAGGCACACATTAATTACAGTGCTTGCTAGAAGGGAAAGGAAAAGGAAAGCAGGGTCAGGGAGACGGCCAGTGTGGAGCGTGCCATTCGCAGTGCGCAGTCTTGCACTCAGGATAGGCCCTGTGGAGAAGGTGACCTTTGGACAAAGACTGTGGGAGGTGCAGCGACCTGGGGAAAGTGCATTCCCGGAAGATGGAACTGCGTTGCGAAGTCCCTAGTTTCTGGCATGTTGTGGGAACAGAAAGAGGTCAGAGGCTGGGGAAGAGGGAGCAGGAGGGAGGGCGGTGGGCAAAGAGGTCCAAGGGCCATGGGTGACTTTGTATTTGTTCTGCTAAAGGGGAGCCACGGGAGGCTGCTGAATAGGGAATTGTCTTGATGAAAGTGTGAAAGCGCCGTTCTGGCTGCTGGGTGGAACGTGGCCAGCACAGGACATAGAGGGGCAGGGAGACCCTTTAGGAGGCTGAGGCCACCGTGCAGATGAGACAGGACCGTGTCCTGCACAGCAGCAGGCCACTAGAGGAGAGGCTGGGAGAGCCTGGGTGTAGATGGAAGGAGAGGAGGGGATCAAGGCTCACTTCAACACGTGCCTGTGACCCACCGGGACCCTGAGTGGGGAGGGAGACTCCCAGGAAACGCCATGAGGGAATCTCCCTCAGACAACCGACTGTTGAGCCCCAGACACGCACACATGGCAGGAGGCTTGGTCATGATTCTGTGGTTCTTCCATTTTGTGGACGGGAACCACAGTTCTAGCTTAGCCAGGGCATGCAGGCAACGTCTCGTCCTCTGCAAATCTTTTTCCCCGCTGCCCTCCCGTCCCTAGCAAGGAAGGTCTGGCACCATCCCCACCCCAGCTGGCTTGCTGTTGCCTTCATGGGGTGGAGCATGGCACAGGAGGAGCCACTGTTTTCTGACAATACATTAGAGTGACCACCCTCATCCGTGAGACACGTGGATCCCCTGGCTCCCCTGGCAGCTGTTCTGAAGTGCCGTCCACACCCCTCCAGGATCCTGGGGCTGTCATGGAGGGGCCAGGCTGCCCACCAGAGTCCGATGCTACAATTTCCCAGGTCTTTGCTGTGACCCAGGATGCAGAGATGATGAGGACATGGCTCTCGGGGCAGGAGGCCTCTGCCCATGGGTTTCAACCTTGGCCACCTTGTGCTCCATTCGGAAGACTGCTTCAGCCTCCATCTCATAGGTGCCTGCAGACAGGCCCCCTGCAGAGGTGGAGAGGAGGGAGAGCCCTGGCAGGGGAGGGGGCCTGGCAGGAAGCAGGGTGGCTGTGCATCCTTCTCTGGCCCCTCAGAAGCAGAGACTGCAGAGCCAGTCCTTAGCTTGTGGTGGATGGGCAATTGTGACCCTCAGGAAGCCAGCTCTGCTGTGGCTCCATGCTGTCAGATGGACCACACTTACCAGGTACAAGCCAGCAAGACTGGCTGTGACACAGTCATCCTGAGCTGCCCTAAAAATGATAATTTTAACACAGCCTACCTGGCCTAAGGCTACCTGAACATAGTATGCAAATGTATGCATTTATGCAAATTTCAGCAACCCAGATTTCTGGCCACTGGGACCTCTGCTCTGGGAGCCTGTGGGGCTGATGTGTGGTCTTGCTCTTGCAGCCTGACAGAGATTTACACACCTGCCTTCTTCCCTGTTGGCCTCTTCAGCAAGAGCTGGCCTGGGTTTCTGGGGAGACTTTTTTTTATGGTCCCTGCTCAGCTTAGAGATGCCAAAAGAAAAGCAGTTTCGAGGTGAAGCCCTCTTTATTCCCGGGTTCTGCCAGCGTCTTCACAA
This sequence comes from Homo sapiens, assembly GCF_000001405.40. Classification (NCBI taxonomy): domain Eukaryota; kingdom Metazoa; phylum Chordata; class Mammalia; order Primates; family Hominidae; genus Homo; species Homo sapiens. The sequence continues at coordinate 130,370,798 of NC_000010.11, forward strand.
TGGGCAGACGCACCTCGTCCTTTGTGCAGTCGTTGGTGTAAACTCTTGAAAAAATGAGTTGAGCAAGTTATCTGCTGTTCATAGTTCAGCAACCAAAGCAGCCCCCCCCTTGAGGTGTCTATGTTTGATTAGTAGGAGCAATTCTTCGTCCTTTTATGGTGCCTTTCTGCAAAACTGCTGTGAAGCAACTCGCTAATTCTCCGACAGGCAGGTGGTGAATCCTGGATCCCCGTTTGTGTGTGGAGGATAGGCATGGAGAGAACCTCATCTGTGGTCCTGTGGGAGGAGCCAGCAGCACCCTAAGAACCACCAGGGTCTTGCTGGCTACTCCTGTGGGGGACCCCTCCGAGGGGGACCTCACTCAGTGGGGCAGGGACGCTTTCAGCTTGAGGTGCTTCCTCTCAGCAGCCCCTGAAAGTGGGACCTGGACTGAGCCAGGAAGTGGGATGCAGGATTTACCACTTGTCATCGTCACACGGAGCTTGATGCCTTCTAGTCCCTGGGACACCCGGCTGGCCCGAATTTGACTATAGGTGAGGCCCCTTCTCTGGGGTTTGCTATAATGTGCCTTCCCTTCATGCCCCAGGGATACAGGCACCAGCTCTGCCTCCATCCCCAAAACCCAGCCAGGGTGGCAGCTGCTCCTGTTTGCTAAGGGGATAAGGTGGGGAGAGTAGCAAGGCCGAGGGCCTGGTGGAATCAAGACTATCCTGTGAGCTGCAGAAATGCATGTAGTTTGTGCTAAGGGGACTTTGGGGCATGATATAATTTAAAATTGGCCAGTTTACTGTCATGTCTCTGCTAAAACATGCTTCTCCCAGGCTCATGAAATCAGGGCTCCTGAGCTGACTAGTCCCTCCTTCTGATTAGAATATTCAGACACTCTCACCAGAAGCAGGTCAGCCCACGACTGTGACAGGAAAGGGAAGCTGGATCTCGCTAAGCAAATGTTTGAGGTCTGCCCAGATAATCACTATCAGCAGTGCTTAGGGCGATGGGAATGAAAGGTGCCTGTCAGGACAGGGGCTGCATGGAACATTCTTTAGTGGGGGCGTCGTGGAGCCTGGCACGGCTGCAGGGGACAGACACACCTGCTGCTCACTCTAAAGCCTCTTCCCCCTGCCGCGCGAGCCGCCCGGCATGGCCCAAGTCCAGCTCGTTACCTGTGTGATTTATCTCAGGCATTCCAGAAATATCCGAGCCACAGATGCACATGGCTTCTCTTCGACTCCTACTGGAGACGCGAGTGAACAGACAGGCTCTGTCACAAGGGGTCTAATCCAGAGTTGAGATGATTAGGCAAGAAGAAGAAGAGTCCAAATGAGGGGACCTCCCAGAGTGGGAATATTCACTCAAACAGCAGTTCCTGGGTATCCCTAGTGTCATAGGATCCTCTGAGCACTGCATGGGCAGGGCTGGTCCCTGGAGATCTGGGGCTGGAGCAAGGCTGGCAGAGGACTTGGTAAACACATGCTCTGGTGGTGTTATTCTGTAAACAGTAGACACGGCACCGCAGTGTGCAGGGAGACCAGGCTCAGAGTGCCAGCTATGATGGGCAGCCATGGGAGTGATGCTGCCAGGTCACATTAACCAGCGTGGGGCCTGTCTCCTCCTCCGGGGCTGCTGTGGTGCCAGCCTGTGTCCTTGGTGCTGGGAGGCCATAGGAAGTCAGAGGCTGTCTTCACCAGACCAAGATTGCGTGTCATCTGCAGCCAAGGCGGGGTCACGTCCGGAAGTGCCGCTGATGTGGTGCAGAGCTGGCACTGAGATGAGTTTCCTAGCGGGCAGGCCTTGGGCTGAGGGCACCGCCTGCACAAGAACTCTGCGATGTCAGGACTGTCGTTACTCCCATTTTAAAGACATTGAAGTGGATGCCTAGGGAGGCCACGGGCCCTGCCCGCACACCTCAGCTGCTGAGTCCTAGGGCTGGGGTCCAAGCCCATCCTGTCCAGTTCCAAAGTCAGTGCTTTTTAATGATGCTCACCTGCAAACAATCGTTGTTGTTGATGTTATGTCTTTTAAAAATCAGTATTAAGTTATAGTTTGGTTTATTTAAATAATGAAAGAGCCTTCAGACACTGGGCTTGTGAGAAAGAACAGGGTCCAATGCTCGGAGGGATGGTGAAGCCCCAGGCAGGGCTGGCAGGTTGGGCCCGTTCGTCGCTGTCCAGCCAATGTTTGTTCCCTCTCCTCTCTACCTCCAGGGTCACCCCTTGGCTGCCTTTTATGCTGGGCTTGGCTGTGGGGCCAGCTTTGGCCTGTGGAATGTGGGAGGAAGTGACGATGTGTCAGTTTGGAGGCGGGCCTCTAATGGGCATGGTGTGTTTGTGCTCTCCCCCTGGGGAAGTTTGTCCAGGTAGCTGCCCCTGCGGATGAGACATGGAAAGTTTGTCCAGGTAGCTGCCCCTGTGGATGAGACATGGAGCAACCTGAACTTGACACCTAGCGTCACGCAGCACTTCCCCAGTCATCCCTCATATTCGGTAGTGAGAAGTCAGTGCTTCCTGCTGTGTTCCTCTGAGATTTTGCAGTGGGTCGTTCCACAGCAACACCTGACTGTTACACCTGGTAACTAAATATTTGGCAGTGTAGGAGTTGAGTTGTCTAAGGGACAGTGTGTTAAAACTAGTTAGGAGATAATGGGATTTTTGGTCTAGATGTAAATCTAGACCAAAGCCTGTAATGGGACTAGTCTGTAAGGCTAGCGTGTAAGGGGAGCTTAGTCTCTATCTTGAGAGCCCTAGTCTATAGGGGAGCCTTAGTCTCTGTCTTCAGAGCTCCGAGTTTCTTTCTAGGGGAACCCTACAGAGTTCCTGCTGGCCACTGCTCTCCTGGGAGTAATATTCAGGGCCTGCCCCATCCCTGTGGGGAGGCGAGGCCATGGAGGGCCTGGGCTCAGTGTTGGGGACTGTGATTGGCAGCCTAGCACCCTGGAGAGACTTCCCCTGTCCCCAAGTCATTATTGCCATCTGGCCTCCTTGTGATTTTGTCTGATTGAGGGGACTGTGTAAAAAAGTCTTCTTGTGGCTTCCTTCTTTCACTAATGTTTTTCATTCATTCTGGGGACCCACAAGGGCACAGGTACTCTTTGCCCTCACAGTTGGGATGATCTCAGGGTGCGTGCCCACACCAACACCAGGCAGGGTGTACTGAGTGCTGGATGAGAGGTGCCAAGATGTCCCCCAGGACATAGGAGGGGAGAGGTTCCTGTCCTCCGAAGTCCTGGGGCAGGCTTCATGCACCTACTGCCCTTTGCCCTGGGTCTGGAAATACTGCAATCACTTGTTCACTCATTCAAGAAATGTTTATTTATTAATAGCATCTACTAAATGCTAGTTACTGGGCTAGAACCCAGGAACAGAATGATGAACAAGGCAGGCCCTGTAGCTGTCCTCATAGAATGGTGGTTGCAGAGCTTAGGGGGAGAGAGGAGGAAGGAGGCTTCAGGCACAGGGACAGCACAGGAAATGGCCTACTTTCCAACAGGACTAGGGGAAACGCCAGGAAACATAAGATGGTTTGGTCTGGATGGCACATCATTACAAATTAGAGCCTCGGAGCAGTTTGTCTTTACAAACTGCTCTAATGTTAGGTGAGAGCAACCACAGTGAAATATTCGACACAGCACAGAAGCCGATCACTTACAGACAACAGCGTTGGCCAAATTTACTTTCACCTGAGACCCTTGACTGGGAGGAAGAACTCCAAACGACCCTGTTCCCTGGAATGAGATGTCAATGAAGCATGTGTAAGTTTCCACTCACTGTGTAATGAGGGCCAAGTGGGATTTACAAGCACACACTTTCGAAGAAGAGCATCAGGGTTTGGAAAATTTAAACATGTACAAGAAGTCTGGCCATGAAAAATATAACTTATGTCCAAAGTGAAGCTTGCCCTGCACAGCAAATCTGAGCTTGGGATCAGACCCTACTTTAGCCACCTTGGAGGCACAGCTGGTCCCTATGATGACCAGGAATCGGCTGAGCAGTAGCCCGGAACCTGCAGCCTATGCTGGGCTGAGATGCTCTTACTCTTTTTCCCTTTGGGCCTTAACCCTAGGAAGGTAGAGAAATAAATATCTTGTAGGATTATTGTAACCCCAAGCTTCAGGCTATGTATCACAAAATAAATCCATGCTGTTAGAATAGAATTGAGTGAATATTTTAATAACTTGTACAATCACTTCATTTTTGAATGCTTTTCTGCCATTTGCATGTTCGAGAGCTTCAAAATAGTCATATTGTCTGCCATTATATTCACAGATGTGGATTAAATTCTTGAAGGCATTGGATTAGTTACGTTTGTAAACGTTGTTTAAAGCAATTATTATCTAAGTTTTGTTTATGAGGTAGTAAGTTCAATACACTGGTAATAGGAGGAGTATGAGTGTCTCTCCTCCAGCTACAAAAGTCCTCCAGACATTAACGATTTTAGAACACATGAGTTTTCTCCTTTATTATGGTGGTGAATTGTATTAATTTTTATAATATTGAATTATTTATTCATTCAACCAATTGCAATAAGAGCTTCCTACATAGATATGATCCTTGCTTTCATGGGGCTTTGCATCTGTGTCTCAAAGTATGGTCCCTGTACCAGTAGCACCAGCATCATCTGGGAACTTGTTAGAAATTCAAATATTTGGCAACCTCACCTTCTTTTCTCCTGCCCAGCCTGCAGACCTAACAAAATTAGAAACTCTGAGGCTGGGACTAGCCATCTGTGTTTTAATAAGCCTTTCGGGTCATTTTTTTTTTTTTTTTTTTTTTTGAGGCAGTCTTACTCTGTTGCCCGGCCTGAAGTACAGTGGCACGATCTTGGCTCACTGAGACTTCTGCCCCCAGGTTCATGTAATTCTCATGCCTCAGCCAGCCGAGTAGCTGGGATTATGGACATGCACCACAACAGCCTGCTAATTTTTGTATTTTTAGTAGAGACAGGGTTTCACCATATTGGCCAGGCTGGTCTTGAACTCCTGGCCTCAAGCGATCCACCTGCCTCAGCCTCCCAAAGAGCTGGGATTACAGGCATCAGCCATTGTGCCTGGCTGCCTTCCAGGTGATTCTGATGCACAGTCAAGTTTGAGAACCTCTGGTTTAGGTTTTCTGTTTCTTCTTAGGTCAGCTTTATCATTTGTACTTGCCTAGAAAATTGTCCCTTAAATCCAGGTTCTCAAACATATTTATCATAGAGTTGTGCAGGTATTTTAAAAGAATTATTTAAAAAGTGTGTTTCTGCAGTTGTTTTCTGTTATACCATATATTAAATTGTGCTCCCATGGTTCTGCTTTTTTTCCCCAGCTGATTTGTGAAAATTTTGAAGCAGGTCTGTATTAGTCCGTTTTTAAGCTGCTGATAAAGACAAACCCAAGACTGGGGAGAAAAGGAGGTTTAATTTGACTTATGGTTCCACATGGCTGGGGAGATCTCGTGATCATGACGGAAGGCAAAAGGCACTTTATACATGGTAGCAGCAAGAGAGAATGAGGAAGAAGCAAAAGCAGAACCCCCTGATAAACCCATCAGATGTTGTGAGACTTATTCACTATCACGAGAATAGCATGGAAGAGACCACCCCCATGATTCAATTACCTCCCGCTGGGTCCGTCCCATAACACGTGGGAATTCTGGGAGATACAATTGAAGTTGAGATTTGAATGGGGACACAGCCAAACCATATCAAGGTCACTCTCGTGATTTCTTTTTGGGTAACACCCATACAGGTGTGGACTCCTTTTTGTCAAGTTTCTCAGTTTCACTGTGCAGAGGCTAAAAGTGGCAGCAACATCTCTTACCACCTGGCTATGAGATTTCCTTCAAATACCTGGAGAGGGACTCATTGGTTGGGAATATTATCACACTCTGATGTTTTGCCCAAGAGCAGCCTGTGAATCCTGCTGAGAGTTCACAGCTTAGCCTTTCTACTTCTTTGCCACCTTCCAGGCTTCTGGAACTGCTCCAGGACAGAGCAGCCTGGATCAGAGGAGGGAAGTAACAAGTGACAGCCTGCTGGAGAAGTGACAGCTCACGTCACTTCTGTCCTGTTCCAGGAGTGATGCTAAGTCAGGCTTCTGTCTCGGTTCCTTTGTGTGCCCTTTATGGAGGCTCCTTCTGAGTCCCCCCTATCCCCACCAGAAGTCTCTTCTTCTGAGTCTTGGTTCATATCAAAGTGGAAAACTGATGTTCTAGATGCACTTATGCAAAGCCAAGGGCGGGGCAGAAGGCAGGGTGCTGGCCGTGGGACTTAGTGGTGGTGGGTCAGTGGGAGCAAAGACATACACTATCAGCAGTGCCTAAAGGTGAGAGCTCAGGGATGGCCCACCTTAACCTTTCTCTGCACGTTCTTATAAATGCAGGTTGTAGTTGGTTAAATAGTGTTCTCCCAAACTATGTCCAAGTCCTAACTCCCAGGACATGTAAATGTGACTTTATTTGGAAACAGGGTCTTAGCAGAGGTAATTAAGCTAACAGTCTCAAGATGAGATCCTGTTGGATTTAGGGCAGGCTCTAAGTCCAATGACTGGCATCCTTATAAGAAGAGGAGAGGACACACAGACACCCAAGTGAGCCACATGTAAAGACAGAGGCAGAGACTGCAGCGGCGCAACTCCAGTCAACCAGCCAAGCAACAAGACTGACTGGCAGCCGCTGGAAGCCAGGAGAGAGGCATGGAATGGGTCTCCCTCTGAGCCTCTGGAAGGAACCAACCCCACTGACACCTCAATTGTGGACTTCTGGCCTCCAGAACTGTGAGACAATACATTTCTGTTGTTTGAGGCCACGAGGTTTGTGGTTGTTTGTAATGGTACCCACAGGAAGCTCATCCACAGTTAACACACATCATATGTGAGCTCTGCGCAGACAGTCTTTACGCTGCTGTCATCATCCAAGGATGGCTGTGCGGGGAACGATGACTGCTAACTCAGTTCACCAGAAGATTGCTGCTCCCTGTTTCTTTGCATAGTATTGACACATGAGAGGCTTGGAGGATGCATACCCTGAGTTAGCACTTGAAGTCATCTGAATGCTGTTTGCCTGTCCTTGACATTACACAATTTGTGTATCTTTGTGTGATCCAAGTTAAATCTGACAATAGAAAACAATCACAAAATAAGCATTTCCTGGCATTGTCATCATTCAAGATGAAAGGAAAGTGGAATGAGGCGATTTCTGCCTCTATGGGATCCACTGACAATTAACTGGAGCAGCTCATCCCGGTCCCTTTTCAATGAATATTAACAACCACACTGACTGCAGATAGCTCTGTATTGCTCCCCATCGTGCGGCAAAATTGAGTAAACACTTATTCCTCATTAGGGTGTTTTATGAATAGGGCATTACAGTGCGCTGGTGGCACTCACTCTGCCTTTCGTGAAGGAGGCCACGATGAACAGCTGGAGTCGGAATCACCGTTCTGCCTTCTTCCTGTTCTCAGCAGACGCACACGGCGCCGAGGGGGTGCTCTGTGAGGCCCCTGGAGGGGCAGTTACTTGGGCTTCTCAGAGAGAACCTGGCAGCTCTTTGCTGAAACCCGATACTCCAGGCTCCCAGGGCCGGGTGGCCAAGATGCTGTGCAGCACGGGTCACCTGCTCCTGGTCCTCCCACTGCCTGGATGGTTGCTCCGTGTTTTTATAAAGAACATCACTCAAGTATTGCGTTTTCTTTCTTCATTTTGCTGTCTGTCCCTCTCCATTCAACCTTTCAGTGGGTGTTCCTGAGTCCTTCCCTGTGCCAGATGCTGTGCAAGGCACTCAGGTTACAGTGGGGGACAAATCAGATGTGGTCTGTGGGTGGGGAGTGTCCTGAAGAGATGCTCTTTGAAGGCCCTGAAAGCCCACGTGCTTGTGTGTGACTCATAGGGGCAGGGTCTCTGGACCTGGGAGGCCCTGACTTCTCCCTGCTCTTGCTCTGCATGAGGGTGCAGACTGCTCAGGCCCACCCTGAGGAAAGAGGCCATGGTTCCTGTCCCACCCATCCTGCAAGGCCTAGACCCACCACTAGGGAGGACAGTGGCTCAGTATCTCACGGGATCACCCTAACAGCCCACTGGCCAGACTGTATCTGACAGTATCTCATGGGATCACCCTAACAAACAGCCCATTGGCCAGACTGGGGTTGATTTTCTTTTTACTTAAAATGCTGCATCCTCCCACTCTGCCCAAGATAGACATGGTAACTGGGTTACAGCTTACTGAGCGCCATTCTGGAAACTTCTAGAGTCTCAGTTTTCATCTGAAATGAAATAGGAGAGGAGGAATTCACACTTAGGCATTTCCAGGCTCGGTAAGCAGCACACGCCTCCTCATTAGTGGCCGGCTCTCTCTGTGTGAGCAGAAGGCGTTTCATTTCCTCACGTCCCTCTCTCACGCTGCCTGGCTCCCCTTCTTGCCACCTTCGTCCCTCCTTCCCTCCTCAGCTCACACTGTGGCTTCCCGGTGACATCCTTGTCCTGCTCTCACTTCTCAGGCCGGGCTCGCTCTTCCTGAAGCATCTGCCACCGTCCCAGGCTTCCTGCCTGGCTTCTGCACAGGTCTCTGAGGGCGGCTATTCCCAGTGAGGTCTTTCTCTAGGACAGGAACCTGCTTGTCTGCAGAGAGTGTCACCCCTCAGGTCCTCTGCTGGGGTCCTCTGAGTGCTAGTCCATGAATGGCGGCTCCTTAGGGCCCAAGGACAGTGCCCTGGCCAGGGCCTGCAGGCTGCGGGATACTGGGTTCCGGAGTCTCTGTGGGATTCCTTCCCACTTCTGGGTTCGGCTTCTCCTTAAGCCTTGGTCTCCTTCTTTCCTGGTGCAACAGGTCCTTTCTGCGGGCAGCATGCTGGCTTAGGTGGGTGAGCCCTTCATCCTTCCAGCCTGGAATGAGACAGGAACAAAATGCTCCTGGTTTCATTTTGAAGAAAGCAGGCAGGGCCTTGGCTGATGGAGCTTAGGCCCTGTATACATTTCTTGTGGCTGCAGTAGCAAATTACAACAACCTGGTGGCTTAGGACAACAAAAATGCACTCTCTCTGAGGCCAGAAGGCTGAGGTCAACGTGTTGTGGGGCTTTCTGAAGCTCTGGGTGTGGGGGATCCTTCCCTGCCTCTTCCAGTTTCTGGGGGCTGCTGGTGTTCCCTGGCTTGTGGCTGATTCAATCTGATCTCTGCCTCAGAGGTTACACTGCCTTTTCCTCCATCGTGTGCCATCGAATCTCCCTCTCTCACAAGGACACTGTCATTGCATTTAGAGTTCACCCACAAAATCCAGGAAAATCTCCCCACTTGGAGATCATTAGCTTAGCCGTGTCTGCAAAGTCTACCAAATAATGAACATTCACAGGTTCTAGGGGTTAGACCCTGATGTCTTCAGGGGCCATTATCAGTTTACCACAGGCCCCGTGCCCTCCCTGGGACCACAGCACCCAGGGCAGAGATCTGTACTGGCCTCTGTGGGGAAGAGGGGCAGGACTCCTTCCCGAAAGGATACTGGCTCCCGCACAGTTGCAGCTGTGCAGAGGACTGTGGGCCAGGGCCCAGCCTATTTTGTCTCTCTCATGATTGCTGACGGGACAGTGGTGTGCAATTCCCAGAGAATCCTGCACATGTTTTCTCACTTGACCTCATCAGCAACATGAAGGCTTATCATGGATATTATTGTTATCTCCACTTTTTGATGCGAAGCCAACCTCAGGGGTCAGCTGCCTGCTCCAAGTTGCATGGAAGCCTTGACTCTCTGCTCCTAGGAGACAGGATGGATGGGCTGCCCTGGTGGATACCTGCTTTTTGGGAGGCCACCAGGCAGGACTGGGGGTGGGAAGTCCCAATGTTGCTTGGGGAGGCTGGTCTGGTGCTGCTGCACCTCATTCTCTGGGAAGGCTCCTCCCAGAGGGTCCTTGGTGGTGCCTCTGCATGATCCGAAACTTCTCTGCTCACCCTCGCCCCTCCGTCCTGGAAGCCAAGCTGATTTCTACTGCTCACGCTTTATTAGCATATTAATCAGAATAGGCAGGTTGGGGTGAAATCCAGTAGACAGCCCAAACCAGGTGTCTGGACGCTGGGTAGCACATCCTGCCCTCCTCCCAAAGAGGGCCTGGGGTCCCAGGCTGCTTCCTTCCAAGCCTCCACCATCCCACGGCTGAAGGTCACCTTGAAGACTCTCGTCAGCACTCAGAGGAAGGCAGATTGAGTAGGATGGTTTCTGGCTGGGCAGGACGTAACTTCTGCCTTCATTCCATCCCCCAGGCCTGGTTACGTGGTCTCAGTCCAGCTGAAGTGAGGCTGGGAACTGTGGTCAGCTGTGTACCTGGAGAGATGAATGGGATGGGTGTCCAGTGTCCCCCACCGGCCCGGATGCTGCCTCACCTTGGACATGGTGATAGAGGAGGTGTCATGAACTGATTTGGGCTAGGTGCTTATTGATTATTCTAGTCTCTTCTAAGTATTCTGATACTGATTCTGCTCCAGCATCACCGGCGGGGCTGTGGCAGATCCAGGCAGTGCCAGGTTTATGGGCATGTGCTGCACAGGTCCCAAATGCAGAAGGGTCCTGGCACTTGATTTAATGCTATGTGTTACCATCTTGAAATTTGTAATAATTTTGAACAAGGAGGTTTCATTTCCTTTTTGTACTGGGATCTGCAAAGTATGTAGCTCGTCCTGAAGCTAATGTATTTTTGGGGTCCACGTGCTCAGGGGCCCAAACCTTGTACCTTTAGCACCCTCAGTTTCCCAGTCCAGCTCTGGGCCCTGGAATTGCATCAGCCTTGCTCTCAGGGGTGGGGGTGCAGGAGACATGTATTTCTCTGTGGGAAATACATGAGGTCTTGAGGTACCCAGGTTTCTGGGGAACAGGAGCAGAAGAGAGCAGCATGGCTCTGGATCACTCCATAGACCCAGGGGCTTCTGCTTCAGAGGGCCCTTAACCTTCCAGCCCCGGGGATGCACCCTCCTCCCTCAGCCCCTGCCATCATCTGGAATCCCGTGGCCACAGAGTCCTGTATCACATTCTCCTTGGATGCTGGGGTTTCTCGTTCTGAAGCCCTCTCTGCTGTGGGGCCTTTCCCATGCTCTCAGGTGGCCTGTGGGAGAGAGGCCCAGCTTGTCATCGTTCTGTGCAACCGACCCCAAGCCAACATCCACCTTTCTTAGTGGCCATGGAACACGTCTCACAAGCCTGCTTTGCCTCCTACACCGATGGGCGCTAAACCTTCCCAAATGAAAGACGTAGGCACTTACTTCTCTGTCCTGTGAAGTGAGCCACCAGTGTCACCCATCCAAAGACAGAAAGGACTCATTACTCTCAAAAGCCCCTGGCATTGTGGATTATCTGGCTGTCATCTTGCTTCTGTTGCTGTGAACTCTGAGGGTTGGGGGCTGCGGCTCCCATCCCCTGTCAGTGAAACCCGCTGGGTGCTGTGCTGTGCACACCTTGACTGTCAGTGTGCAGGGCGTCCTGAGGCACGGGTTGCACTGGAGGACGGGATGCCACAGCCACCCTGCCACAGCATCAGAGGCCACTGCCTGGCCCACACAAGGGTGTGGGGGAGGTGTAGTCATTTCAGCAGGAGGAGTCATGCTCCTCATTTTCAAGAAAGGGCCACCTGCTTTTGCAAAACCGAGGCGGAAGTCCAAACACAGAAGGAGCTGCCCAGTTGCACATACAACTTGATTGATTTTGAAAGGAAAGCACGCCATTGTGCTTCTGTTATGAATAATGGTAATTGAGACATGACCTTCATGAAATTTCAGAAAAGGATCCAAGTAGCTGTACAGTGCTGGTCAACTGGAAACACTGTAGACACTCCCAGAAGGATCTGGGTTGCCACCTCAGGAAAGCTGCTCTGGGCTCCAGGGTGGGCTCCAGGAGGTGGCCTGGTAGACTTCTGCCTGACCTGTGAAATACAACCATAGAAACAAAAGGGTATTAGCTTGTTTTCATTTTCAAAATTGAATATCTTATCTCCAGGTTTGTTTTATTGTTGTTGAATTAAAATACTTAGGGATGTGAATTCAATAAGGTTCATTTTTTTTGACACATGAGAGGCATAAGACCTCTTATTTTTTTCTCATATTGTGCTTTAAAACAGATTCCACCTGAAATAAGTGAAGGAAAGGCTACAGTGGACTGCAGGCCTTCTCAGAGCCTTTAAAATGTGAATGTACTTTGGGAATTGCCAATAGAGTAAAACATTGAGTAATGTTTCCTAGGCAGAATTCTTCTTTGGTGTGTATCTATGAATAATGCAGATTTGGGTAGAGAAGAGTGGAGCCTACAGTGGCATGGGAGTGAGTTTGAGTGAATTCCTTCCCCAGGCAGTCCAGGGGTCCAGGATTTGCTCAAGGGTGTTTGGGTTGGGAAACCAGATCCTGCTTCTCCCTTCTGTTGCTGCAAAGGCAACTTAGTGCTCAAATGTCTCCTTGGGGAACTTGGGTTGTAAAGCTTTCCCTGTCTGTCTGATCTCCTGGGCTCTGTCACACAGTTGTTATCACACAGGGCTTGAACTGCTCCACACCCTGAGGGAATGGAGGGAGTTCTGCTGAAACCAATCTCTCCTCTCCAGACCTTGTATTTAGTGTAAAACTGCCCCTCCAACTCTGTTAGTCACAAGCAGAGGAGTCCTCAGCAGTTTTTCATGAATGAGAGGAGTGATTGATTCCCCTCATGTCCTGCTGGGAGTGGGCTCTGGCCCTTGTTCCAGACAGGGCCTACAAAATCCTCCATCCTTCAATCTATGGGGGGTTTACCCTCATACCCATATAGGAGCTGCTTGCTTCTGCCTCTCTCTGCCCAAGGATATCTTGAAATAAAAATAAAACCTGGTGAATCTTGTCCTCTGGAGGTCAGGCAACTTCTGATTTGAGCTCAACAATAGGAAAAATTGGCATGCTGGGACAAAAAGTTCAGGTATCAGAGAGAAGCATGGCCATCCTGTGGGAGAGGGAGGAAGAGATGGCTCACTCCTACCAGACACCTAGTGATCTGAAAACAAACCTAGATTGAGTCAACACAGATTATTCACCACACAGAGACAATTGGAATAAACTAATCAGCCTACCAATCAACCTACCTACCAACCTACCAACTAGCCAACCATTCTACCAACCAACTAACTAACCTACCTACCAACCAACCTATCAACAACCAACCAACCAACCAACCTATCAGCCAACCAACCAACCAATCTACCAGCCAGCTAACCAACCTACCAGCCAATCTACCAACCAACAAATCAACCAACAAACCAATCAACCAACCAGCCAACCAACCAACCAACCAATCTACCAACCAACTAACCAAACTACCAGCCAACCAACCAACCAACCAACCAACGTACAAACCAACCTACCAACCAACCTACCAACTAATTGATCTACCAATCAACTAACCAACCTACCAACCCACAAATGTATCAACCAACCAACCTACCAACCTACCCGCCTATCTACCAACCAACAAACCAACCAATCTACCAACCTACCAACTGACAAACCAATCAACCAACCAATGTACCAACCTACCCACCAATCTACCAACCTACCCACCAATCTACCAACCAACAAACCAATCAACCAACCAGCCAACCTACCAACAAACCAACCAGTCTACCAACCAACCAGCCAACCTATCAACCTACCAACCAATCTGCCAACCAACAAATCCATCAACAAGCCAATCAACCAATCAACCAACCAACCAACCAAACTACCAACAAACCAACCAACCTACCAACAAACCAACCAATCTACCAACCAACCTACCAGCCAACCTACCTACCCACCAATGTACCAGCCAACAAACCAACCAATCAACCTACCAACAAACCAACCAATCTACTAGTCTACTAACCAATCTACCAACCAATGACCAAGCTACCAACTACCAACCAACTAACCAACCTCCAACCAACCAACCAACCAACCAACCAACCAACTGACCTGCCAACCAACCAATCAACAAACAAACCAACAAACCAACCAACCAAAAAAATGAAGCACCTTTCTGGAGTTAGCAATCTTCTGTTTTTTTTTTTTTTTTTCTTTCACAAGAAGTTTGGGATACAGTTTTTCTCGTCCTAATAGTGTTGACTGACCAAACAAATATAATTTAGGAGCAAATTCCTGTAAACTTGTAGCCCCTCTGCCTCTCTGTATTTCCTAGAGATGATACTTTACATAAAATACTTTAATGATTCAGATTTCTGAATTCTGACATTCTGAGTTTAACTGGTGCTCCATCTTAGTGGGCTGTGGGACTTCTCACATCCATGATACTTAATGCAGTTCATAAAAGTCAATTTAAGTTGAAAGTTAGGTTTTGTCTTAAGAGATGTATTTTGGTGAGATTCCATTGTCTAATGCCCTGGCAATTAAAAACTATTTTCTCCTGACCTGGAATGAGATCTGTTTTCACTTCTCTGCACAGTTGCTCAGAGGCTTTGGCAATGAGGATTTTTGCAAATGTGAGGTGACCCTCCTTTTCCCATTATCCCAATGTCCTCTACTTTGCAAAGTTTTTGACTCCTCCAGGCAGCAACTAAGCAATTTGGTTAAGTATCTCATTACCGCTTTCCTCCTCTGGGCTGGATGTGTGGATGGTTTGTTGTTTCTTGTGCTGGCCTCTGAAGCTTAATTTTCTGTCGCAGAGGACTACTTACTGGCAAATTTTAAATCCCCATGAATCTCGAAATTCATTGAAATTCAAAATTCTTTCCTTCTCTATTCACGTAATTTCTACAAAGATCTCAGAAGAAATTGAAAATGGGCAGAGGAGTTGTTCTACGGAAGCTTTAAGCTTTTTTTCACCTAATGAAATGTGTTAATTTTGTGATGATTTCAGTTTTGTGGTGTTCAATTTCTTGTCAAATGTGATAAACAACGGAATGAATAGGTTTTATATTAGCCTTTCATCACTCAATGAGTGATTTCACTCTCTCATAGCCTCTCTTATGATCTCCTAGTGTTTCATTTTGCTGAAATGTGACAGCAGGAGAGCCTTTCTGTGACTGATCTCTACAATATAACAACATCGCAAAGAACTGCTTGCTTCTAAATTATTCACTGGGCCCTGTCAGGTACAGTTTCTTTGCTTCCTGGGTGTTTTCGTTAATTGCTATTTTAACTTCTATGGTCTGATTTCCAAGTTTATCAGAAGCTCAGTATTACTCTCCCTAATTGGCCTCTCATTCTCTGTTACCAGCTAGCTGTCTGATAGACGTCACCTCTTTTCATTCCTCTCCTCTTGAGCTGCCTTCTTGCTCTGTTGCAGTGTTTGTTTTCAGATTTATTTGGCATCACTGCTTTAGATATTTTTAGTTGTATTTTTAAAACCAAATTATTTGACTCCTGTATCATATCTGCATCTTAAATTATTCACATCAACTTAAAAATATCTGTGAAATGTTTTTATATCTAAAAATAACCTTAGCAAGATTTTTCTGGTCTGCTTTATGAGTCTGTGAGTATTGTGATTTCTTCCAACGTTGGTGAAAGCCTGTGGTTAATTCCCCCAAAAAGTTGAGTGAGTGTGGGCCTGGAACTTAGGAACAAGGGTATATCTGTGGGAAGATGGCCTTGGATCCATTCTGACACAATTGCTGAGAATATTTAACAAAGACAATTCAATATTCTCATCATTTGGATCCTCTTCTCTACACCATGTCTCTTTTTATCAGGGGACTTTTAGATATATATTTTTTGACACTTTGATATCTCCTACCTCTCCTGGAAATTGGTGTTGACATTTTTCTATAAAGATATTGAACTTTGATGCTCCTTATACAAAACTCAATTGAACTCTTCAGAAAGCTCACATTCATTTTCTTTTGACTTGTAGGATAAAAACACAGAGATGAATTTATCAATTTCTCCATAAAAAGTAGAAATTTGGGAGATTTCAGAGAAGTCAGGATCTGAAGATCTTTAGCGTATTCCTTTACTGGACCTTGATGAGGAAGTGACTTGTCATTTGCCGGTTTCATGCATTTGAAGTGGCTCCCTACACACGTGTGTGCAGAGTTAGTGAAGGAATTTTGCAGGTGGTGTCACAGATTCTGATGGTGCCACAGATTCTGATGGTTTGCCTTAGAGAAATGCTTCTTGCAGAGTTTTAACAGGGAGTTTAGGAAGAAATCACATTAGTGCAGAGGCTGTTTAAAAATAAAAATTGCCATTAGTGTGTCAAAAGTAATTAAATGCTTTGTTCTGAAGCTTTAACAGTGATTCTTAGGGCTTTTAGGCAAATCTTTTTCTCTAATACCTTGTTTAAATAGAAAACATTGTTAGAAAAAAGATTCTCTTAAATTTGGCTCCTTCAGGATGAGAGTTTGCCTGGCTTCCCAGACTTTCTCTAGGGGTGCAGGGTGGAGGTCTGGACAGGAAGGAGAACAGGTGAAAGACCACTCCCAGTGGCTGGCGGCACCCAAACCGCATTCTTCATGTTCGTTTTAGAAGAGGCAACTGTCACCCTGCAACCTTCTATTGTGGATTAAATTTGTGTCCCCTCAAAAGATAGGTGGAAGTCCTGGCCTCCATGACCTGTGAATGTGACCTTATTTGGAAACAGGATCTTTGCAGATGTAGTTAACATGTAAGCTAATATGAGGTCATATTGGAGTAGGGTGGACCCTTAATCTAAGGTGATTCATGTCCTTATGAGAAGAGACCCAGGCAGAGATGAGAAGGCCATGTGGAGGCACAGACACAGAGGGAAGAGGAGGGAGGACGGAGGCAGAGGTTGGAGTGATGCTGCCACAAGCCAAGGAGTGCTGGCTGGTACCACCAGACACTGAGAGAGAAGGAAGGAGCCTCCCTTCAATGCCTTCAGAGGGTGCGTGGCTCGCAGAAATCTTGATTTCAAACTTTTAGTCTCCAGACTGTGAGAGAATAGATTCTGTTGTTTTCAACCCAGCCTGTAGGCATCTGTACACGGGAATCTTCCCCACTTTTTTTTTTTTTTTTTTGAGACAGAGTCTGGCTGGAGTGCAGTAGTGTGATCTTGGCTCACTGCAACCTCCACCTTCCGGGTTCAAGTGATTCTTCTGCCTCAGCCTCCTGAGTAGCTGGGACTACAGGGGTTCGCCATCATGCCCGGGTAATGTTTGTATTTTTAGTAGAGATGGGGTTTCACCATATTGGCCAGGCTGGTCTTGAACTCCTGACCTGGTGATCCACCCACCTTGGCCTCCCAAAGTGCTAGGATTACAGGCGTGAGCCACCGCGCCTGGGGTGGGAGCAGACACCCATCAGGTGACAGCGCAGGCTCTGGCTGCTTCCCTTCAGGTTGGAGGGTGGGTTCCTGTCACCCTCATGAGAGACCTTTATCCTTCCTCTGTGCCTGCTGCCTCCCTGGCTGGCTGTGTACCAACCACAGGGAAGATCTCTCTTCCCAGGCAGATGCCCAAGGTCAGTGGACGCTGATGAGGCTGGGAGCCTGACTCCTGAATTATCTCTGAGGCACCTTCACTGTACGTGAGGCTGACCAGCTCTGGTCGGGTCACCAGAACTGTGCTGTGCACTCTCTCCCCTGGAGAGATTTGTTTGACCGGAGGGCCAGGTGACTTGGCAGATAAGCTCCAGGCCTTTCAGCCACCTGCAGAGAATCCTGTCAGGACAGGCACCCTGGTGGCTGGGCCGGTGGCTGCCCTCCAGGTAGCAGGTGGTAGCTGGACTCAACTCCTCACCTGTCTTCCCTGTTCCTGATTCAGAAGAGCTGCAACCCTGGCAGGCACTCCTTGAAGGGGTCTCCCAGGCGGTGTGCACATGGAAAACACCAGAACATCGGTGGCTACTTATTTTTAATCTAAAGAAATGACACAATACTTTCTTGTACATTCATAAAATATATTTTATCAGCCAGAGTCCTGGCAGGAAAGAGGAGGTGCCTGCGGCATTCGGATAGTCCCAGGAGCACTGCATAGAAATTGTGCTGAGCTGACTGTCCTTGTCTTCAGGTGCATTTTCCACTTATACCCAGACCTATGCCTACGGGAGCTACATCCCTGCCCCACCTCCTCCATTCCCTATCCCTGTCTCACCTCGGGAGCTTCCCACTGGGATTGACAATGTGGAACTATGGTCTGCATTTGGGAAGAGGGAGGAGCAGGAGGGCTTGGCAGTTACCCGCTGGCTCCTCTCCCCACCACAGGTGAGACTGCTGGGGTGAGGGCTGATTCGCTCCACCTGAGGCCCCTGTTTCTCCCCAGGCCTGCCGGTCTTCCCCAGAGGTTCAGGGGCAGTGACTGACCTAGAGCAGCCCGAGTCACTGTGACATCCCTGTGGCTCTCCCACCCCTGCCCACACCTTTATAGATAGCAAATTTGTCAAACTCTTATTGAATTATTCTAGTTGTGTGTGCCACCTGCTTCCTGTGGGGACCTTGCTGCAAAGGAATCCTTTCTTTAGAAGATATGTCAGGTTGCAGGGAAACCATGGGCATAGGCAGCAGCACTCCAGGGCTATGCAGAGAGGAGCTGGGGTCAGATGGAGAATGCACCCAGGCCAAGGCATCCCCATAGGAGGAGATGGGAAGTAAGCATCCTGGCCTCATAGTCTTTCCTCGGTCATCTGCCAGGGCTACCCATGGGCTATGCCCAGTAGAAGCCAGAAGGCAAGGGGGCTATTGATACGGTCCATGCTGAACAGGCACTGAACCAAAGAGAAGAGCTGGGAATATAGGCCTGCAGGGGTTCGTTAGTGAGATCTGGCACGTACGTTATTTATTAATTTGGTCATTTATATTTATAATTTATAATTAATAAATAAGTGTACATACATTAGGAGAATGTGCTCATTTATTTTTTAACTGATGAGAGCAAAATATCAAACCATTTTGGGAATCACAAACTTGAAAGAAGACATTTAAAACTTAGATCTTGAGATTTAGTTGACCATTTCTAGCCATTCATAATTGATAATTTGGTGCAGGCATTTGAGGTGTTAGCATCTAGAGATGGATTGCTTGAAACCCCTGAGGATGGTATGGGTGCAGTGAGTCACATGAGATGCAAAGCCATCCATGGGAGACCCCTTAGGTTCTGTCAGCAGCATCACCACTGAAGAGAGGACATTTACTCTGGAAGGGGAACCTCTAGAGTCATCCTGGTGGGGGAGATTGGTGGCTTGGACCAAGGGGGTGGTGGAATGGTGATAGTGAGATACGTTTCCATTATTGGTTGAGTTTGAAGGTGAAACCTACAGGGTTTGCTTATAGAGTGAAGTGAGCTGTGAGTGGAAGAGAGGTCAGGAGTGCCACTGAAGCTTTTGGCCTGAACGATGGAAAGAATGGGGCTACCAGGGGTGAGAAGAAGGCCGTAGGAGGAGCTGGCTGGGGCGAATGCCAGAGCTCGGTTTGGGGCAAGTCAGGACATGTTGGACATGCTCAGGATGCTGTGGCTACAACAAAGCTTCCTTTCCCCATGTTCATGCCATGGGGCTTTGCTGCTTTTTTCATCAAGAAGTGGAGTCTAATTCCCCAACCCTTGAGTCTGGCTGGCCTTGCAAATAGCTTTGGCTGATAAAATGCAGGAGTGATGTTGTGTGGCTTCTGAGCTTTAGTCTCAAAAGACTTTGCAGCTCCTGCTCTCACTGTCTTGAGAAACTGCCCTAAGACCACTATGAGGAAGCCTGGTCTACCCATGGGAGGATCAGAGGCCATGTGAAGCAGAGTAAAACTGTCCTGAGTCCCCTAGATCCATCAGCCAACAGCCAAGACCAAGTGCACAGGAGACTGAGGCCATCTTACTTTATCCAACCTCAGTTGAGCTTCTGGGTGATGGCCTCTACATGAATGACCCCAACAGAAGAACCACTCAGCTGAGTCCAGCTCAAATTACTGACTCACAGGATCATAGCAAATTGGCTTATTTACTTCATTAAGATTTGGCATGACATTTGAAAGAAGACATTTAAAACTTGGACCCTGAGATTCAGTTGACCCTTTTTAGCCATTGATAATTGATAATTTGGTGCAGGCATTTGGGATATTAGCATCTAGAGATGCTAACAGCAGTACTTAACTGATATAAAGCAGCACATAACTGATAAAGGTGTCGACCTGACATGCAGTACAGATGGTTTTAAAATGTAGGCTTTATTATTATTTTGGTATGGTGAAGCCAAGAGGTCAGAAGGCACCTCTGCCATTGGGAAGACAGTTTGTTGCTCACAGTTCCCAAGGGAAGGAGGGGGCTCACCAGGCTGCAAGATGTCTTACGGGAAGCACCTAGGGCTGCTCCAGAGGCAGAGGGAGTGAGGGGAAAACAGACGCAGGGCCCTTTACCGTGGCTTCCATGGGAAGGAATGGGTGAGGCACGGTGAGCTGGCTTAGGACTGGCCAGGGTGAATAATTTCAGTGGGCCCTGGTGCACAGGGACTTCCCAGGTTGTCTGGTACCTGGCCCTGAGTTGGGTAGGGCAGGTGAGAGTGGCCCTGGGAGTGACAGCCTGATGGAGGAGGTGGTCAGGGTATTGAGTCTGGAGTGGTTGTTTGCATATGAGAGCCTGATGGAGGAGGTGGTCGGGGTGTGGACTCTGGAGTGGCTGTTTGCATATGAGAGCCTGATGGAGGAGGTGGTCGGGGTGTGGACTCTGGAGTGGCTGTTCCTGTAAGAAAGCCCCCAGTAGTTTCCTGTCTCTAGGACCTTGCCAGCCCTGGGAGGGGCTGTCCTTCCGGTGTCAGCAAGGCCCTGGGTATCAAACATCAGAAAGGACATGCTTAATACACATATGTCACAGACCCCATAGGCTCTGTGGGTCTGGAGTTCAGGGGAAAATCCTGGCTGGAGCTATGAGTGGGAACTGTCAGAGCCTGGGCGAGACCACCTAGTGAGTGGAGCGAGGGAGGAGTGGTCTGAGGCAGAGCCCTGTGGACCTGCAGCCTGCAGGGCTCATGGAGGGGAGGGGGGCCTAGCAAGACACTTTCAAGAAGCGTCCAGAAATGGAGGAGGGAACCGGGAGGGAGTGCTGTCCTGGAGCCAAAGAAGGAAGGCATTTCTGGGATGAAGGAATGATGAACTGTGCTGAGGGCTCTGCATAGGTTCTGGAGAGGAGGATGGAGAAGTGGGCACTGGGTAAAACACCATGGGGTAGGGTGGAGCCAAGGCTCAAGTGAGGAGTTCAAGAGGGAGCTGCCACCCGCCAACCTACACACCTGATGCCCCTCCCTCCCTGTGCCCCTCCACGTTCCCTGTGCCTGCTTCATTTGCTTTCCTTTGCATGCACCACAACCTCATGTGCTGCCTCTGCTACTCAGTTATCTTGATGTTGTCCATTCCTGTGTCGCAGGCAGGATCCCCGAGGACACTGATTCTGTCTCTTGTGTGTAAACGACACCTGGAGAGCCTAGAGCTGCTCCTGGCACAGTCAGAGCTCCCCAGCACTGTGTGATGAATGAATGAATAAAAGGGAACTTGGGTGTCACCAGACCTGCATACTTCTCGGGTACAGAGGAGGCAATGGCGGCTCTGGGTAGACGGACTCGCCAGGGCATCCCAAGGCTGAGCACCAGGACTGAAGCCCAGTACTCCTGCCTCAGAGCAGGTTCCACTGCACCTCTGGCCGCTGTTTTACTGTCACCGCTCAAATTCAGCCTCTGGTTGTGATCATGTTTTCTATGTGCCCGGCACATAGTGAGCACTTAATAGTCATTCCATGACTAGATAAATAAAAAGTGAACCTATAAACACCACATTCAAAAAGGCTTCTATTTTGTGTTAACTGCTAATCCAAAGCAGTGTTTGTTATGTCTACTCCACTAAAAAAACCCCAAATGTCCACTAATGAATGCACTTAGGTCAGTTTCATCCAGAAAAGTGAGCTACACGAGGGAAAGCTTTTAGCTAACACCTCACAAGACAGTAACAATTAGTTTTTGCTATCATTTGCAGTTTAATTATGCTGTATCTCTTTGGCAAGAAATGCTTTAGTCTGGGGCAATTTAATGTTTATAAATGTGTTCTCTGTTGATTGTGGAACAGTGATGTCAGACACACGGCCTGATGCTCTGTGATCCGTCTTCAGCATGTCGGGGGGCCAGGCCCCCAATAATCAGGCTGAAATTCACATCTGGAAGTGGCATGGGTGGAAAATTCAAGAGAGGACCTGAAGCCAGCAGCTCCTGGAAGTCTGGAAGAGATTACCTTTGCTAGTGCTTGATATAGTTGAAGTCAGGGACAATTTGTAACCATTGGCAAGCAAGACTTCTCAGAAATGCTGAGATTGTTTTAATAATGACTGGCCAGCTCTCTTTGGGGGAGGCTGTTCCCAAGTACATCTGTGTAGCCAGGCTTGTAAAAGTCAGGACAGGCAAGGTGATGCTGAGGTAACAAATGGCCTTGGATTCTCAGTGGGTGAAAACAGTGAATGCATCTTTGTTTACCGTTCACGCTTCTCGTGTCATGCAGGCCAGGAGGGGGCTCTTTCCTCTGTTGTCACCCAAGGAATCAGGATGACCAAGGCTCCGTTGTCCTTGGACGTTGTAGTCTCAACACGAGAGTTCAGGTTTTGCCATGATGCAGGGAGGGAACATGGGGAATCCAACACCAGCTCTAACCATTTCTGTCTAGCATTGGCTCATGTCATATGTTGTTGTGGGAGCAAATCAATAGGATCTGCTCTCCTCTCTGTAGGTGTGAAGGGATTCTGTGGGCTTGCTCTGTTCTCAGCATTGCTGTGGTCCTGGGCACCTGGGGTGGGCACAGGGTCTTTGCTGAACTTTGCAGCCCGGTATAGTGGACCAAATAGATCAGAACCTCTGAGGAGGGACCCCACATCTGGAGTCTGAAGAGCTCCCCAGGTGATTCTAATGTGGAGCCAGGTGGAAAACCACTGGGCCAGCGGAAGCAGGAGTGACAGGTTCCCATTCCTCTCCACTCCCATGGTGTCCAAAGCTTGCCGATGCTGGTGCCGATGCTGGTTGCACTCAGGTCTCCAAGGACATTAGTTCACCCTTTGTTACAGTAGGTAGTCAGGCAGACATGAGCAGGGAAGGAGAGGGCCCCTCAACCAGGAATGTCAGGTGACCATCAGGTGATGGTTAGGTGGTTGTTAACTGTCTCTCTAAAACAGTAATAGGTCACAGCCAGTGCCAGGGAAAGGCAGTCTCCCAAAAGATAGAAATGCCTGAAACAGGTGATCAGCAGCTTCCCAGTAAGATCTCAGGAGTTGGGTGAGTGAGCTCAAGCGTGCACATTGAGAGGCAAAATGGCAGAGTTTAACTGGCATATGACCTGAGGATATTCTGTAGGAGACTGGCGAGGGTGGTGAGAGAAATTATAGAAAAAAGATGCAAACCTTCTTGGAAGGCCAGGAGGTTTTGCAAAAGCTTTGAAAGATAATTTGGTGAAGGCAGCCAGATTCTCTTATCTGGAGCCTGAAAGCAACGGTTAGGTAACAAGGGGATGTAAGAAAATGATCTAGATAAGTTAGTTTACTTAGGCCTCAGAACCTGGCCTTTAATCATCCACGCAGGACTGTCCTCTCCAGGGGGTGGGGGTGGTGGTGACCATGTTAATTACCCACCAGTGTGTTGACTCAAAGCCTTTGTCATTAAATCTGCACTGAATAAATGCCCGCAGCACTGGCTTGTCAGGGCTGTGGCTGCTACAACTCATTCTATGAGCAGCCCAGTCCCCTAGCCCGCTCTTTCACTGCATACCTGTGTCCGAGCGCATTTTTTCATCTGTTGTTCAGCCAGGGTCTGCGGGTCAGAGCCAGCAACATTCCACCAGCAAAGGGAAGAAGGCCTCAGGTGAGCATGCTCACAATTCCAGTAAACACCGTGCATGCTCCCCTCCCAAGTGCTAGCAGGCCACTGTGCAGGTAGACAGCTCACCCCAAGGGACGAATCAAGGGAAAAAGGACACAAGATGCCAGAAGTAGGCCAACGTAGAAAACCCAAAGTCCAAGGTCAAACAGGGCACTTGTCCTCCAAGATGACTGCCTGGCCCTCTTCCAAGTATATTTTACTTTCTTTTCTTTCCTGCCCTAAAGCTTTTCAACAAATGTTCACTCCTGCTCTAAAGTTTGCCTTGGTCTCTTCTTCTGCCTTATGCCCCTCAGTGGAATTCTTTCTTCTGAGGACAAGAATTGTTGCTGCAGACCTGTATGGATCTGCCATTGGTAACTCGGATACCCATCATCAATAACGCCTTGTTCCATGGCGGGGAGCTGCCCTGCATTTAGGAGGGCTCAGCAGATGCCACCCTGGTGGCCTGGACTGAGCACATTTTTTCTGGCTTTCCCAGAGAGGTGTCTCTGGGGCAGTGGTGCCACCTTGAGCCCCCTGAGAGTGAGTGGCAGGGTGAGTGTCCTTGGGTCCCACTCAAGATCCCCCCACACAAGGTCAGCCCCTGGCTTTCCTCTGTAACAGTGTAAACCCTGAACCAAACGATTGAGTCCTAATCAGCGAGCCAGCCATGGATACCCCTAGCCACCGCAGGCTCGGATACCTTTCAAGGGAGAGCCTGAGGGCTCCTTACAGACTTGCACTGCTTGGGGCACTCTAGTTTCCTCATAAGGGGTGATCTGGCTGCCTTGCTGAGACAAAGCTTTATTTTTTTTAAACAAGTTGAGAGTGAGTAACAGCATGGCCTTCCATTTGGAGGAGTGGTAGGGTGTGGGGTGCAGCTACGAGGGCCCTGTTCTAGATGGAGGCTCTTTGGTCTGCGGTCATCTTAGGCTCCTGTCCAGATCTCTCCAGGACCGGGGAGACAGGGGGTCAAGCCAAGATGCTCCAGTTGAAGCCCAGGCCCACCACTGAGGGCCTTAGGTCCTGGCTTGCAGGGAGCCAGAGAAGTCTCCTTTGACTTAGGCCTTGAAGAACTGTTGTTCTAAAGAACAAAAGGAATGAAAACAAAAGCAAAAACAAAACCCCTAGGAGAGCAAATAAGAAGCTTTTATAAAAGCTTCCTGAAATGCAAACAGCAAACAGGGGAGGTCGGGTTCTCCCAGGAACTAATTAAAGCTTCCTGCTTAAGTGCAAAGTAGCTGGTTTCTGAAGATCTTCCCCTGCGCTTGGCCTGGGGCCTGCCAACCGGCCCCTTCTAAATGGCTTTGTCTTCCCTTCTTGACTAATTGCTATTTAAGCTAAGTGTTGTCAGATAAATTGTTTCTTATTCAAATAGCCAAATATCTTCCGGGCTTGAGAGACCTGCTCACCTTGGGCTGGGAGCAGGCTTCCCTTTAGTTTTCCCATCTCTGCTTGGGCAATTTAGCAACTTCTGGCTGAGAGATGCCAGATTAATTAAAGAGGTGATGCTAATGCAGCACGGGGCTGAACACTGGAAATCAGGTTTTAATTGAAAAATGAAATGCATCTTCCTAACATCAGAGGTTAGATTTGGAATGCTGATGTTTCATTAGCATAGCGTTTGGTGTTTAAGACTAATAAAACATCCAATGGTGTGGGAGCCTTGGAGAATCAGCGGAAACCGCCAGTGGATCTCCTCTCCACCATGAGGCCGATGATGGCTGCCTCCTCCTAGCCAGTCTGTGCTGTGCAGCCCTTGGATACAGAGGGAATGCGGCACAGGCTCTGCTCTTGGAATGCAGGAAACACTTGCCAGCATGGGTCAATTAAGGCACATCTCTTTATGGGCATCATAAAAATGTGGGCCTCCCAACCAACTGAACAGACCCCCACTCTTGGCCAAGGGGACCTCAGAGAAACCTGAAAATCTGAGTTCTTGGCCATGAGGGGAAGAGAGGTCGGAAAAGCCTTATTATACTCCCTCCCTTTTGGAGTCTAGCCACAATGGGCCAACATTAATGTTAAAATAGACATTATAAGGCTGACAAAACACACTCTTCATGACAATGAGACACCAAATTACTAACAAGATCCAAGGCTGTGCCAGGCAGGGGTTAAGTCACACACCCCTGTGGGTCACTCTGATGCAGTGTTTTGGTTAAGAGATGTTTGAAATGGTTGTTCCCCAGTGCTGTAAAGAAGTAGCACTTGAACATAAATTTAATGTACTCAGCAAGGCAATTTTTACTTCCTGCAGAAAGAGTACACTCGCCAGCAGTTTTGCCATGAGAGTACACCGAACAAAGGAGACAGGGTCATTTATAACCTGACACGTCCACCCTACTGCTGTGTCTGGTTTCCATTGGCTGGAATGGGAACTCACATTCTGTATTTGTCCCAATTGGCTAGCAACTTAGAACTTCTAAAAAGAGGCAAAGGCAGAGGAGAACAAAGGAAGGAGGAAGTAACTTGTGGAATGCTGAGAAAGGTAAAAACGCCTTCAAATAAGGAAGAGGAACAGGCTATGACCTAATGCTTGCTTGGACCAGTGTAAGCATGCCAGGGCAAATATTTAGGCTAAATTGTGGGAGCTAAGAACATAAAGTACATTGATTTCTTTATCGTGGCTAGCAGATATTTAAGAATGTTTGCACGGGTCTTTGACTAAATTTTGCTTCTAAGAGAAGTTACTATTTATTCCTAATTAGATGGGGAGGACTGTCTTTGAAGAGGAACCTCTACTTTACTTTTTACAGAGAATTCCTTATCTTAACTTAAAACAATCCTCTCTGCAGACTCCAAATTTTTAGACAAAGCTTTATTTCTTTAACCGGTGATATGGTTTGGCTGTGCCCCCACCCAAATCTCAACATGAGTTGTATCTCCCAGAATTCCTACGTGTTGTGGGAGGGACCCAAGGGGAGGTAACTGAATCATGGGGGCCGGTTTTTCCCGTGCTATACTTGTGATAGTGAATAAGTCTCACAAGATCTGAGGGTTTATCAGGGGTTTCTGCTTTTGCTTCTTCCTAATTTTTCTCTTGCTGCTGCCACGTAAGAAATGTGTTTCAAGGCCGGGCACGGCGGCTCACGCCTGTAATCCCAGCACTTTAGGAGGCTGAGGCGGGTGGATCATGAGGTCAAGAGATCGAGACCATCCTGGCCAACATGGTAAAACCCCATCTCTACTAAAAATACAAAAATTAACTGGGCGTGTTGACAGGCACCTGTAGTACCAGCTACTCCAGAGGCTGAGGCAGAAGAATCCCTTGAACTCGGGAGGCGGAGGTTGCAGTGAGCCAAGATTGCGCCACTGCACTCCAGCCTGTGTGACAGAATGAGACTCTATCTCAAAAAAAAAAAAAAAAGAAAGAAAAGAAAAGAAAAGAAAAGAAGTGTCTTTCGCCTCCCACAATGATTCAGAGGCCTCCCTAGCCATGTGGAACTGTAAGTCCAATTAAACCTCTTTTTGTTCCCAGTTTCAGGTATGTCTTTATCAGCAGCTTGAAAACGAACTAATACAACCAGTGGCAGATAAAGAATCTCTGAATCCACCTATAACTGGTAGGCCTCCACTTCAAGATATCCCACCTTTCTGGACTGAACCAATGTATACTTTCCATGTATTTGAAACAGGAGAGTTCCTTTATCCGCCTTGCAGGATGTGCGACAGGGGTGGGCTTGCTCCTTTGGTGGCCCCTGCTGCTCAAACCCATAGGGGGAGCATGTAGATGGGCAGGTGCAGAGGCCGTGGGGAGCACTTTTGGGCTCCAGCCCCATAGCCTCATTTAGGGGTGGGTGTCTGTGACTCCCAAAGCCCAAGTGGGCATGTGTTACAGTGTGCTCTTTCAGCTTCGTCCTCTGCAGGACGCTTGTGTTAATCAGCTCAATAGACTCTGTGCCTTATCGTGAGGGCAGGGGGCCAGTGTCACAGCCTTCTGTATCCTGAGTCCTTGCCCAGTGTATGAGAAGAATCGGATCACACGTGGGCTTGAAGGATGAGTGCAAGATTTTATTGAGTGGTGGAGGTGACTCTCAGCTAGATGGATGGGGTGGGAAGGTGGGGATGGAGTGGGAAGGTGGTCTTCCCCTGGAGTCAGGCCACCCTGTGGCTGGACTCTTCTCTGACTGCCCCCGGCTGAACTCCCCTTGGCATCCAGATGCCCCTCCTCTTCTCTCTTTCTCTGTTGTGTTGTTCTATTGTCGCTGGTCTGCTGGTTCTGACCTTCAGCCGCTTGTGCGTGTGACCACTAAGGTCTTGGGTTTATATGGGTGCAGAATGGGGGGCTGTGGTGGGCCAAAAGACAACTTTTTGGGTGTGAAACAGTAATGCCTGTCTTCACTTAGGGCTGCGGGTCTTCAGCCTTGAGGGTGGGGCCTTCGCTGGGGAGCCGCCCTCTTCTACCCAATATTTCCCTGTCTCCTGTCTGTATCATATTGATTTAGGTCTTTGCCTGAAACTTCTGCCTCCCTAAAATGTATAAAACCTAAAATTACAAAATATGTAATCTGACTGCCTGGGTGCACTTTCTCAGGGCCTCTTGAGGCTGCATTCCCTGGACCATGGTCACTCATTATCTTAGAATAAACCTCTATAAAATATTTTACAGAGCTTGGTTTTTTTGTTAAAGGCGTGTGCTCAAAGCTTACTGAGGGAGGGGTAACTTCACCTGGTGCCACTGGCCCTGGGCTGCAGGGAAGAATGCACAGGTTAGTTGACATTTGATCCAATGCTGGAATTGGAAGGGATGTTAGAGGGCTTTTGTTCCACACTCCTCCTTTTCAGATGAGTAAATCAAGCCTCAGAGAGGGACAGGAACTAGCCCAGAGGCAGTGGTCAGCGGCCAGGGTTGGAGCCCAGGACTTCCCTAGACAATGCTTTCTCCTCTGCTGGGCCCTTCATCCCTGTGCTGTGGGCAGGATCAGCTCACAGAGGTGGTCAGGCCGACATTATTCACACAAACAGTTCAGCTGATCATGGAGGTCATGGAGGCCGCATACCTTGGTGCAGGACAATGACTCTTTCCAGACGCGTTTCCACTGAGGCTGTTCAGGTTGAAGGAGACGGAAGCCTCCCTTGGCTGCCCTGCGTCCTGGTCTGCAGTGGCCTTCCTTTCACTGTGCACTGAGCAGGCGAGGGGCCCTGAGACACCAAGATTGGCCATGGCAGGGGCAGTGGAAAAGACGGGGAGCAGTGAGGATGGGTGCAGGTATGCAGTGGCTGAGCAGCAGGGCCTGGGGGTCTGCAGATGCTGAGTCTGAGCCTCTGCCATGACAAGGAATGTTCTTCTTACCAGACCAAACCTGGATCTGCTCACTTGGCACAGGAAAGCCAAAGATCCACACCAAGGTTTGTGGCGAGAGAAAGCAGGGCTTTTATTTGCCGGCACCAAGCAAGGAGAATCAGGCAGCTCACACTTAAGACCCAACTCCCTGATGGCTTACCAGGAAGAGTTTTTAAAGGCAGAGGTAAATGTAAGGAAAACAGACATTAAGGGCAAAATTGTAAATCAATACATGGAGATTATACATTGGTTTGGCCCAAAAAGGTGAGATATATATATATATGTATGTGTATATATATACACACATATATATACACATATATATGTGTGTGTGTGTGTGTGTGTGTGTGTGTGTGTGTGTGTATATATATATATATATATATTTTTTTTTTTTTGGCAGAGTCTGGCTCTGTTGTCCAGGTGGGAGTGCAGTGGTGCAATCTCAGCTCTCTGCAACCTCTACCTCCTGGGTTCAAGGGATCCTCCCATGTCAGCCTCCTGAGTAGCTGGGACTACAGGAATGTACCATTATGCCTGACTAATTTTTTTGCATTTTTTGTAGTGAAGGGGTCTCACCCTGTTGTCCAGGCTGGTCTTGAACTCCTGACTCAAGCAATCTGCCCAAGGTGGGATATCTTAAAGTGGGGTCTTACAGGTCATAGGTGGATTCAAAGATTCTCTGATTTGCAATTGGTTAAGGAAGCAAAGCTTTGTCTAAAAACTTGGGGTCAGCAGAAAAGAACATTAAGGTCTGGGCTGTGGGCATGACTGTTTCCAGGCCCGTCAGGGAGAAATTAAGAACAAAGAACTGCGATCAGAGTTCAGTCCCCAGTTCTTCCTTACCCAAGGTCCACATGCCTGTAGCATTTTTAATTTGGTATGGGTCCGGGTTTCTGAAAAACAACTCAGGGACCTATGTGTTATCTTTAGTTTCTAAAGAGAACCATGCATTATATGGCTCTAACTTCCTTGGATATTGTTTTAAGCTACTATTATCTTCTTGCACATCATGCTGCTCATTTACTTCTCAGGGCTAGCTAAGTACCTGGAATTTCCTTGAAGGAACTCAAGATTTTTCTTTATTGTCATGCTTGGAGGGGCCAATAGGCCCCTAAGAGGGGTCCCTGCTCTGTCTCATTATGTGGGACCTGGATTGGAGAGAGTCCATCCCATTAACTAAACAGCTGCCCCAAGTCCCAGGTTCATGAAGCCAATCAGGAAGATTCTGGGCTTCGGCCCCTTTGTTTGCTGTTGACACAGGGAAGAACACCGCCATGTCAGAATGACGCCCACACTTGGCATCCTGAGTTGCTTTTCTCAGTACTGATGGAGCTTCGCCCACTGCTCTCTCTGGGGTAGCTGTGAAGCTACAGTGTGGGAGAGAAATGTTAATTCCTAGTCCTAATCACCCAGTTTTCTTCAGGTAATTTGCAAATGAATACACCTTTGTCTCCTTGGTACCGCTGGCTGGCAACAACATAGACAAGAAGTATAATTGCATTAGGGAGAGTTTTGCTGCCATTGGTTTTTGGTTAAAGGGGTAAGTTGTAGTGTTCACTCTCAAATATCAGCATCCATCCAAAATGAGTACATTAAAAGCAATTAGTGTAGATTATGGATTTGAAATGAAGAAGGAAATATATTAACATGTCAATTACTATGTTAATTAGACATTGGTGCCATAATATTTCGTACCTAAATGCGAATGTTGATGAAACTGTAATTATTATTATTATCATTTTTTGGAGTGTAAAATGAATCCCTGCTATTCTGCTGAATGGTAAATAACAGTCATTTGCCCAGTACTTGGGGGGTTCTAAGTGTACGGCTGCCCACTGCCTGCCTTCCAGGTACTGAGTGACCTAGAAAGCAGACAAACTTTGTTAGTAGAAAACCAGGATAACACGCTAGCAGCCCCATGGCACCATGTCAGATTCTGCCTATAAAGGTATGGTGTGAGCTTAGGAATTTCAAGGAATTTGCTGGTCTTTTAATGCCTTGTACATTAAATGTCTTAAATTACATTTTGATTCCTGTAGTTTTCCAAGGCCAAGTCTGTTCCAGAGCACAGGGAATGGGTCAGCAGGGGCTTCCTGGGAACCCTGGGTTACAGAGGAGCCGTGATAATGCTGAAGTTAGACACTGAAGTCTTAGCTGTGCCCTTGGGTTAGAGTGAACAGGTAATGTGGCCCCACGTTTGCCCAGAACTTTCCTGATTTTAGAATGGACGGTTCTGCATACCGAGAGCCTATCCTGGTTTTAATACTGAAAGTCATTGGCTCCAGGAACTCCCTCAGTCCCGGGGAACCATGTTGCAGCCTCCCTTTGGGCTCCGTGTACAATCACCTCAAGTGCTACCCAGCCTTGACCTGTGGGACTGACTGCCTTGCCGGCCACCCTGGAGTGATTTGACACCAACTGTGTAGCTCATACTTCTGGCCTGCGAGTGGCTTTGTGCGTAGCAGCAGCCAGAACAACTGGCAAATTAAGGAACTACTTTTCCTTTTCAATTTAATTCTGATCATGGCCTTGGGCTTTGTTCAGCACCCTTACCGTGCGAACTTGTCCTTTTTACTC
The DNA here is from genome assembly GCF_000001405.40 of Homo sapiens. Lineage (NCBI taxonomy): Eukaryota > Metazoa > Chordata > Mammalia > Primates > Hominidae > Homo > Homo sapiens. The sequence goes on from NC_000010.11 coordinate 130,402,376, forward strand.
TAGAAGGCAAAACTGGTGCGATGTGGCCAGAGCTCTGCAGCTGGGAGCAGCCTCATTCTGCAGAGTGGCCTTGACCCCAGGCCCAGGCTCTCCGTTAGGGTGGGGATGTTCGATTGCTTGTCCCTTGTGTGATGTCCACTCTACTTTCCTCTGGGGATGTCATCTGATCATCTCCAGTGACAGACTCTGATGGGACCTGGGGAAGGTGCCCGAGCTTTCCTCTCCCAGGGGAAGGCATGCCACCCAGGCACAACCATCAGACACCATTTCCTCTGTAGACTTTGAATCCTGAGCAAAATGACAAAAAGTTGAAAGTGGCTGGAGATGCTTCACCCTGTGGAGACAGTTGTGCCGGCTTTGCAATTCCCCAGGTCTCTCTGGTCATGGTGGTCATTCGTGGCACCTTGACCTTTTGTTTGAGTCTATGAACTTTGTTCATATCCTTCCCATGAATTCCCTGAGTGCTTGAGTTTTCCAGGTTGATTTATGTAGCTAGCAAACAAAGAAACCCAATGTAAACTGAAGTTAAGACCCAAATTTGGAGTGTGGTGGGAGAGGTTCAGGTCCCCCAGGTTTTCCAAATTTCCTCTTTGCAATTGTCAGTGTCCTGTTTTTTTTCCAACCTGGTGACATAGTGAGCTTAAAAGCTGTTAGGATTCAGCAACCGGAACAAGCTCTGAATTTAATTTTGGCTGGTCTCAGCCCGGTGGATAGTGGAGATAAGAGATTCTCTCAGCAGGTCATGGGAGGGCTCTGGGTCTCAGCTCATTCCTTCAGGTGAGCACTGGGGGATATGAGCTGATCTTGCTTCAAGCTGGCCAGTGCTCCCAGAAGCAGCTAGCCCTCTTTCCAACATCATATGTTCCCTTCATAGCAGCTGTCTGTCTCCAAAGCCAGGCACCTGTCCCCAGTGAGCACTTGGCCTCAGGGGAGCACTGAAGATAACTTGATTAGCAATTCTGGTATCTGGCACCACAGGCTGCCACATGGCCAGCCCAGAGCAGGAATGAGCTTCCTTGTTCTCTTGCCAGCGCAGCCAGGTGCCAAGTTCAAGTGTTCCTCATCCCCTGAAGGTCTGTTACCTGCCGCCTCTTTTCAGGCAACAACTGCTGTTTTATATATATGTAAAAAAAAGGAACTAAGGTTGAATGCAAGCAAGAGGAGAACTTATTGGAAGAACAATGTGGCTGACAAAATAGAGACAGAAAATGAAGCTTGGGAAGGACTGGAAGCTCTAAGAATCCAGGCAGCAGGGTCTCAGGTCCTGTAGCTGGGAGAGCAGGTGCTGTGCCCTCAAGTGAAATTTCAGAGAGAGCACTTGAATGGCCCGGAGTCTGTCACAGGATCAGTGCCTGGTCATGTGGACCAACCCTAATAGCTGTTATGAACGTGGGCTCTCACTTTAATTTATGAGCGCAATAGTCTGACTTGTTTCAAGGCTTCTGCTAAGACCCAAGGAACAGGAAGAGGACTTTCTTAGTCCAGCCAACTTGGAAGAACATGTAAGAAGGCTGTGGAGGGCTGGATTCAGAGATGTGTGTGATGAGATCATTGCTGAGAGATTTGGGACTGGAGTTTTATCAGAATATTGGGCAGAAGAATAGTGTTTAGTTAAAAAGGGAACATTGGAGGACAAGTCTTGTCATTTGTTGAGATTTTCCGAGTGATGGATTGTCTCCTTAATGAGACTTTGTTCCAGTGGATTATTTATGCTCCATACACTCTGTCCTAGTCTGTTTTTTGCTGCTGTAACAGAATGCCCAAGATGGGGTGATTTGTAAAGAACAGGCTATTATTTCTTATAGTCTGCAGGTGGGGAAGTCCAAGGTGGAGGGGCCTGTGTCTGGTGAGGGTCTTCTTGCTGCTTTATCCCATGATGAGAGGCAGAAGGGCAAAAGATCATGTGAGACAGAGACAGAGAGAGAGACAGAGAGGCAGAGAGAGAGACAGAGAGGGACAGAGAGGCAGAGAGAGAGAGACAGAGAGGCAGAGAGGCAGAGAGAGAGAGACAGACAGGCAGGGAGGCAGAGAGAGAGAGAGAGAGACAGAGAGAGAGACAGAGAGAGAGAGGCAGAGAGAGAGACAGAGAGGGACGGAGAGGCAGGGAGGCAGAGAGAGAGAAAGAGAGAGGGAGAGGCAGAGAGAGAGAGAGAGAGAGAGATCAAACTTGCAGCCTCAAGCCCTTTTATAACTGGGATTAGTCTGTTCCCGAGAGTGGAGCCCTTGTGACCTAAACGCTTCTTGCCTGGCCTCACTGTGCAATGCTATGGCACTGGGGCGTAAGTTTCCAGCACAGGCTTTTTTGAGGACACATCCAAACCATGGCACCCCCCATTGTTAAAGTCAAGGTGCTAATTTTTAACTGCTTCTGTACAGTTTCATGGCTGCTCAGTGATCCTAGCAACAAAGGAGAAATAACCTGCCTTTGCTAATTAATTGGAAGTTAGAAAACGATCTTTTTCCTTGTCTTTGAGAATGTTATTCACCTTTTGAGTGCTCAGCTTGTCAGACAATGCTAATGTTATTGTGCAACTCTGAGCTCAGCTAACTGACATTTGGAAATGGATAGAACTGTCGAGATTCATCCTTAAAGATTCTGGTGTGTAATGAAGCAGAACCCATTGTTTTTCCTCAGGAGGGCAATGATGGATGTCCTGGTGCTTTTGGGGGAACATGGAGTCAATTAGGTGTTTCCCTGTGTGGTCACAGGACTCTCAGGAAAAGTAGCAGCAGAGGGAGGGAGAAAATAGACCCCTCAAGTCGAGGCTATTCCTCCTGAATTCAGCTCAGCCAGCAGTATGGGGAAGTCTCTGCAGCGGGGCTGGTGAGGACAGCCATGAGCGGGATCCTGACTCCTTAGGCTTTGGCCAGCCCTGGAACCTCGCTCTATCTCTGCCCCTTCACTGGTGTGGATGTGCAGCCATCATGCTGAAAAGCTGGCTGTCAATTCTATGTGTAAATTGGACCCCGTCAAATGCGTTGCTAAAGGTGATTAGAGCGCAACACCTAGCAGATCCATTTCCCAAACTTTCCACTTCTCTTTTGGCAAATCTAGATTCCTATTTATTGAATCTTCTTAAAGCAAGGCAATCTTTAATACAGTTTACAAGAAGCATAACTAATAAGCCAGTAGTGGAGACAAAAATGAAATAACAAAGAACACCCAAAACTTCCCCCAAATAGTCAGAAGAAGAGGGAAGACAGAACCAAAAATAGGTGGGGAAAAAAGAAAATAACTAGCAAAATGGTGGATTTAAATAAATAATATTAATAATTGTGTTAAATGCAAGAGTCCTAAGCATTCTAAATATTTTAAAACAATTTAAAAGCAGCGATTATCAAATTGGATAAAGAAGCAAGACACAGCAATAAACTATGACAAAAAAAATCCACTTTGAAGATGAAAACATAGATAGGGTAAAAGTATAAAGATGGAAGATAATGTACCACACAAACACCAATTTAGAGTGAGTTTGAGTGGCCATGTTTATAGAAGTCGGAATAGACTTCAGAACAAAGAATGTTGCCAGGGATAAAGAGGGGTTTTACATAAAGAAGAGAGGTCAACTGATCAAGAGATATAATCCTGACTGTGTATGCAGCTAATTAAGGAGCTAAAAAAATATGTGAAGTAAAAACTGATTGGAACTGAAAGGAAAATAGACAAGTCCACAATTATGTTGGAGACTATAATACTCTTCTCTCTGTAATCAATAGAATGAGTAAACAGAAAATCAGTAAAGGTATAGAAGACCAGAATAGCACTATCAGCTCGATTTAATTGACATTTATTGAACAATCCATCCAACAACAGCAGAATACACATTTTTTCCCCAAGTACACATAGAACATTTGCCAAGATAAACTGTATTCTTGGCCATAAAATAAACTTCAGTACCTCATGATATTTAAAAGAATTTAAATGATATAAACTATATTCTCTGACCACAAAGACATTCCATTAGAAATCTATAACAGAAGATATTTGGAAAATTCACCCAAATTTGGAAACCAAAAGGCAACCTTCTAAATAACCTAGAAGTCAAAGAGGAAGGCACAGAGCATGATAAATTATTTTCCACTGAATGAAAATGAAAACACGTAAACATAAAACTTGTGGGATACAACTGAAGGAACACTTTGAGAAAAGTTTATAGCATTAAATTTTTTTATAATCAAGAAAGATTTCAAATCAGGAATATAGTTTTTTTCTTAAGCAATTAGGAAAAGAAGAGCCAATCAATTCCAAAACAACCAGAAAGAAGGAAATAATAAAGACAAGAGCAGAAATTAACAAAATTAAAAACAGAAAAATAGAGAAAAATCAGTACAATAAAAAAAGCTCGGTCTTTGAAGAAATGAATAAATTTGACCAAACGCTAGCTGGACTGATTCAAAAGAAGGAAAGAGGACACAAATGATCAATATTAGGAATGAGAACGGGGGCATCATTACAGATTTTACAGACTTTTAAGAACCTAAAAGGAATATTATGGAACATTTTATGGCAAGAATTGCGAGACATCTGTCCATAACATTCGACAAGTTATTAACCATAGGCATCAGTTTTATCATCTTCAAATGGGAGGAGTAAGAGTGCCACTCTCAGAGGGTCTGAAGATTAAATGAAATCATATCTACAATGCAACATGCATGGAGTAAGTCCCCTGGAAATTTTAGCTGATATTTTATCATCATCATTATCATAATCATCACTGACTCCATCCAATGTGCAGGAGTGGGTGGGAGCTCTCGTGAAGTCCTGGGCTCCTCTATGAATACCTCCCAGGCCTCTCCATGGCTCCTGCCAGATCCCTTGGACTCACCCTGAGATGAGGGCACACAGCAATGTATAACTACTCGGGCCCAATGGTGATGGGGCTGTGAGGGCTGTGGCCAAATGCTTAGGGGAGGCCCATGAAAGGAGGTCATTAGGCGGCAAGGGCTCCTGGTAACAAGATGTGTGTCTAGTGCTGTGCTAGGCACTCTATGTGCAGGATCTCTTTTCATCTTCATAGCAAATCTGCAAAAGCAGGCACTGTTATCACCTTTGCAAGAGAAGACCGCTGGCTCTAGGAGGTTATAAAATTAATCCAAGAGGCCAGGTGTGGTGACTGAAGGCCTCTTGGATTAATCCTAGCACTTTGGGAGGCCAAGGCAGGCAGATTGCTTAGGCCCAGGAATTCAAGACCGGCCTGGGCAACATGGAAACCCCCTCTCTACAAAAAATACAAAAATTAGTTGGGCTTGGTAGCACGTGCCTCTGGTCCCAACTACTTGGGGGTCTGAGGTGAGAGGATTGCTGGAGCCTGGGAGGTGGAGGCTGCACTGTGCCTTGATCACACCACTGCACTCCAACCTGAATGACAGAGTGACACCCTGTCTCCAAAAACAAACAAAACCAACCAAACAAACAAACAAAAAAACCCCAACAAAACCAGAAATTAATCCAAGAGTTCACAGTTGGTTGGGGTGGGGGTGAGGTTTAGGACTTGAGAGTGGTGTCACCTTAAACCATGCATGTCAGCTACTTTCTGTGTAGCACTTTGGCAGGATAGGCATGGGGGATGGGAGCAGACAGTGTGAGCAAAGGTGCAAGCCTTAGAGTCTATGGGAGGCCTCCCAGCCCCCTTGACTCTCTTGTCACATTAAAGGCTTTGCTGAAGTCCCACAATTTTCCAAGAAGGCAACCCTGATCACTCTGGCCATGACTAATGGCTTCTTTACCTTGCAGCTAGATTGTTCGTTAAATGCAGAAAGTGTTTTGCTCCGAAGTGTGGTGTCTGGAGTGTGATATCACACAAGGGGACCTTGGTTTCCTCACCAAGGATCCTGTTAGAGCAAAGGGTCGGTCATCCCATTGTCCTGCACACATTAGGACCCTCCGTCTGTCAACACCATGGATTTCATTCAACTCTGTGTCATCTGTAACGATCTCTATATGCTGTTTGGAAAATGCTGACTTATTGAAGGCTTTAAAATAAAAATTGTGAAATGACCTGCTAACAGTCTACTGTGGTCACACTGAGGAGAAAGAAGAGAGATGATGGCACATCCAACATTTTTGGAGGCTGATGCTTGATGTCGGTTATCTCAGCCCCTCTGACACCCTCCTTCCACTTGAGGAACTGGGGACTCAGAGTAGGGAAACGACGTACACATCTGGTTGCTCACGCCTGTAATCCCAGAACTTTTGGAGGCCGAGGCAGGCGGATCACCTGAGGTTGGGAATTCGAGATCATCCTGACCAAAATGGAGAAATGCCGTCTCTACTAAAACTACAAAATTAGCCAGGTGTAGTGGCACTTGCCTGTCATCCCAGCTACTCGGGAGGCTGAGGCAGAAGAATCGCTTGAACCCGGGAGGCAGAGGTTGCTGTGAGCCGAGATTGCGCCATTGCACTCTAGCCTGGGCAACAAGAGCGAAACTCCACCTCAAAAAAAAAAAAGAAAGAAAAGAAAAAAAAAGAAAAGCAGCCAGGAGTTCTGGGGTTCTGTTTGGGCACCTTAAGTTTGAGGTGCCCGTTAGAACTATGCGGAAAGAGTAATGTCCTATTTTTATCACTTAAATCAGGTATAGAGGCTGCTATGAGACCCGTTATGTTTCACGAATGTGAAAATATGGTGGCCTCGACTCAGTACGTGTTTGTGGGATGCATGAGGCCCACTGTGTTCTGTGACAATGGCGAATGGCCAGTTCCCATTTGAATCTCAGTGGCACACTTTCACAAAGCCTTTGTAGATTTCTCCTGAGCAGGGTGGTGCCTTCACCATGTTTACAAGAGTATCTGCAGTGCCATTTCCTCTATACCTATTGTTTTATGTTGAAAGCACTCTACCTGTTTTGCATAATTGTTTGAGGCACACGTAATTAGTTTTGTGTCAAGGTAAGCTTTTATGTAGTGCCTCAAGAATCAGAATTGCAATTTCCAAAGGTTGGTGGAGCATGATAGAATGCTGTTCTCGCCGACCCCATGGTGCTGAAGGCTCCCGTTCTCAGTGTCACTCACTTCCCTGCATGGGAAATAGCAGCTCACGGCAGAAACTGCCATCCGGTCTTTGCCAACTCCCAGGAGCCGGCAGGCAGTGAGATGGGTAGTGATGTGTGCATGGCTGTTTCCTTGCAACAAAGAATTCCATTTAGCAGACACGCGCCTCCCTGTAAGTCCAAGGCCAGCTTCCAGCAGCAGGGACGGGGGTTGTAAAGACAAACAAGGCATGGACCAAGGATTTAACATCATGTGAGGATGGGCAAGAGCCTTCCTGGTTACTGCAGAACCGCCTGGGAGTGTTGGGAGGGAGGCGAGCATCATCTGGGTTTGGGGAAGGCTTTTCAGGTGCAGCAGGAGTTTAGCTGAGTTCTAGAGGGTGGGGAGGACACTGTCTAGGTTAAAGAGTGGCTTGAGCAAAGGTTCTAGAGGTGTGAGACTACATTTAAAAAAATTGCAATGACAGAAACCTAGCAAAATAACTTAAGCTCCAAAGAACCATGCTCGCCTGTGTCCCTGGCGTGGCTGGATCTAGGAGTTCAAGCGGCACAGTTAAGCATCCGTCCCCGTGTCTTCATGTCATCTGTAATCTCATCTTCACTCGACAGCTCAGCACCTCCTCCTTCACTTTCCTGCCACAGACAAAGACCTGCGACCTCGACTTTTCTAAGAGTTGCAGCGAAAGTGCCATGGCTGGCTGTTGCTGGGTCGGTTCTGATAATGTCTCCATTTCTGAACCCATCCCTGGCCAGAGGAACGTGTGTTCTGGTTGGACAAACCAGACCTGGGGCCTGGCCCCTCGGGCTCATGTGAGCCTCCCCTGGGCCCCTTGGATTAGAGAAGAAGGCAGGTGGCTCTCCAGAGGAAATCTAGGTGCTGCCACTAGAAGAAAAGGCATGGGGGTTGGGAAGCAAAAACGAATAATGTGTAATACGGAAGCCACAAGTGTGAGGGCAGCAGGAGTTTCATCCACTCATTTCTCATCCACCGAGTGAGCTGCGTGTACAAGTTTCCTCTCACTGCTGAAACAAGTCTTCACAAATGTACAGGCTTAAAGCAACAATTTATTATCTGCCAGTTCCTGAGGTCAGAGATCTGAAATGGGTCTCACCGGGCTAAAAGCAAGGGGTCAGGAGGGCTGTGTTCCTTCTGGAGGCTCCAGGGAGCACCTGTTCCCTTGTGTGTTCCAGCTCTGAGATGCCCTGTCTGCCTTGGCCTGTGACCCCTTCCTTCATCTTCAAACCAACAACCGTTGGGCTGAGTCCTCCTCACACTGCATCTCTCTGCCTCTCTTTCTTCTGTCTCCCTCCACACTTATAAAGACCCTTGTGATTCCGTTAGCCCACCAGGAAGGTCCAGGATAGGTCTGCCATCTCTAGGTCAGCTGAGTAGCCACCTTAATTCTTCCTTTTGCATCAACTCGATGCCTTTTGCCAGGTAAGACTAACATGCTGGCTGGGCGCAGTGGCTCACGCCTGTAATCCCAGCACTTTGGGAGTCCAAGGTGGGCAGTTCACCTGAGGTCAGGCATTCAAGACCAGCCTAACCAACATGGTGAAACCTCGTCTCCACTAAAAAAATACAAAAATTAGCCGGGCTTGGTGGCAGGCACTTGTAATCTCAGCTACTCAAGAACTGAGCCAGGAAAATCGCTTGAACCCAGGAGGCAGAGGTTGCAGTGAGCCGAGATCACGCCACTGTACGCCAGCCTGGGCTATGGAGCAAGACTCTGTCTCAAAAAGAAAAAAAAAGAAAAGCAATATTCTATTCACAGGTAACATATTCTATTCCCAGGTTCCAGGGATCAGGACGTGGATGTCTTTTGCAGGACACGTCATTCTGCATCCGCACGCAATTCTGTCTGTGTGCCAGGCATGGTTAGGTGCTGGAGATACGAGTACCCATGGCCCCTGAATTCAAGAATTCACTAGAGAAATAATGGACATTTGCAAGGTGCTAGGCATGGGGCTGACTGCTCCAAGCACATCTGTCTGGGATTTCTAGTTTGTCTGAGTCTGGAGTGGAGTGATAGAGGTAGCGGGTATTCTTGAAAGGTCTTGAATGCCAGGCAAAAGAGGGCAGGCTTCATCCTGGAGACATCCGGGAGCCGTTGGAGATGGATTTTTGTTTTTAGCAGGGTTGTTTCCTAATTTAAGTTTTAACAATTTGCTCTAGAGGCAGTATGAAAAGTCAACCAAAGAGGATGACAAGATAACAAACAGGCTTACCCTAAAAAGATGCAATGTGTGCTATGAAACTCAAGTCACTGATATGGAAGAATGCAGAGCCCCACGCGGAGCTTGCCATAGAAGCTGTATTGGATCTGAGGATGACAGCTCAGCTCTGATGCCGCTGACATTTCCAGGAGCCTCTTTCTACAGGTGCTCACATCCACACGTCGCCTCATTTATGCTCCCACCATCACCGGTGAAATAGATATTACTATTCCCTTTAAGAAAGTTGAAGCAGGTCATCAGAGGTCAAGTGACTGCACTCTGTTTACGCAGCTGTGAGTTCCCTCTGGAGAGGATGTTTTGAAGGACTACGAGTCAGAAAGAAGTGCTCGCCTCGGCGGGTGGAGGGAGCCACTTCTCCCCACCCCCTGCCACCTTTGGTAACCACGTTCTTCTCTCTGTTTCTACGTATTTGATTTTTTAAAATTCCACATATAAGACACATCATGCAGCATTTTTCCTTTTGGGTCTGGCTGACTTCACTTGGCTTAATGTGTCTCCCCATGCTTAGAGGAATGTGTCTCACTGTGGGTTTCCAGGGTCTGCGAGGCCTTCGTTAAGCGTTTTGGCACTAGAAGAGTCTCCCTCTCCCCCGCACCTCCCCTGTGCCAGCCTCATACCTTTGTCTTCCAGAGCTGAGCTCAGATGTGGCTCAGATTTGACTCAGTTGTTCTGACATCTCAGATCTTCTTGATGTTGCTGTTTATTGGGAGGGAGTGGGAATTAAAATTCTTAATTAATTTTCTGTGTGAATTTTTTTCAGTGCAGTGAAAAGAAAATGACCCTGATATTGTCACTTATCATTTTCTAGCTGTCCCAGAGAACTGTCCACCCAGTCGTGTGTGTGTTCACGGATTCTTGGGTGTTTCCCACAGGGAGGGTGCTGGGCTGTGTGCTGGGGAGGAAGCTGCCACCTGGGAACTTACCGTTTGTTGTAGTTTCCTACCACGAACTTGGTGGTTCACAACAGCACACGTTTGTTATTGTGGTAATGCTCCTAAAATCTAGGTGCTGGAATCTACCACATTCATCCTGGAGGCTACAGGGGAAAAAGCCCATTCCCAGGTGACCCAGGGTACTCCATCTCAAGAGCCTTCATTCTGTCACATTTGCAAAGTCCCTTTTGCCATGTAGGGCAACATATGCACAGGTTCCTGAGATTAGGATGTGGATATTTTTGTGGGGTATTATTTCACCTACCTCCCTGTAGTGTGCTATTTAGTTTTCAGTGACTTAAGGATTTGCCAGTTATCTTTGTTATTGATTTTTTTTTTTTTTTTTTTTTGAGACAGAGTTTCACTCTGTTGCCCAGGCTGGAGTGCAGTGTTGCAATCTCGGCTCACTGCAAGCTCCGCCTCCTGGGTTCACGCCATTCTCCTGCCTCAGCCTCCCGAGTAGCTGGGACTACAGGTGCCTGCCACCATGCCCGGCTAATTTTTTTGTATTTTTAGTAGAGACGGGGTTTCACCATGTTAGCCAGGCTGGTCTCGATCTCCTGACCTCGTGATCCACCTGCCTCGGCCTCCCAAACTGTTGGGATTACAGGCATGAGCCACCATGTACGGCCTTGTTATTGATTTTTAATGCAATTCTATTCTGGCCAGAGAGCAGAATAGGTATACACACACACACACACATGAATTCTTTTCAATGTTGGGGGACATGTTTTATAACACCAGGTATAGTCTGTCTTGGTTAATGTTTCACATGCAACTCAAAAAAAATATGTGTTCTGCTGTTATTGGGTGAGGTGTTCTATCATTGTGAATTAAGTCGACTTGCTTCATTGTGTTGTTTGAGTCTTCTACTGATATATCTTTATGAATTTTCTGTCTATTTTTTCTTTCCATCATTGAGTTGTTGAAATCTCTGGCTGCAACTGTTGATCTGTTTATTTCTCCTTTCAGATCTGTTAATTTTTGCTTTATGTACTTTGAGCTCTATCATTGGCTTCATAAACATTTAGGACTGATACAGCTTCTTAATGAATCAACCCCTTTATCAGTATAAAATGAGCCTCTTCATCCCTGCTAACTTGCTTGTTGACTTTGATATTATATATCCACCGTGCCTTTCTTTTGCTTGGACTTAGAATGATATATCTTTTCCCATCATTTTACATTAAAACTATTTGTGTCTTTATATTTAAAAAGGGTTCCTAGGGAGCACACAATTCAGCCTTGCTTTTTAAAGTCTGTCCTGATGATCTGCCTTTTAATTGTTGTGTTGTGCTCATTTATATTGATGAGGTTACTGACGTAGTTAGTTTTAAGTCTATTATCTTGCTATTTGTTTCCATTTGTTCCATTTGTTTTTTGTTCCTATTTCTTCTTTTTCTGTCTTATTTTGAATTAATTGTATATTTTTTATGATTCTATTTTATCTCTTTTATTGGCTTCTTAGCTATAACTCCTTGTTTTGTTGTTTTAGGGGTTGCTGTAGAATGTGTAGTTTATATCTTTAATTTGTCATTCTACTTCCATGTGATATTATCTGACTTTATGTATCTTGTGGGAACCTCGTAATAGTGTACTTCTATGTCTCCCCTCTCACCCTTTGATCTATCCTTTCCACACATTTTACTCCTACATATATTATAAATACACTATGCATTATTATTTTTGGTTTTAACAATCAAGTATAAAGAGATTTAAATAATAAGAGTAATTGTCTTTTATTTACTCATAAATTATCACTTCCAGTATTCTTTATTCCTTTGTGTAGATCCATGTTTCCAATTGTTCTCATTTCCTTTTGCTTGAAAGACTTCATTTAGTGTTTCTTGTGGTACAATTTTATTGGTAATAATAGTTATAGCTTTTGTATTCCTGAAAAACTATTTTGTCTTCATTTTTGTGAAGTATGTTTGTTGAGTAAAGAATTTTAGATTGACAGCTGGCACTGTTTCCAATGAGACATCTGCTGTTATCCTTATTTTCCTCCCCAGGTAATGTGACCCCTTTTTTTCTGGCTGCTTTTAAGATTTTTTAAATTACTGGTACTGAACAATTTCATTATAATGCTCTTTTGTGTAGTTTTGTTCATGTTTAATGTGCTTGAGGTTTGTTGAGCTTTTTTGACCTATGTATTTATGTTTTCATCAAATTTAGAAAACTTTGGCCATGTTATCCCCAACCTCTCCTCTCCCTTAGGAACTCTTTTTACATGTATATTTGGCCATTTGAAGTCTACAGGATTTCAAGCCAGGATTCCACTACAGGATTTCAAATCAGACTGTCTTTTAAATTGGTTCTGATTCATTAAATCACACTTTAGAGAGTATTTATTTAACTGATAACTCTTATGGTATTGAAGTTTATGAAGTAACAATATTAATTTTTACTAAACGGAGTAACTAACACTCCGGGTGTCTTGAGCCCTTTTCCCAGTGTTTAATTTTACATGGTTTTTATTGCTGTATCTTCAAGTTCACTACTTTTCTTCTGCAATGTTGGATCTACTATTAACTCCACCCATTATATTTATTTTTATCTCATAACTTATAGTTTTCATTTCTAGAATTTTAATTCGGGTCTTTTAAATGTCTTTCACAGCTCTTCTTAACATGTGTAGTCTTTGCTCTATCTTCTGGAACACATGGGGCAGTTACAATAACTGTTTTATCCCCTTTTCTACTAATCTTATCATTTGTGTCAATCCTGGGCCAGTTTTGACTGATTGCCTTTTCTCCTCATCATGAATATTATTTTCTTGCTTCTTTGTATGCCTGGTAATCTTTGATTGGATGCCACTCATTGTTAATTTTACCTTGTTGTATGCTGGCTATTTTTCTATTCCTATACATATTCTTGAGCTTTGTTCTGCACCACGGTTAAGTTCCTTGGAAATAGTTTGATCCTTTCAGGTTTTGCTTTTATGCTTCTAATGAGTCCTCACATAATATGGTTTCACTTAAAATATAAGATAGGATATAAATGTTTAACACTCACCTAACTGGAAATCTGCCTCCCTTATTTGTAATTTGCTCTTTCTTAATAATTTTTTAATACACTTTTGTCCAAACTTGCCCTTTGGTGGGTGAAGTTTGGACAAAAAACTTAGATGGACACAGAAATTTTTAATCATCTGTTAACTTTCCTCACTACTGAGGTAAAACTCTTCTGAGTACTCTACCCTATGCCTTGTAACTTATGATTTTTCCACTCTGGCTGGTGGGAATAGGCAGTATCCCTGGCCCTGTGTAAGTTTTAGTGATTGCTCCCTCTAATTTTTTCAGATTGTTCTTTTCCTGGTCTTGGGTAGTTTTTTTTTTCACATGATGCACTAATCAGTGCTCTGCTGACTATTCAAGAGAAACCTTCTGCAGATCTTTGGAGTTCTCCCTGTGTGCAGCTCTCTCCTCTGTGTACTCCGCCCTGTGTGCAGCTCCCTCCTCTGTGTCCTCTGCCCTGTATGCGGCTCCCTCCTCTGTGTCCTCTGCCCTGTATGCGGCTCCCTCCTCTGTGTACTCTGCCCTGTGTGCAGCTCTCTCCTCTCATATACTCTGCCCTGTGTGCAGCTGTCTCCTCTGTGTACTCAGCCCTGTGTGTGTCTCCCTCCTCTTGTGTACTTCACCCTGTGTGCAGCTCCCTCCTCTGCATACTCTGCCCTGTGTGCAGCTCCCTCCTCTGTGTACTCCTGGCCCTGTGTAAGTGTTAGTGATTGCTCCCTCTAATATTTTCAGGTAGTTCTTTTCTCGGTCTTGGGTAGTTGTTTTTTTTTTTTTTTTTTAACATGATGCACTAATCAGTGCTCTGCTGAATATTCAAGAGAAACTTTCTGCAGATCTTTGGAGTTCTCCCTGTGTGCAGCTCCCTCCTCTGTGTCCTCTGCCCTGTATGCGGCTCCCTCCTCTGTGTACTCTGCCCTGTGTGTAGCTCTCTCCTCTGTGTACTCCGCCCTGTGTGCAGCTCTCCTCTCATGTACTCTGCTCTGTGTGCAGCTCCCTCCTCTGTGTACACCACACTGTGTGTGACTCCCTCCTCTGTGTACACCACCCTGTGTGTGTCTCCCTCCTCTTGTGTACTCCGCCCTGTGTGCAGCTCCCTCCTCTGTGTACTCCACCCTGTGTGCAGCTCTCCTCTCATGTACTCTGCACTGTGTGCAGCTCTCCTCTCATGTAGTCTGCTCTGCGTGCAGCTCTCTCCTCTCGTGTACTCCGCTCTGTGTGCAGCTCTCTTCTCTGTGTACTCCGCCCTGTGTGCAGCTCCCTCCTCTGTGTACTCTGCTGTATGTGCAGCTCTCTCCTCTCATATATTCGGCCCTATGTGCAGCTCCTGCTTCTGTGTACTCTACCCTGTGTGCAGCTCCCTCCTCTGTGTACTCTGCCCTGTGCGCAGCTCCCTCCTCTAGTGTAATCCACCCTGTGAACTCTGGCCTCTGACATTTGTGGAGTTCCTGCTCAATCTCCTTAACTCAAGGAGACTGCCAGTCTCTGCTTACAGGATATTTCAATGAATACTTACTTTTTATGGCAGATACTAGAAAACCACTTGTTATGTCTTTTCTCTACAGCTTTCCATCTAGAAGTATAATCAACTGACCTTATTACAGTGCCTTGTTTCATGTCTGGTCACCTGTAAGTGTCAGAAAGTGCCTCCTCACCTGTAAATTTTACTGATTAGCTGAGTACCACCACTCTGACATATATGCAAGCCTTGTGACCAACCTTCCTCTGTATTTCTAAGGGCCTGATTTCAGTTCCTTTTCCATCTAGGTTGTTCTTCACTGAAACACAACTATTGTTTCTTTTCCCTTCCAAGTGAGGTGCTCGTATTTAAGTATGACACTACAGGCAAGTTCCAATGATAGGGTGTGTCTCTTACCTCCTGCTTCCTAGATGTTAGGATTCTATCAAGGTAGTGCAAGATTACTTTGGACTTTCTGATGTTTTCTGTTTTTTTGCTGTCTGGAGCTAGCTTACAGTTTACTGGAATCTCCAAATCGTATTTACATATGTGATTGTTAAGCTATAATAAGCATGATATTTCTTTGCTTGAATACTGGCTTCTGAGGGGCAAGTTTGGGCAAAATTGTATTAAAAATGTATTGAGAAAGAACAAAAGTACAAAAGAAGGAGGCAGATTTCCAGTTAGGTGGGTGTTAGACATTTATGTTCTATCTTATATTCTAAGTGAAACCGTATTATAGGAGGACTCGTTAGAAGAGGGTTCATGTTCAAAATACAGCTGAACATTTGGTTACCTGAAGATTTTGATATTTTATCAAAGTACGAAATTTTGCAGATTTCAGGATTTCAAGACACACTGTCTTTTAAATTGATTCTGATTCATTAAACCACACTTTAGAGAGCACTTATTTAACTGATAACACTTATGGTATTGAAGTTTATGAAGTAACAAATGGCATGTGCTGTTGACTTAGTACTGAAATAAAGATGAGCTATTGATATTTGATTAAGATAACAGCTGTTCTATAAGTGCTATACCCTAATGCAAAGAACACTGTTATTATACAGTAGGATAAAACAGTTACTGCAAAACACCACAATTTAGAAAATAAAGGTTACCTGAGAGCATGAAATTATTTCAAGTTAATTTTGCACTCTGTTCTTGAAGCTGATTAGTATAAAATGTAATGAAATGTAATTTTTGCAAAACAGCTTAAGCCAGGAAAGAAGCACAGAAACCTGCAATTAGCACTGATTGATGCCGAGCCTTTTCTGTATCAAAGAAGATTGGAATGCACAGCGTTGGTTCACAAGGTGACTCCCAGCAAGGCTGGTCAGCCTGGCCTCTGGGAAGTGGACCAACACTGGTTTGTTTTTCTTTTTGTAATTGCCTTTTGGGAGCCATGGGGACATTGACAGTCACTGTCAATTTTCCTAGGGCAGGAATTTGTGGCACGTTGCAGCAGATTCCTCTCTCTCTCTCTGTGTGTGTGTGTGTGTGTGCGTGTGTACGCATGGTGGGAAGGGCAGGAGTTGTTTCTCATTCAATTCTCTTGGAATGAGCCCAGGCCTAACCCCCTACTCAGCTCCTGTATCCCTCCCCCTAAATTTTGGGCTAGCGGTGGTTCAGTTATGCTGGTGAACCTTGGCAAGCCACACTTCCTGTGGACACCAAGAAAATGGTGCTCCTTTCCAAAGTCCTAGAAAAGAACCACATCTACATGTCCAGACACAGTGTGTGCCTGACAAGGAGCGTCTGACCCAGCCACCCAGCACCTCGAGTTGCCTCAGGAAAATTGCTGTGTACATGTAAATTAAGAGGACTGTCCCTAAAGAATTGGGCGTCCGGCCCAAGCCTGTAGTGGCTTGACATGATCACGGCTGAGCATAACACTGTGGAGAGGTTTTCTTCCACTAATTCGGGGAAACCAGCGCTGGACCAGTGGTGGGACCTTGCCTTTGATGCCGTGCTGGGCAGGATCTGGGCTGAGCCACTGGGCCACTTGGCATGTCATGGGGCTGCATCACAGACCACAGCAGGAGCCAGACCTCAGGCCGACTGAGCCGACTTCCTGGGTCTCTCCCTCTGCTCCACAGGAGACTAAGTGAGCCTGGGACTGGGGTTTCATGATAGGGAGGTCCCAAGCTGAAGGAAGAAAAAGCATTCTCACAAAAGCAGCTTAGATATACAGTGTTACTAAGTTGATTACTAACAGGTGTGTGAGCACATTTTGTACTATGAGCTGGTGGAGGTGCCACAACAGTTACACACCCATGAGATTAATATGGGTTACACACTGGTGTCCTGATGATGCCAAGGCAGTCGTGAAGAGAAATCCAGCTTACTCCAGACCTTCATTTTCTCTTTCCTGATTTTCACAGGTGTCCACATTGGTTAGAGTGAATTTTTATATCCTCTTAAGTCAGTGAATGAGAAGACAGTGGAAGAAAATCAGATTAACAACCAATAAGGAGGACAGACATAGCTGATGTGCAACAAACATACGTGTGTGGGAGAAATAGATGTAAAATACCTCCCTCTTTTTCTTAAAGTCGTGCAGGTACAGCCAGTGGTCAGCAGGCACCATTTTCTCTATTTAGGCTCCCCAGGTGCTCTTCTTGGCAGTGGGTCTTATTCTGGACAGCATTTCCTCATTCTGGAGTGTGGGAGAGGTCCATGCTCTGGAGAACTTTGACCCCAAACCAGTAACCAGATTCTGTCCCTGAGGAACCACTTGCCCTGTGACCAGGAGCCAGCCACGTCATACCTTGCATGACTTCATTTTCTGAAAACGGAGGGGACAAGGTGGTTGCTGGTGTCTCAGATTTTTGTGTGGGTTAGAATGGGAAGTCATTTGCTTTCATCTTGGGAATCTGCTCTGTTGAACCCAACAAAGGTAGTCTCATGTCTTCGCCGTAGTAGAACATTTCCTGGTGTCAGAAAGAAAAGTGGAGTTCTTTGGGTTGCAAGTGGCAGGCACCCCCATCTCAGTGGCAAACAGGAAATTCATTTGCACACAGAGTTGAAAAGCACTGGAGATTCAGGGCCTTAGCTAGACTGTCATTGTGTGGTCTCTTCTGTGTGTGCCACCTAAGCTCTCGGGTGGGTTTCCGTGGGCTGGTCCCAGCAACTCCAGTGCTTTCCCTGTTTTCCCTGAAAATTACAGCAGAAAGAAAGGGTCTTTCCCTGATGATTCCAAGATTGGGGTCCCAGGATTCTCACTGGGTGATCTTGGGTCACATGTCCCGTCCTGAACTGATCTTCATGGCTGCAGCATGGGGTATGAGGATTTGCCAGGCCCAAGTCTTGCATTTACTTGAAATCTTGAAATGCAAGAGAGGTGGGGTCAGTCCCAGCCAAAACACACAAGCTTGGAGTTAGGGTGGGGCTGGCTTCCAGAGAATATCATGGTATCGTTTTTGAATAATGCCATAGTCAATGCTATGTATAAAGTTAGCAAAGTGTATCATAGTGCTCAACAAATATTTGTTAAATCACTGAATGAATAAATGGTTTATAGGTAGATAGTATATTTGTCAGGGCTCTTCAAAGACATAAAATCAACAAGATGTGTGTGTGTGTCTGTCTGTGTATACATGGGTATATATATACATATATGTGACTGTATATATGTGTATACATGTATGTAGACATATATGTATATGTATACACATAGACATACATAAATCTATGCATGTATATATACACATGTATATGTATATGTGTGTCTAGATACACACATATATATGTATATATACACTAACGTATATATGTGTGCATGTATAAATGTGTATGTGTGTGTATATACATACATATATACAGAGAGAGAGAGAGAGAATTGGCCCATATGATTGTGGACACTGATGAGTCCCACCATCTGTGGTTGGCAGGCAAGCTGGAGACCCAGGAGAGTGGATGGTGCAAGTTTCAGTCTGAAGGCAGGAAAATCCTTGACATCCCAGCCAAGCATAGGGCAGGAGGAGCTCCCTCTTACTTTGCCCTTTTGTCCTGTTCAGGTCTTCGGTTGACTGGATAAGGCCCACCAGTAGTGGGGAAGACAATCGGCTATACTCAGTCTACCAATTCAAATGTTTGTCATGCAGAAATACTCTCCCAGACACGCCCAAGAAGATGTTTAACCAAATGTGTGGGCAGCCATGTCCCAGTCAAGTTGATACATGAAATCAACCATCACAGACACAGTGTTTTTCTGTTAGGTGAGTTGACCAAACCTCTCTTCGACTCTCAATCGACTTTATTTCCTTGGGAAATATTTTAATTTCAGGAGAGTCCTTTTTTTTTTTTTTTCCATCTGATCAATGTTAACAGCCAAGAATTGAGAAATTCGGAATAATAAAGTACCATAGTCCTACTTTGGGATGTGACTGTAAGAATTTTAAGAACCATGAGACATAAATATCTCTTCTTGCCAAAAGGACATCCATCCGATGGGTTTGTTTCTTCCCCAATGCCCAAGTCAATTGCATTTTTAATGTTGTATTCTATACCTGTCACGAGTTAAATAAAGCCAATAAGCTCAGATTAGCTTCTAATGACATTTATGCCATTTCTAAAGATGAAAATAGTTTGTTATCTATGCATTTTTTAAACTAAAGAAAACGAGGTGTGACCTGAATTCATGCCTTGGAATGGAGCATGTTTCCATCCCCGCAGAAAGAGGGTATGTCTGACGGGCCCACATTCTTCGGGCCTTTCCACATCAATGCTAACAGCTTCTGGAGATTCTGGCACATTCTATGCTTCCTTGTCCCCTGCCACTTGCTCTGATGGGCCCCCAAAGCAGGTGGGTGACAAGCAGAGTCCAGGCACTATTCATAGCCAAATACTGTGCCGTGCACCTGAGGTTCCCAGTCACTCACAAAGCTCTGGGCAGGTCTGGAGCCTGGTGGGCAGTGGGGGTGCCTGAACTGTCTGCTCCAGGTGCAAGGGCTTGAACAAGCTGGTGGGGGTAGGGGGTGGTTGCAGATACACTGGTAACAGCACCCGCAAAACATCACCGGACTGTGTGTTCAGCCTGCCAAAGAAGCCAAGGTTCTTTTGAAGCCACAGCTCAGCCTGACCTGCAGGGGCAAACATGGATGCTATGCCACGGCTCTCCCCTCCTGTGCCCCACAAGGCGGGAGTCCTCGTGGCAGCCCGTCTGCCCAAAGCTGCCCTTGTCCTGACCTTTCCTGAGATCTGTGCCTGTCCCCAGCCCCCAGCAGAGTCTATACCTCGTTCTGACCTTCTGTACCTTCTATACCGCTCTGACGTGGTGCATTCTGCCCTGTTTTTCTCAGTTGTAGCCTTTCCCTTCATCTCTGGCCTGCCCAGCTTAACCACCCGCTTCTTAACCTGTCTGTTTCTTCTTTTTCCCAGATCTCTGGTGGTCTCAGGCCAAGGCTAAACACCCCCAAGCATCCCTGGGTACTCTTTCTTATTCAGAAGGGCTGGTGGGGAGATGCGGGGGTGAGAGTTGCTTTTGAAGATTCTATAATGGGGGGGGGCTGAAATTGTACGAGGGCCCTAAAAGCACATCAGCCAGAATGTTTGTCCATGCCACTTCTCCAGCAGGCACAGGCGATTGCTTCCTGGGAGACTCCCAGCGTTGTTTACTTGCCTACAAGCCTGTGTCTCAGTGGTCAGCTGAGCATTTCCATGTAGACATCCTGTTTCTAGTGGTCACCAAAGCTGAGGTCACCTTCTGCCTACATGGCCCCTATTTCAGCTGTTCCTCTTCCTGTTCGGGGGGCCTCATTCTCCTGGGACCCTGGCGGAGGCTCAGCCTCCCGGATCTCAGGCCTCCCTATTCCCCACTGAGGTTGCGGCCCCCATCAGTTGGTTCTAACATTTTTTTCTGTCTTCTTTTCCACACCCTCATACTCTCCACCCCATTGTAGGCTGACACCTCCTTGTGTAGCTCTAGCAGTTGTTTTCATCAGGATAGAACACAGGGCACCTGTGAACTAGGATGGGGAAAAATCACATCTTTACGCTCATTAGCCTCTAACTGAAATTTAACATTTTCTTCCCTGTGAATGCAGATCTCAAAGCTCAGTGCTATGAGCAGTGACCTGGGATGGGACTTTGTCCCCAGAGCAGGCTGGCTTCTGGGGGGCGCTGTTGTACCTTTGATCTTACTGAACATTTGAAGCCTTGAACGTCATTAAAATCCATGGGAACAATGCAGACCTCTTCCGTATCACTTTAGAGTTGTTGCAGATATCTAGAAATCCATTCATGTTCACCAGTGCTTGGAAGTCCTGTGGTTATTGGACCTGCTGCCTGAGAGCTTGTTTAGCATATTCATAAAGGAGCTCATATGTTTCCATATCACAAATTTGTTTTCCAAAACATTTGAAAACCATAGTTCATTATAATGGATTTCTATTGCAATCACGTGTGTGTTTTTCTGCCTTAAAAACTCATTCTTCTGAGAGAGGGGCCTCAGGACGTGGTAAGACCCTTGTCCCTGCTGGGAATAGCTTCTCTGTCTTCTTCTTCAGCCACTTTGATTCAGCCTCATACGATTGCTCTTTAATCTTCCCAAAGCACAATGAGGTGATGTCACCTGCTCTCCCGGCGACCACGGTCTGCAGGATTCAAGCAAGGATCCGCAGCCCAGCATCCCTGGCGCTGCCTCCCTGCCATCCCGTCAGCCTCGGCCTTGCACATGTCCTGTGCTTTTATCCACACTGTGCCACTTAGGGCTTCCTATGCGCCCTGCATTTTCCCACCCTCCTGCATTCACACGACTCCTTCTTCTGAACACTCTCCTCTTTACTTGAGGACAACTTCAAGTAATGTCTCTTCTGCAAGGCCCTTGGAGAAGTCAGTGTGGTCTCCCCTCCTCTCATGATGATGGCTGCCCAGGGTTGTGCAATTCAGATGAACACCTGCCCTGGGCCGAGTCTCATGGAAGGCAGGCAACAGGTGGGGCGGGTGGCATTCTGGGTTAATCCTGGTGCCCACACCAATGCCTTCTGGAATGAGGGCCATCTTCAGGGATGCGAAACTCACTGCCACGAAGCCATTCCTGCCTGGAAGAACCAGAAGCTCCAGTGAGCTTTTGAATAGGAAGCATTCAGAGGCATCGCCACCACACATCTGAAAGGGACCAACAGGGATGCAGTCGGGGCTTGGGGGCTGCAGAAGGCAGAGCTCTGTGCCCTGACGCGCAGTTGATTGAACTGCCCTAGAGCAGGTGATGATGTTGCTGCCCTCATAGCATGGGGACAGCTGTGGCTTTGGCCCACTCGGTTGGAAACTGCGAGCCTTGCTGCCTGTACTGGGCTGGACAGCAGCATGCCCCAAAGTTCATGTCTGCCAGAACCTTAGAATGTGCCTCACTTAGAAACAGGGTCTTGGCAGATGTACTTAGTTAAACTGAAGTCCTCCCGGATTAGGGTGGGGTGGACCTAAAATCCACTGACTGGTGTTCCCGTAGGAAGGCTGTGTGAAGACACCGAAACCCTAGGAAGAAGGTCATGTGAGGATGGAGACAGAGGCTGGAGTGACGTTGCTGCAGGACACATGGATGGCCTGAAGTCCCTGGAAGCTGGGGGAGGGCCTGGAACACATTCTCCCCCTACCCCGGCCTCCAGAAGGAACCAGCCCTGCTGACACCTTGATCTTGAAAGTCTGGTCTCCAAAACATTGAGGGAATAAATTTCCGTTGCTTTAAACCATCCAGTTTGTGATAATTTGCTACGGCAGCCGCAGGAACCAACGCGCTTCCAGCCTCTCCTCAGGCCGCACACTGGTGAGCTTCCTGCTTCCTCCTGGCTTTCTGGCTCCCAGCTGCCCTACCCTGCACTTCCTCCACATGGATGAATGTATAAGGCCTCTACTCAAGATAGGACAAAACTTTTAGGAGTGTCGACGTGTCAGCCTGTGGGCCCAGGCAGGATTAATGACAACCTACAATTTAAAGATTTTTAACCAGCCATGTGCTTGTGTTAGTGTGCCTTTTACTTTTAATTGTTTGGCACATAGCATGCTTCCTGATGCTTTCAATTACCACATATAATTCTTTACATATACATTTTAGAAATGTCAAATGACTAGTTTCTTGGCAGAAGTAGCTGGAAAAATATAAACCTGTCACATTTAGTGCTCTGTTCCCCAAAGCCTGAGCCTCTCAGATCAGAACAGCCATGCCCCTGGGTGGTCTGCAGGGCAGGTGAGGGGCCATGGGACCAACACGCATGACTGATTTGACCAATGAGCAGTAACTGAAATCACGCAGAATTCCTGTGGATTTTCATACAGGTCAAGACTTGTACCAGTGTCCCGTGGGGATGTATTTAAGGGAAACATTGAAAACGTCTTTTCTGCCTGTGGTAGGGTCATCCCTCATTTCTTGGCCTTTCCTTGGGCATCTTCCACATGCCAGGCGGGGCACCAGGACTGAAGATCCTGAGTGATTTTGTGTCTCCAGGACTCAGGGAGCTGACCATTGTCTGAGAGGTATTGCTGCATGGCTGGGTGGCTGGTTGGGGAGGATTCTTATCTGCCCATCAATGGGGATGGTCAGGACAAAAGTTCTGAACTCAATACATCCTTCCTCATCCATTTTTCTGAGACCATCTTGAGGATAAATGATATATAAAAGTCAGTAAAATGAGGTAAAACAATACAAATCCTTCCACTTGAGAATTTGAGAGAGAATTTTGATCGTCAGTAGCCACAGATCATATTCTAACTATTCAATGAGACAAGTGTTTCTTTCTTCAGCGGGGTTGAGGCAGGATAAGAAGCCTGGAGCCACGTGAGCTGCCTGTGGTCCTGCCCCTGGCCAGCTATCAGTGTGGTAGGGTCACAGAGGGGGATGTGGACAAGTCTGTGGCCTTTACTGGTGGATGGAGGGAAGGAGAAGGGGGAAGAATACTCTCGCTATGAATCAGATGGAGGGTGTAATGGGGAGAGGGCACCTGGGGAGGGTCGCTGCAGGTGCAGCAGCACGAGATCACACAAGGTCAAATGTGCTCCGGTGTTCCTAGACCCTCCTGCTCACTGCAGGGCCCCCTGATGCTCTTCTCAAGACTGAAGCCCAGACAAGGGTCGGAGGCTTCCTGAAAACACTCTCCTCATTTCCCATGGTTCCTGAAAAGTTCACCTTTAAAGAACAGGTGGCAGTCCTCAAGGTCACACCTGGGGCCCTGACCTCAGGAAGCAGATGAAGTCCAGGCCTGTGCCCAGGACGGGGACACTGGCCTGTGGCCTGACGTGCCGCGGGCCCTTGACCTCACATCACCCCAGGGCTCCCTTGGGCAGATGTGTCCTGGAGCAAATGTCATTCCCTGAGGCCCAAATCACAAGCCGAAATGCAGTGTCCCCTCAGCACCTATCATTTTAAAGAACAATACTTTAAGATTCTCTCACATATCAGGTTTTAAGTTGTTTTTAGGTTGTGTAGAATGTAAACAATGCTTTCTTGGTGACTGAGAGAACTAGAATGGCCATCTCCCCATGCCATGTGGGAAAAGCTCTCACCATGCCATGTGGGGACAGCTCTAAAGCCGTTCAGATGTGCAAAGCCATTCACCTCCACGAAATGGCCCCAGACCATGGGGGCTTTTTTCTCTGCCTAGTTTGTACTTTTCCTAGTGGCATCTGTGGAACAGTGAGAAGAATGTGGAAGAGGATTTGTCTGCTACCAGTGGCAGTTTCTCCACTGGGGAAAATCCCAGTGGGCAAGGACCTGGGTGAAGGGCAGTTCTCTATGGAGTAACCCAGGGCCAGGTGCATGGGAGATGTTCAGTAAATCTCAGGAATGAATGGAGTGGATACCACCACCATTGAATTTGGCCATTAGAGAAATAGATGTTTGCATACTCTATTCAAGGGAATACAATAAATATTTTCCCTCTTTGTTTTTCTATAAATTATGGCATTCTTTAGTAAGTGCTAGTCCTTGGGCAATGTCTTATATTTTGTACCTGTGGTTTACTTGATTTTGTGCTACATTCCAGAGCTGGTGAATCCACATAGTCCCACTTGAACCTGACTGGAATTTAATTCAAGCAGTAATTATACATTTGTGTTGAAGGCCTGCTTAGTTCAGGGGCCTGTGGTCTCCATCTCTGCTGGCAGATGGAGAGAAGAGGAAGGGAGGAAGAAGGCTCTCCACAGGAATGGGACGGGCAGCACAGTGGAGAAGGGATCCTGTGGGAGGAATGCCATAGTGTGCAGCAGCACCAGGTCACTCACTTCAGATAGGAGTGGACATGGTGCTCTCAAATCTCAAAGGGGAGAAGCTGATCTGGAAAGATGGTACCCACAGAATCAAGGATGACTTCAAGGAGGTGGCATTTGGATTGACCCAGGGAGGATGGGTGCCTTTGGAGCAGGTGGAGGGTGAGGCAGCATAGAGAAGGTGGGCTGGCGATGGGGAAATCACATGTTTTGGTTTTGTTGGAGTTTGTGCTCTGCTGAGTAGAATCGGGGAGAGACAGAATCAGGCGTTGAAGGCCTGACACACAGTCCTGTTCCCTTGGGGAAAGGGTGCTGAATAGGGCAGAGGCTGTGCCACAGAAGCCCTCAGGAGAAGTCATCCAGAATCCAGGTCCAGAGAGGCCTGGATGGGGAGTGACAGGAAGCAAGGTCAGATGTGGTCTCCAGAGAGGGGATGGGGGAGCCAGGGCTGGCATTTAGGGTGGGAAGGTGGGAAGAGGTGCTGAACCCATGGCGGGGGCAGATCAAGAGGTGTCCCCGACTACTAAGTGGGTGCTCCTATTAAGTGGAGATAACCAAGGAAACCATAGCTTTCCTGATCAAAACGCTCCTGTGTTTCTATGCAGTGGGTTTAGGCCTTGGACAAAACTTAATCTCAGGACATCAGGGCCATGACACAATGGCTAAAAAAAGTAACCATTGAGAGTTACTACTCAACTTTCATCTTAGTAAAGACTTTGGGTGTCAATTGCCCAAGCTGCTGGTGCCTCTGAATATTTGTAGAGGTCTTGCTAAGTCTACTGAATTGGAATTATTTCTGTCCCTCACCAAGCTGTGGTCTCCTGGAGGGAGGGGCCCCTGTCCTGGCCACCCATTGTTCTCTGCCACCCACACGATCCTGGGCACTGAAGGGTTAGGTGCTCACACACTGTTGGTGGATGAGTGCGATTCATGAGACATCCTGCTTGGGAATCTGCTCCAAAATAAGCTCATGGAAAAAAAAATCTGAAGAATAGTGACACTGTTTCGTATCTTCTGTGCTTCACAACATTGGACAATGTTGTGTGTCCTACTGTAGGAAAAATAGACATTTATTCAAGGTATTGACTTCCTGCAAAATCCAGTTCCATCATTTTATGTAATGAATGAGATCACAGTCCGTATCCTCCGAAATATTACATATTACAGCCTTACCGTGCTGATAACTGTAATCAGCGGTGAAAGCGGCTTAATAATATATCGTGTGCACAGCCAGTGGATAAAAAGCTGTGATTCCAATATTGTTGATGTGTGTGGAAAAGCTTTTCCAGCCAGGTTTGAAGGTTCATCAGCTGAGGAAAGAGAGTATTAGCTGGAAGGAAGAATGAGAAGGCAGCGGTGTTCCCACTAAAGCCCAAAGGCTTCGTGTATCTGCAGCCCCGGTAGAAACCTACACAGAGTATCAGGCAACTAGAGGTCTGAGGAGGGCAGAATGTTTACAGAGGCAACTTGGAAACAGGCCTCAGCTTTCTTGAAAAGCCCTGAACAGTGATGCCCAAAGTTGTGCCATGCTCTGCCTTCCAGAGTCTTTTTTGCCCTCCTGCATCATTCCTGTGTCCAAATAGGCAAGTTTTCTAGGGAGATGAGCTCTGGGTAGGTGATCACAGAAACTGAGAACTGAATGCTTGGGGGATTCAGAGAAAAGTCAACATGAGCTGGTAAGGAAGGTGGACATAACATGTCACCCACATTCGGAAGTTTCATCTCAGCAGTACGAAACTGCAGGCTAAAAAAGATAGGAAAATAATTAAACCCTCTCAATAATTTAAACAGTTTTTAATCTTTGTTTAAAAGTTCACTTCGAGGCCTGAGCCTGAGAAGCTTACTATCTAAGGAATCCCCCCAGAAGGCCTTCACCTTGAGGAATGTTTACTTCCAGCACTGTTGGGTCTTCCCAGCCAAAGACCCCGCGGCCTCTGCAGCTGATTTTGCTGCTGGACTACCCGCTGCCTCTTTGTTGGCCAAGTGCTCAGGGTGTTGTGTGCTTGAGCTGTAGAGTCCAAATATCTGAAGACAAAATAACTTTCCACTTTTTCTGTCTATTTTCATACATAAACAAACTGCCCTTTAATGAGTGACACTTCGGGGGTCAAATGAAAAACTATTTCAGATATGTTAGAAAAGGGCTGCATGCAAATCAGAGCCTAAATTGCAGCGTTCACAGACGCAACGTGATTGTGACTGGAAATCTTGACTACACTCGATTCGTTAAGCAGAGGTGATGCCCAGTATTTATCTGCACGTTATTTGTAGAACTGCAATAGATGTTTACAATGCGATGAAAATGTGATTTTTTTTGTTTTTGTTAATGGGTAAGTATGTTACCCACAGTGTGTGCTTACACTGTGATCTATAGAATTTAAAAACTGCAGTTTGCCGTCTTCGGATGCCTCAGGCTGCTCTTCTGTGCACCCAGCATGCTATGTGAACACCTCTGTGTGTCTGGGTGGAGAGAGGACATGGGTAAGGAGAGGCAGGGACGACAGTGCCAGGAGCCTTGTGTCTGGAGTCAGAGTCTGTACAAAGAGCCCTACACCTGCTTCTCTCCTTGAGCTGAACAGGTGAGGAGGATCTCATAGAGCACAGATTCCTTGTGTTTGAGAATGAAAATCACTTCACTAGAACTTCCATGCACGATGGGTGAGGAGGCCCCTGCTGTATTTTGAGTGGAGGAGGGAGCATGAGCTGGAGGCTGGGGATGTGGGAAGACCTGAAGCCCACAGCCCACGGGCTCTGTGATCACTGCCACATCCTTCATCTCTGAGTCTGGCTAGGACAGGGGCATTGAGTTTTGTTCCCCTAGCCTCTCTGTATTTGTTTTGGTCATCTGGGGCAGGGATGAAGGCCATTTCCTGAGGCAGGTGTTTCAGGCAGGAGGATTAAATGAGCTCCGCTCATCTCTGCAGAACGCTGAGCACCATGTCCAGCACATTGTAGGTGCTCATTAAGTGTTAGCTATTACCTTTACCAGAACTTAAAGGCCATTGGAGTTTTCAATGCCACAGTGAGACATAAAGACAGTGACATGCGGATCCTGTCCCTGCACACCCTGGCTGAGATCAGGCATCTCTTCCAGTGTGGCCTCCTGGGCCTGGGAATTTGGTTAAAGAGGGTGGCTTTTTCAGACACAGGGCTCTTTCTTCCAGCAACGGTCTTTAGTTCAGTTTAAGACCACCCATTTAAGCTGGCACTGCCAGCGGGTCATGCCAATCTGTCTCTGCCAAACCCTTTTGGTTGTAGATGATGGCAAGTTTGGAAATAAGCCAAGGACCCTGTGCACTGGCCCTGCTCAAGGCAGCTCAGCTGCACTGGCCCGGTCATGTGAGAGCAGAGGATGGCTCTAGAAAAGGTGGCCACGGGCTGGTGGCCTCAGTGGAACCAGGGCACCAGCCATGGGGAAGGGAAGCAAGAGTGGGTGAGGGGATTGGGGTCACCCAATCTTGTTACACCTCTCCTACCCATCATGGCCCCAGGCCCTTTCCTATTCTCTGCCCCATTTCATCACCACGTTTCTCTAAGGAGGCACCTCTACTCCCTGCCTTCACATTCTCTTTCCCATCCTGTGAAAGAAAGCATGGGTTCTCACTGCCCAACTGACTGCCTGCCTGAGGCGCCCTCCACAGAGCTGACCCATCACAGCCTCTTCACATGGTTGGCTTCTTGGCTGCTTCTGTGCTGATGAACCCTAACCCGTGCTCTCAGTAAATGCCAGACCTGTGCCAGCGCCAACAATATCAGCTCCTAGTTACCCACACTGAGGACCTCTAATGCTCACCTTGCCCTTGAGACACCAGTACCTTCTCTCCATGTTTGGGATGGGATCCTTGAGGCTGAAGGGTGGCATGGCAGAGTGGCAGCCCAGACCGACGCGGAGACCAAGGTTCTTTCGTGCACTACCAGGTGTCCACCTTGCTGCCACCTGCAGCTGACATCGCTGCCTGCTCTGATCTTGACTGACACACCACATGTCTAAGACTAAACTCACGCAGCTTCCCCCGAGCCCACTGCATCCTGAATTTACTGCATGTGTCCAGGCTTCCCCTAGCCACTCTCCACTCACTCCATGCAATCATTATCCAAATCCTTTGGGTTTCACCTCTGCCCATTCCAGCATTTCACTTTCACCCCTCCACTCTAGTTGAGGCCTTCTTTACCCTTCTCCCTCTTTCTTTCTTTTAATTCAAACACCAAGTCTGATGTTGATGCCAGTGGGAATGCATTTGACCTCTGTCTACAGCGTGGCCAGGATCAGCTGCACTGGCTGTTTCAAGAACTGCCACATCGCACCTCTGCTCCACTCTGGATCCTCAGCCAACCCCGACTGGACCCTCTGAACAGGCGGGATCTCTGTACCCAGTATCTTTACATCTCAAGGTAAGCTGGAAATCCCCGAAACTTCATGGACTCTCACAAAAGATAAGGTTCCTTAAAGGTAAACATCGTGAACCTGCCTCTCACCTTACCTGTTAACCTCATTGGGACACAAGGAGGCAGAATTGGGAGGAGACTGGACAGGAAACCATACTATGAGGAACTACAAAACATTTATGATGTTAAAATGCTTAGGATCGGCCCGGTGTGCTGGCTCATGCCTGTAATCCCAGGACTTTGAAAGGCCGGGGTGGGCGGATCACCTGAGGTCAGGAGTTCCAGACCAGCCTGGCCAACATGGTGAAACCCAGTCTCTACTAATAATACAAAAAATTAGCCAGGCGTGGTGGCAGGCACCTGTAATCCCAGCTACTTGGGAGGCTGAGGCAGGAGGATTGCTTGAACCCGGGAGGCGGAGGTTTCAGTGTGCAGAGATCGCGCCATTGCACTTCAGCCTGGGCAACAGGAGTGAGACTTCATCTCAAAAAAAAAAAAAAAATGCTTAGGATCCATGCTGGTCACAGTTGTTCATATGGTATGACCCATGTGTCACAAGGCTGAGGAAATCTCTTTTATGTTTTTATAAACAACCTCAATCTCATTGTTTATAAACCTAAGTGGTCAGATCAAAAGTTTCCAATGATTTCCAGGTTTCTAAAGAGAGTTTTTTCTCCATGTGGAATCCAGCTTCTCCTTGTCCTCTCCATCTCATTTGGTTTCCACTTTGACCTCCTTTAAGTCCAGCCTCATGCTGCCTTCTACGAAGCTCTCCCTGACGCCCCTCCACCGGAAACTCATGGGGAAACTCCCGTTTTGCTTGGGAGCCCCCATTGCAGCCTTTCCCACAGGAGCCTGTACCCCTCCTACGCCTGGGAGGTAAGTCCACATCCACCTTTGGATCTGCAGCCCCTGGACACTGTGCCTGGCAGAGTCTGTGCTGTAGGAGAGGATTTGCAGGTGGAGAGGAGCTGGTCGGTGTCTAAACAATATACACAGAGACCCGGGCTGGCTAGAGAAGAGTTTCATGCTCTCTGTATGCCCTCAGGATCTTGTGTAGATGGTTCTTCTTCTTGTTAATCCCTAGATGTTAGATGAGTAGAAATATGCAGCACAATGCAAATAAAGCGAGAAGTATCTTTCTTAATTAAATTTGAAATGCCAGTAATTATCCATATTATTAAAGCAAATCGAATCTACCTTATGTTGCTGACAGGATTAGTGTTTGGAGGTTGGTACTTCCTCACTTACAATGGTTTAAAGCACATAAAAATTTCAGCCCAAACAACATCAAATGTCTTCTGAGCTTTCACTGCCCAGAAGTGTCTACTTCAAAGCAGGGGCTGAGAAATTTTTTACCGATTTGACACATGCGTGCCAACTTGCAGGCACTGCAGATGTCCTGGTTGGAGCTCAAGGGAGCTGTGGAGCTGTGGTTTTGGTCAGAAGCAGATGGACGTCTGCAGGGTCTGCATAGTACTAGCGAGAGCTGCCTGCCTGCATGGTGGGGCGTTTCATCTCTTGGCAAAGCTGCAGCAGACGTTGGCTTCAGAGCAGGCGGGCCAGGAGAGGAGCTGTGGCCAGACAGCCATTGCCAAGGAAGGGTCTGGGGCTCGTAGGGTGCCACAGATACCCACACCCGGTCAGTTTGTCACAAAGAAGCAGGTGTGAGTGATGCAAAGCCTTGTAACTTTAGAGGTCAGGCCCCAGGGAGAAGTCAACAGTGGATATTTGGAAATGCTAGTGTTTGCTCATTCATGCCTTTTCTGAAGGGAATTGGAAAACAGATTATTCTGATAGTTTAGGCCTGTATTAGTCTGTTTTCACACTGCTATAAAGAACTACCTGAGACTGGGTAATTTATTAAAAAAGAGGTGCAACTGACTCTCAGTTCTGAAAGCTTAAGAGGAAGCATGACTGGGAGGCCTCAGGAAACTTACAATCATGGCGGAAGGTGAAGGGGAAGCAAGGACCTTCTTCACATGGTGTCAGGAGAGAGAGAGCAAGTGAAGGGGGAAGTGCCACACACTTTTAAACCATCAGCCTTGGTGAGAACTCACTCACTATCACAAGAACAGCAAGGGGGAAATCCACCCCATGATCCAATCACCTCCCACCAGGCTCCTCCTCCAATTTGACGTGAGATTTGGGCGGGGACAGAAAACCAAACCATATCAAGGCTCAAAGTGAAATAAAGATGCCTACCTGTAGAAAATTAAACAAATGTAACAGTTTTTTGAAACTTGGATTCTCTGGATCATCTCTTCATTTTGTTCAGTGTGTGGGGTGTGTGTGTGTGTGTGTGTGTGTGTGTGTGTGTGTGAAGTGTCTACAATTATCTAATCAACCTTTAAAAACCAATATATTTCTGGTAAAATATTTCTAAAATCTTTTTATTGTCAGTAAATTATATAAGTTTTTTATATGTAAAAATCTGGCACATTCCAGATTTAAATTAAATTATTTATATATTGATATAGTCTTAGTTTTTAGAAATTTTCTCAGGGCAAAGCAATATTTGAGTGGGAAAACTCAATGTCTGGCAAAATAAAAAAAATAAAGCTTACACAGTTTTTAAGCTACAGATTGAAATAGCACTTTGAGTGCAATAAATTAATTTCAATGTGTTATAACAGCATGTGACTCTTGCCAGCTAATGGATAAAGTGGTTCAGTCCACAGTTTGGCCCAGCTCTCTAAGGACCCGGGTGTGCTCAAAGGCATGGCCAGCACTTTGTGGATTCTTCCATCTCAGCTGCCCGTCTTCTTTGTGACTCTCTGTATCTACAGAAATCTTGGAGAACAAGGTGCTCTCGAGAAAAAACTTGACCCCATTCTGATTAGGTGGTGGCCTTGCCTTTGCCCTCACCCTTGCTTTGGCCCTTCCCTGCAGACAGTCAGGCAACTGGGTCCAGGCTTGGTTCTTTTCGGGGAGGAGAGGTGAAAAGAAGGGACAAGGGAGTATGGAGGCTTTGTGGGCTTTGGTGTAGCTCCAGCCCAAATGAGGGGAAGAGTTGTAGAAGGAGGAAGTGCAACTCAGGGAGTGGGACAAGAGGAGCTTCTCCTAGACCAGCTCATGAGATGTCCCTGGGAGGGAGAAAACTGGGTGCTCCTGGGAGGCACGGGCTGGATTTGGAAAGTCTGCATGGAGGGTTGAAGACGTAGAGAGGGATGGCTCTGGGTGCTCCTTGGGAGATGACAGAAGGCCACTGGGAGCCCCAGCAGAAGGTGCTGCATCCCACACAAGACATGGGAGCGACAGGAGTTGCCTGCCTCGAAGGGGTCTTGATGATAGGAAGAGTCAACTCTGGGTGATGCCCTGGTGGGCAGGTTGAACTGTGTTTCCTCCACTCTCTGCCGTCTCTCCCCTCCACTCCCCCTCTCCGTTCCTGACTGTGAAATGTTAGAATGTGGCTTTGTTTCAAAACGGGGTCTTTGCAGATGTAGTTAGTTAAGATGAGGTCAAATGGCATTGGCATGGACTGTAAATCTGGAGTCCTTATGAGAAGAAGAGATGGAACACCAAAAACAAGCTCCTGCGGCCATGGAGGCAGAGACTGCAGTGACGCGGCTACAAGCCCAGGAACCCTGGGAGCCACCGGATGCTGGAAGAGGCCAGAAAGTATCGGTCCCCAGAGCTTCTGGTGGGAACATGGCCCTGCTGATACCATGATGCTGTAAGAGAACAAATTTCTGATTTAAGTCACACAGTGTGTGGTACTTTGTTACAGAGGCCACAGGAAGCTGATACACCTGCCATACCAGGTGCTAACACACTTCCTGAAACCGTAATGACAGGTGTTTGGTAGAAAGAAAAAGTTCCCAGCAATGACTGAGGTGGAATTGTGATAGGATGGGGCTGGGCTGGGCCTCAGAATTCATACTGATGCATCTTGTACATCTGAGTTTGTCCAATCTGATGTGTGATTGGCTGGAAGTTCTTCCACTCGTTTTTGTTTTCTTTTTTTTTTTAATTTTCAAAATACTTATTTTTTTTTTTAGAACAGTTTAGGTTCACAGCAAAATTGAGAGGAAAGTAGAGATATTTCCCGTATGCCCCCTACCCCTAAACATCCACAGCCTCTCCTATTATTAACATGCCCCGCCTGAGTGATACCTTTCTTATGACTGATGAGCCTACATTGACACATCATTATCATCCAAGGTCCAAGGTTGTCTTAGTCACTTTTCTGCTGCTACAACAAGCTATCACAAGCTGGATAGTTGATAAAGACAGGAAATTTCTTTCTCATACATCTGGAAGCTGGGAAGTCCAAGAGCATGATGCTGGCCTCTGGCAAGGGTTGTCCCATGGTGGGAGGAGAGAAGGCAGAAGCAAGCATGAGACAGAGAAAGCACCAGGGAGTGGCTACCTTTCATAACCAATTGCTCTTGTCATAATGAACTCACTCCTATGATAACAACATTAATCCATTCATGAGGCTCCACCCTCAGGACATAGTCATCTCTTATTAGGCCCCACCTCCCAACACTGTTTCTTAAAAAAGTTTGCAATCTATGAATTTGGGGAACACATTGAAACCATGGCAGTAGTTTATGTTAGGGCTCACTTCTGACGCTGCACACACTGTGGGCTTTGAAACATGTCTAATGACATGCATCCATCACTACAGTATCACACAGAGTAGCTGTCTATTTATCTTCCCTCTACCTCCCCAACTCCTGGCAACCACTGATTTTATCGTAGTCTTCATTGTTTTATCTTTTCCAGTGTCATATCGTCACAGTCATACAGTACATAGCCTTTTCAGATTGACTTCTTTCGCTTAGTAATATGCATTTAAGTTTCCTCCATGTCTTTTGTTGGTCTCACAGCTCATTTCTTTTGAGCGCTGAATAATATTCCATTGTCTTTAGGTATCACAGTTTATCCATTCACCTACTGAAGGACATTTGGTTACTTCCAAGTTTTGGCGATAATGAATAAAACTGCTATAAACGTGTGTGTAGCTTTTTGTGTGGATATAAGTTTCCAACTTTTTTGGATAAATAGTGATATGGTTTGGATCTGTGTCTCCACCAAGTCTCAAGTCCAATTGTCATCTCCAATGTTGGAGGTGGAGCCTGGTGGGAGGTGGTTGGATCATGGGAGTGAATCCTTTGTGAATAGTTTAGCACCATCCTCTTGGTGCTGTTCTCATGATGGTGAGTTCGTCCTCACAAGATCTGGTTGTTTAAAACTGTGTGGCCCCTCCCCTCTCTCTCTCTCTTGCTGCTCTAGTCACTTGATATGCCGGCTCCCCCTTCACCTTCTGCCATGATTGCAAGTTTCCTAAGACCTCCCCAGAAGCAGATGCCACCATGCTTCCTGTACAGCTTGCAGAACCGTGAGCCAATTAAACCCCTTTTCTTTATAAATCACCCAATCTCGGGTATTTCGTTACAACAAAGGAAGAACAGCCTAACACAAATACCAACCAGTGCAATTGTTGTATGGTATAAGAGTATGTTTAGCTTTGTAGGAGACCACCAAAGTGTTTTCCAAAGTGGCTGTACCATTTTGCATTTCCACCAGCAGTGAATGAGAGGTTCTGTTGCTCCACAACCTCATC
The DNA here is from genome assembly GCF_000001405.40 of Homo sapiens. NCBI lineage: Eukaryota > Metazoa > Chordata > Mammalia > Primates > Hominidae > Homo > Homo sapiens. The sequence goes on from NC_000010.11 coordinate 130,437,164, forward strand.
AGCATTTGGTGTTGTCAGAGTCCTGGATTTTGGCCATTCTAATAATAGTGTGTAGTGGTCTCTTATTGTTTTAATTTGCATTTCCTCCTCCCTCTTTCAAAATAGTGTTTTTTCTTTTTCCTTCTCTATGCATCCCTTTAAATCTCTGTGACTTCCCTCTGCTGTTTCTGCTCACTCTCCTCACTGACTCTCCACCAGGGAGATGATGCTGCACAGTGAGCCTGGCCCCTGCCCCTAGACTGCCCTTGCAGCACAGCCCACCCATCATCACTGCAGGGACTCTCAGAAAACTAAACCTGTTGCCATTCCAGCTTGGTAAGGTGAATGTGCCAAGAGCAGGTGAATTTAGAATAAGATTCCTTCTTACCATCTTTAAGAGCCAGGGCTGTTTCCTGTGGGCTCCTGCATAATGAGTTCTCTTCCACGCCCTACTTACATCCCTTCTTCCCATCTTCAACTGCACATCTTCTGCTGTTCACCTAAAATCTGAGGATGCTCCCCTCTGCTCTGGTATTCTGAAGTTACCTCTGCCTGCCCTGCTACTCCAGGGAGTCTGATAGGGGTCACAGCCTTGACATACCTCCTTAAATGCTTCAGATCAGAGAAGTAAAAAAAAAAGAAAAACAAGACTAAATTGCAAGTCATTTGTTCTTGGCTTGTAGGACGTGCATCTGTGCTAGGCAATGAGGCTTAATAGGATTGCCCCTTGCAGAGGGTGAATGGTTGACTGTGGATATTCAGAGGTGCTTAGGTGAAGGTCATGATGGTGCTTTCCCTCCTAATAACAGTCTCTTCTTTTCAAAATGTTGAAGAGGCAGCTCTCGAGGACAACCTCCCCAGTTGACCATGGCCTTCCTTCCATAGCCACTTTACTGCAAAACACAGCATGGTGGTGATCATGGGGCATTGGAAGCACTTGTAAAGTAACTGCTGATGGGCAGTAGGGCTGTGGGGTTTGTCTAAGTGCCCTGCCCCAAACCTCTCAGGTTCCGGAACTCAAAGGTCATTGACGATTCATGGCTTGGGGGTCAGCAGTTTGTATCATTGTCAAGGGAACACCTGGAAAAAGGGGAATGAAGACCACATCTCCCTCCCTTTTGAGGTTCAATGTCATTAGAGTATCTTAGAGCTCAGGACTGAGATCTTTGGGCAGAGATGATCCTCCAAGGGGAAACTGGCTCTGAGAGTGGAGAGGGTCGGGGCAGACACTTATCCTGGGAAAGGGCTGGTTCTGGAACTTCCTCCAGCCCCACCTTGTGCGAGGGCTTCAAATCAATGATTAAATGTGTAGATGTGAAGTTGAGATGAGATTGGGAAGCCCAGCTGGGCTCTTTGACTTGAATGACCATGTAAATCTGAGAGCAATTGGCAAGGGAGCAAGAGATCTACTGTCCTTCCTGCCCCTTCCCATGCACCCCCATCCCTCTGTGAGTCTGCAGTTTTTCCTGGGATTTCTGGGGGGGCTCATGAGCCTTAAGTATAAGGTTGTGAGTGTTGTGAGTAAGCATTCTGGAAGGGTGAAGTAACCTCTGAGGCAAGATCCCACGGGCATAGTCTATTAGGTTTCTGCTAAGGTGGCCACGTGGAGTAGACCTTTGTACTCTGGGGCAAGGTTTGGGGTACAGGCTGTGTCAAAACCCTAAACTGCGGTATAGGTCCATTGCTCACAAACATATGGGTTCAAATGACCACTGCACCCCCCTGCACCCCACTGCACCCCACTGCACCATGCTTCTTGCTTTCTTGCTTATAGTAACCATGATGCTGGCTCACAAGATGGCCGAGATGGAAAGAGCCGGGCTTGGAAACCAGACACCTGGCTGAGCATGCGGACGCTACCCTCTCCCAGCTGCAGGGCCTGAGCCCTTCTCCAGGCTCAGGTTTGCTTACCTGGTGGGCTCACACCTGTCCTGCCTGCTTCATGAGGTGAGAACATACCTGTAAAGCACACTTTCTGAAACTGCAAATCCCCTGCGCGTGGTTTATCATCACCATCCCCCCTCCCGCTGCCTGTTTTGTGGGTGCTGACAAGCAGTGGGAATTTGTGCCTTGTGCAGTTTGGGTCTGGCCTATTCATGAGCCCTTGTGTGGTTTATTTCCCCTGACAACTGGGTCAAGCAGTCCCCAGGGAGGCCTTCCTGGGAGCACGTGAATTGGCTGCTGAGGCACCTTCCTCCATCCCTGCGGCAGCCTTCTACCAAATTTCTTCTTCATGCCTCACGAGTTCAGCTGTAGACAGGGATGCATTTATCTTGCTCATGCCTCTCTTGCTCAAGGCATCTTCTGAACTTGTGAATTTTGAGACAAGAATAATAGCTTTACAAAATCATTTTCTAAAACAAATTCTGAACTGCAATTTACTTTACTTAATGAAAAGAAACAGAAAAGCATGGCCTTGCTGCTTGGCCAGATATTTTCTTTCAACACGTCTCAGCTTGTACCCTTAGCGAGTCCCAGGTCTCTAAGCCGAGAGTTCTTACTTTTCAATAAGCTGACTCTTACGTATGTAAAGCCATCCAGCAGGCTTTTGTTATTTCCTTCCAAAATAGGGAGTCCAGACTTGGCATCTCAGTGAATCCCCGCACCGAGTTTAGAAACTGCGCTAGCCAGTCCCTCCCAACTCCTGACAGCATGTTATGCTGCTGGTTATTTGTGGCCTGGTTAGAATTTTCCAACAGATGCAGTGCCTGACATGTGACATCACAGTGCAGAGTGTGCCCCGAAACTGTCTGGTTTCTAGAAGCCCGCTGGACCCGTGCCTGTCACTGTGTGGTGTCTGTGAAGGAGAATGGTTTAGGGGCACATAGTTGAGGGATGTGACTTCAGTTCTAGCCAGGGAGTGTCTCCTTGGAAATGGGTGCGTGCCCTCTGGTGTGAAGGGGTGATGGGAGGGGGCTCAGCCCTTGCTGGGTGCCTGGCTCCTGGGGAGTCCCAAGTCTTCACATCTGCTCAGCGGTGCCTCCCGGAAATCCAGAGCCACTCCTTGGGGTGAAGCTTTGCCTTGTCACCTGACGGTTCAGGTTGGTGCGTCTGGCCTTGTATCCAACAGCTCACTTAAATATCGACTTCCCTTTCTCATGTCTCGGTCTTCATTTTGCGCTGATGCTCTTGTGTAATTGCCTGTGGCCTGGGTAATTAATTGTTGGTGCTGACTGCGTCCGTTTAGTCCTCATGAGCTTGGGAGACCCCAGTGTTGGGAAGGTCTCCGAATTGGATTTCCATCCATTTGGCACCATCATTGTTAATTATGGGAGTCGAGGTGAGGCTATTTTGGAAATAAAAACACATTACCCTGACTTCCAGGCATACTGGATCCCATTAAATATCTCTTTCAGCTGTCATGAAGATACATGAAGACAATGGCTTCAGATTCCATCTTGGGATCTACTCAGAGACAGGATTATGCCCTTGGAGGCTCCTGCCAAGGGTACACATGAGGGATGCCTGGCACTTCTGCCCTGGAAAACAGAAAAGAGAGGCAGGCCCTGGCGGGCTCGGCATGGCCACATCATTGTAGGTAGGGGTTGTGGTGGTGAGAGGCACCTGTGAGATGGACTGTTTGAGGGTCTCTCCCAGGCCCTTCTATGCACAGCGTCTCCCTCTCTGTGCTCCCTGAGCACACCTGGCTCATGGGTGCTGTAAGCACGGTTTCTGGACTGTGTTGATTTCCCTGCCTGATACCACCTCCTGGAAGGACAGGAATCCCATTTCGACTTTAAATCCCCCATGTCACGCACGGTACCTCCAGTAGACAGGAAAAGGACTCCCCAAATGTTCATGTCCTAATCTCTGAAAACTGACTCTATTGCCTTACGTGGTAGAGGGGACTTTGCAGATGCAGTGACATGAAATATCCTGAGAGGGAGAGATCATCTTGAATTACCTGGCTGGGCCAATGTCATCACAAGAAGGGTCCTTACAAGATAGAGGCAGACCCAAGGCAGAAGAGGAGACACGGCGCCAGAGCACAGGCTTCTTCCGCCGGCCGGAGGGATGCGCCGTGAGGTGGAGGGAGGAGTCTCGAGCCAGGGAGTGCAGATGCTCCTGGGATCTGGGGAAGGTCAGGAAACAGACGCTCCCTTAGAGCCTCCAGACGGAACTTAGCCCTACTCGCGCCATGATCAAGTGTCTGACCTCCAGCGCTGGAAGGGAGAATCTTCAGAAGAGTATCTATTTTCTAAAGCCACTGAGCTTGTGGTAATTGTTTACAGCTGGAATAGGAAACGGATCCAGCACCTGATCCTCCCAGCATGGGGAAGCGTTTATAGAGAAAGAGAGAGCTGCAGCAGGCAAAGCCCCCGAAATGCGGTTTTCATGTGAAATCAATTTCAGAATGAGTGCTGGTCAGCTCTCCCAAGTCTCCTCCTCACCCGACTCCAGTGAAGACCATTGATGGTGTTTTGCTGCAGGAAGTGGAATATGCATATGCACGGAACAATTCTGGCTAAAAGCAGCCTATGCCTCCCAATTGCAGCACCGCGTAAAATGCCCATTAAACGGAAACCTACGGGTTCCTTTCATGAAGTTTTCATGATGTGTTTAAAGTAAAAATTGTGAGAATGTCACCCTATCATCTTTTTCAAAGGTGCAGGGAAAAGGTAAGAAAAAAGGAGGAGTAAAGTGATGTTTCCAACTTTTGAAGGCGTCATTTTTCTGAGCACTCAAATTCTCCATGGAAGACGTAACACACACCTTTGGTCTAAAAGGATGCTTTGTAGTTTTACGTTCTTTTGTCCTCTGTATTTTATATCTCAGCATGTCCTTTCTTTGTGTTCAGCGTGTTGTCTTTATTTCAATTAACTAGATGCCAAATATATCTTCAGAGAGGTTTCCGAGGGGGAGGGACGTATCCTGAGTGAGGGTCCTGGAGAGCCACGAGTATTCTGTGACCTGGGTACATCAGTGCCCTGTCTGCATCTCAGTTTCCTCTACTGTAAAATGATGGGTCGGATGAGATAGTCCCTAGGGACACTTCCCTCTGAATTCTGGTACTTCCCCTGCCATCTTGAGAACGGATTCAGCGGGACTCACCTCAGTGCCATTCAGCTAGAGATTTCCAACCAGAAAGTCTTTAGAGGCGTGCTGACCTTCTGGGATTTATTTTTTCTTTCAATAAAAAAACCCACTCAAACAAATAAGTTTCTAAACATGTTAATAAGCTACCCAAAGACCACCATTCATCATTCTGATTGAAACCTTTTAAACTGCATAATTGTGCTCTGCTTTTCTCGGTTACCATAATGAAGTAGCTTTTGGGGCAACAGTGATTAACTACGGGCTTGATAGAGTATGAGGCATTTGTCTTTAGGTGTCTGCTTTTTTTGGTTTTACATTTATCTTAACTCTCTATATACCGCGAATTGGATAGGCTGCTAGTGCTGCCGCAGGAATGACAATTATTGCCTCCTTAATTACATCTAAAATTAGCAAATGATGATGAAGCTCATATTTTCCCTCCAAATGTGCTGAATTTCCCCTCTTCTTTACTTATGCAAAAGCTCATGGTCGTGCTGCTCTTCATTGATCTGTGCTTTGAAATGAAGTCTGCAACCTTATAAATACCATTTTTTTAAAAGGCTTAAAGTATGACTTCTTTAAAGATTTATGAGGTTCTGTAACTAGATTTTGTATAAAGAAAGTACAGATCCTAAATTTGGTGTTTGTAATAAGATCAGAGGGGCTGATTCATGGGTTTTTTGTACTTTATAGGAAGTCGATAAATACAGTTCTTCAACCCCTGTGAGACTTGGTCCTCCATCAAGTGAAAATATACATTAAGGGTAAGATTTCTTGTTGAAATGGTTCAGAAAATGCGTAATTCAATAACCTTAACTGGCAGTCCCTGGGATAACTCACCGTCTCTGATGTGCACAATATGTAACCCCCATTCGAATTCCCAGACTGAGAATATGGTTTGCAATTACACAGGTCAAAGAAGCGTTCTGAGTCCCTTAATGGTAAGTCATAAAGGGAGAGATATGTAGAAACAATTGCTTATGGTTTGGGAGGTAGTCAGGGAAAGCACGCTGATCCAAATGAAATAAATAGGTTATGAGATCTAAGAATTATCTGCTCTAGCAAACATGAAGTGGGCGTAACTCACTGGGTGATAGCACCCCCCATGTGGAGAATAAACCAGTGAGTCAGACAGTAAAAAGGCAGGCAGATGAAGGGCCTGCCAATGTAGGTGGCAATAAAAAGGCTTTTTTCGCTCTTTGCCATAAAACTGACACTGTGCTTAACAACATGACCTCGGAGCCAGCCTGTCATCCTATGGTTGTTCCCGTCCTGCTCGAGAGGACTTGTGTTGAGAGCAATGATGAGGGAAAGGCAGAGAGCTGGACTGCAGGTGACACAGGACGTCCTGCTCTTCTGCACCCAGGCGAGACCTGCTGACCTAGGGCCACACACACCATGTGCTCTGCAATCCCAAGGCAGCCATCAGCCACGTGGCATCCTCACAACGAGCTATGGTTCCTTCTAAGCAACATTTAGGCATCAGTCCTAGAGTTAATTTTCTTACACCTGCAGAGGAGCAGGGAGGCACCCTGCACCCGGACTGACTTCATGCTCTTCTCTCAGTATGATCAAAAGCATTGCAGATCTTTTATGAGCCATTAACATTTTTCATGAAAATCACACAAGTGATTTGAGTTTTTCATAGAATGTAAGAATACAAGAATATATAGATATTTAAAAAATGAATACAGATCACCTATATTCCTAGCACCTAAAATCAACCAAGTATCAGTGTTTTGACGGATATTCTTCTACACTTTTTATGTATGTGTGCATGTATGATAGTGGATTGCACCTTACCTCCTTTCTTTTCAACTAAGCTGCATTTATATATGCTTAAGTACACTAACCTTAAGCATATAGTTTGACACAACTTTACATAGGTGTACTCCCACATAACCACCACCCACCTCACTTAATGGTGATGTTTTTAAGCGAACAAAGTTCTCAATGTTAATATGTTGAATTTATCAAGTTTTTGCTTCTGTTAATGCTGTTGTGATAAGAAATATTTTCCTACTCAAGATGATGAAAATACATTTCTATGTTTTCTTTTGGAAACTTTTTTGTTTTACCTTTCACACTTATATCTAAAATAAATCTTGAATTAATTCTTGGTTATACCTTGAAGCAGATATAGAAGTTTATGGTGTTTTTTCCCTCCACGTGGATATTGATTTGCTTTATTACCATGTATTAAAGAGACTGTCCTATCCCCACTGAATTTAGGTAACTTTTTTCATAAAGCAAATGACTGCATAGGTGTGTCTGTTTTTGGTCTATTTATCCATCACTGCAGAAACACCTCATGTCTTGATTACTGTAGCTGTATAGTGTGTCTTAGGTCAGAGGGTTTAAGTCTTCCCACTTCCTGTTCTTCAAAATGGTCCTGACTCTTCCAGGTCCTTTGCATTTCCATACAAATTTTATAATTGGCTTGTCAGCGTGCACAAAAATTCCTGCTGGGATTATGATTGGAATCGCATTAAATCTGGTGATCAATGTGGAAAGGGTTGACATTTTAAAAATAATGGATTTTCTAATCCGCAAACAAGGACCATCTTCCCCACTTACTCATGTCTTCTTTAATTTATTTCAGTAATGTTTCATAGTTTTTCATGAAGAGGTCTTGCATTTGAAAAAAATAAATGTATCCATAAGTATTGAATTTTTTGATGCTATATGAATCAGAATTTATTTATTTTTCTAATTTTTGTTGCTATTACATAGAAACAAAGTGGACTTGTTATATTAACCATGTTTCCAGTGACCCTTCTAAATTCATCTGTTAATTCTAATTTGTTGATTATTTGAATTTTCTATCTATGCAATTGTCCTTTGTGAATCCTGACAGTTGTATTTATTCCTTTCCAATCTTTATGTATTTATTTATTTTTGCTTATTGCTCTGGCTCAATATTTCCAGCTCAGCATCTAATAGACATGATGATGATGTGTGATCCTAACCTGCTGGGGGAGTCTGGCTATTTTACTACTAGCTGTAGGCGTTTGAAAATAGACTCTTCATTGTATTTTAGAAGAGCTTTTCTAATCCCAGTTTTCTGAGCATTTTAGTCATGAATGGGTATTGAATGTTAAGAAATGTTTTCCTTCATCTGTTGAGACAATTCTATGGTCTTACGTTTTACCCTGTTATTGTGAATAAACATTTACTTATATTTAAATTTAATCCTGCGTTCCTAGAATAAACCCCATTTGGTCATGATATATTATGCTTTCACAGTCCCTAGATTAAAATTGCTAATATTTGGTTTAGGATTTTTGCATCTGTGTTCATGAAAGATACTGGACTATGATTTTCTTTTTCTAGCATCTTTGTCATGCTTTAGTACTGAGGTTATGTTTTGTCCGTGGAATTCATTGGGAAGTAGCCCTCTTTCTTTTCTTCTCTGAAAGTATATTTTCAGATGGGTATTATTTTCAAAGGCTCGGAGAAATTAACCAGTGACTACCTGAGTCTAGAGTTTTCTTTATGGGAAAGTTTCTCACTATTGACTGAATTTTTAAAAACAGATATACAACGACTTACATTTTCTAATTTTCTTCATGCCAGTTTTTTAAGGTTTTGTTCTTTAAGAGGTTTTTTTCTTTTCATCTAAGTTTCCAAATTCCTTAGGGTATAAAATGTTTCATAATACCCTCTATTTTCTTTTTAATGTCTGTAGAATCTTAGTAATGTCCCTTTTTCCCTGAAGATAGTGGTAATTTCCCCCTTTTTGCTTCATGGTTCTTGCGAGGGGTTTTTCAGCTTTATTACTATTTCAAAATAATATAACTTAGCTTTGCCTTGCTATATTGTCTATCTGCTTTTAATTTCACTATCTGCTTTTATCTTTATTATTTATTTTCTTCACTTCAATTTGCTGTTCTTTTAGATTTGGGGGATGGAAGTTTAGAGAATGGATTTCAATAATTTCTTCCTGTCTTCTTTCAATATATACATTTTGGGCTATCCATCAATATCCGTCGAAGCACATTTTAGTGTCATGCCACAATTTTTAATATTTATATTTTCATTATTATTCACGCCAAAATATTTTTCCTTGTAATTTACTTAATCTTCCCCCTTGGGTTATTGTTAAGTTTCCAAACATTTGTGCGCTTTCCTACTATCTCTCTGTTATTTATTTTTATTTTTATTTTTAGTTCACTGTCATTAGAGAATATTCTCTGTAAAATTTTAATGTTTTGAATTTGTTGAGGATTGCTTTACAGCCCAGCAGATTGATTTATTTGGGTAAATGTTCCATGTACATCTAAAAAGCATGTGTATTTTGTTACAGCTGCGTGCAGAGTTCTGAATATGCCAGTTAGGTCCTATTCATTAATCATGTTCAAATCTTAATTCAAATCTTAATTTTTGTCTATTTAATCAATAACAGAAAATGGTGTACTAAAGTCTCCAATTGTGATTGTAGATTTGCTTTTTTATCCTTTTAGTTTTACCAGTTTTTTGTTTCCTGTATTTTGAAGCTGTGTTTATTAATAATTATGCAGATACATTTAAATTGCTTTGCCTTTACTCCTTCATCAACATGAAATATTCCAAATTTCCTCTAGTAATATAGAGAGTGTTACAGAATCTGACATTACATGTAAACAATCTGATATTAATAGACTCAAATCAGCTTTTTTTGGTTGGTGTTTGCATGGTGTATATTTTCCGATGCTTTTACTTTCACCTAACTCTGTCTTTTATTTAAAGTGCGTCTTATAAAAGGCATGCAACTGGGCTTAAGCTTCTTATCTAGTTTGACAACTTTTGTCTTTTAATTGAAGTGTTTATTCTATTTATATTTAATGTAGGTACTGATATTGTTGTCGGTTGGGTTTAAGCCTATTATCTTACCATTTGTTTTCAATTTGTTCCACCTTTTTCCCTCTTCTTTCCATCTTTGCTTTGGGTTAATCAAGTATTTTTTTATTCCAGTTTGTCTTCTATGGTCTCATTTTTCTTGGTATTGTTTTAGTGGTTACTTTGGAGATTGTCAAATGCCTCATTCACTCATGACAGCCTACCTCAATACTTCTAACCATTCCCTATTAATATTTGAGTGCTGTGGCAGTTTTAATTCTATTTACCCTTTTCCCACGATTGGTGCTATTGTTTTCATGTATTTTACTTCTACATATGCTATCAATTCAGACATTGCTGTTAGTGTTGTGTGAAGCAGGACGTATTCTTGTATATTTACTCACATGTTTACTCTGTGGTGCTCTTTGATGCTTCATGCATTTCCGTACCTGCATCTAGAATCATTTTCTTTCTGCCATTAGAAACTCCCTTTACTATTTCTTGCAGTGTGGATCTTCTAGCAACAAATACTCTCAGTTTTTATTGGTTTGAAAACATCCTTATTTCACCTTCATTTCTAAAGGATTTTTCCCTAGTTACAGAATTTTTAGTTGGGATTATTTGTTTCTGTTAGCATTTTACCATTGCATTCCATTGTCTAAAAAATGTTTGTTCTTATCATCTAAGTTTTCAAATTCCTTGGCATACAATTTTAAAAAACGTCCTTTAGCTTTTAAGATTTGCAGGATTGTAGTAATGTCCCCTTTTCATTCACGATAGTGGTACTTTTCTCTTCTTTTTTGGCTTTGTTGTTCTTGCTTGGGATCTAGCTGTTAGTCTTGTTATTATCCATTGAAAATTATATATATTTAAGGCATGCAACGTGGTGTTTTGAGATACATATGCATAATGAAATGATAACTACAGTTAAGCAAATTAACATATCCCTTTCTTCACAGTTACTTTCTTTTGTGATAAGAGTACCCGAAATCCACTCTCTTAGAAGATTTTCAGGATACAACGAAATACTATGAACTACAGTCCTCTTGCTCTATGTTAGCTCTCTAAACTTACTCATCTTACGTAAATGCAAGTCTGGACCCTTCGAGTCTACATTCCCCCATTTCCCTGACTCTAGTAATCACCTTTCTACTCTCTGTTGACATGTTTTTGACTTTTATGGATTCCACATGTAAGTAAGATCCTGAAGTATTTTTCTCTCTCTGCTTTCACTGAGCAGAATGTCCTCCAGGTTCATCCATGTTGTCACAAATGGCAGAGTCTCTTTTTAAAGGCTGAATAATAGTCCACTGTGTGTGTATCTATCTTATCTGTCTATCTATTATCTATCTACCTATATATTATCTATCAATTATCCATCTACCTATCTATTGATTATCTGTCTACCTATCTATATCTATCATCTCATGTTTTCCTTATTCATTCATCCACTGACAGACACTTAGGTTGTTTCCATATCTTGGCTATCATGAGTAATGCTCCAATGAACATGGGAACATATGTAGATATCTCGCTGAGGTGTTGATTTCAATTCCTTTGTGGATATACCCAGAAGGAGAATTGCTGGATCTTATGGTAGTTCTATTTTTAATTTTCTCAGAAAGTTTCATACCATTTTCCATAAAGGCTGTACGAATTTACATTTCCACCAACAGTGTAGAGAGAGTGTAGAGAGTTATCTTTTCTCCATGCCCTTGCCAACACTTATCTCACCTTTTTTTTTATCACAGCCATCCTAACAAATGTGAGGTGCTATGTCATTGTAGTTTTGATTGCACTTTCCTGATGATTAGTGATGCTAGGCACTTTTTCATGTACTTGCTGGCCATTTGCATATCTTCTTTGGAAAAATGTCTATTCAGATCCTTTGTCCATTTTTAAATTGGGCCATTTTTTTTTTTGCTATTGAGTTGTTTGAGTTCCTTATATATTTTAGATATTAATCCCTTATCAAATACGTGGTTTGCAAATATTTTCTCCCAATCCATGGGCTGCCTTTTAATTTTGTTGATTGCTTCCTTTGTTGTGCAGAAGCTTTTTAATTTAATGTAGTTCCACCTGTTCATTTTTGTTTTTGTAGCCTGAGCTTTTGATGTGATATTGAAAAAATCATTGCCAATGCCAGTGTTGAAGAGTTTGTCATTGACCTATGTTTTTAAAGGATTTTTATGGTTTCAGCTCTTGCATTTAGGTATTTTATCCAACTTTTTTCTGTTTTCTCTAGATTGCTTTGGCTAGTCAGGGTCATTTGTGGTTTCACAGAAATTTTAGATATTGTATTTTTTTATTTTTGTAAAAAAACCAGTGGAAATTTGATAAAGATTGTGTTGAATCTGTTTATTGGGTAGTAAGAACATTTTAACAAGCTTAATTTTTCTAATTCATGTTCTTTGGAGGTATAAGACTGTTTCCTCTGGCCAATGATAATTTTCTTTTTTTAAAAAAAATCTTTGGTTTTAAGAAGTTTGACTATAACATAGTTTTCTTTGCATGTGTCTCTCTGGTTCTTGCTTCATTGAGGTTTTGAATCTGCGTGTTATTGGCTTTCATCAGTTCTATATAATTCTCAGCCATTGTATTTTCAAATATTGTTTCTGCCCCATTATTTCTCTCCTATCTCTTGGGACTCTCATTACATGCATGTTAGACCATTTGACATGTGGCAGTATTCCACATGTCTCCAATGCTCTGTTCTCTTTTGATTTTTGTTTTGTTTTGTTTTCCCTCTAAAATTTTTAGTTGACATTTCCACGAGTTCCTCAATTTTCTTCTCTGTATGGTCTGTCTTTAAGGCATCCAGTACATTCTAATTTCAAATACCTTATTTTCAGCTCTAGAATATCTATTTGATTTGTGTCTTTTCATAGATTAAATATTTCTCGGCCTTTTCACTCTTTTGTTGACTTTTAAAATTTTCTTTAACGCATTAATTATAGTTATCTAGAAGTCTTTGCATGTGAACTCCAATATCTGGACAATCTGTGGATCTGTATATATGTTTTTCTTTTCTGAATTCTAGTTTTTCTTTTCTGAATTGTTGGTTACTTTATTCTGCCTCTTCATAATTTTTGAGTGTATTCCAGGCATCATAAATAAAAGAACCATAGAAGCTGAAGCTGACGTTAATTTCCTCTGGGAAAAATGATCTTTTTGTTCTTTTTATTTAGTTATTTATTTTCTTCAGGTTGAGCGGCTCATCAGTCAGGAATTGAGCTGAGTTGTTGTTGCAGTAAGACTAACTCCATTCTGCCTCTTTTCCTTGGGCGTGGTCCTCTTGGGCTATTGTTCTGGAGGCTGACAGGTGTCCATCACCTCAGCTCTGGTGCAATGTAGGGCATTCCCTCTGTCTTCTGAGGTTTGATCTTGGGTCTTTAGTGAGTAGGATACTGGCTCTGTGTTTTAGCCAGTTCCTCTTTTTCTAGTGGAAATTCGTCTGTCAGTGCTCTGTAACTGCAGGCTATTTCAGTCTGCCTGGCAAAGGCTTCTGACCCTGGGCTAATATATCAGAAACATTTTCCTTTTAACAAATTTGTGCAAATAAGTTACACCTCTCTAACATTATTTTTAAAACTGCATGGATTTTAACTAATCTCCTATAGTTGGATCTTTAGGTGGTCTCCTAAACACATTTTAGCCAATCTTACATCCTTGGGATAACTCCTTAGAGATGCAATAACAAAATTAATACTTTGACATGCTTTTCTCAGACAGTGTTGGGTTAGCTGGCACCATCCTTCTGGAGCCCTTTGCCTGAATTTACCAGGCAAGGCTTGGGTATTTTTCTTTATAACAAGTTTGCTTCCCTGTCTTGCAAAACCTGTAATGGTTGACACCACTTATGACTGTGAACAATGCCTACGTGGGTAAATATTGTGAATGTACTCACTGGTGTTCAACAGTCCTTCCATTTCCACAGAAATTGCTATGGGCACCACACCACAGAGTGGAAGGTGCATTTCTGTTTCCTGTGGGTTGGCTGGCTGCTTCCATTGCCCACCAAACAATGCTTGAGATAACCTTAAACATTCTTCTTTCTTATGCTTGCTCTCGCCTCCCCACTTTCACTGACAGATAAGACTTAGAGCGCTGATCATTGAGAGACAGAGAGGGAGAGAGAGAGAAAGGTCGAGGGAGAGAGAGAGAAAGTTCAAGGTAGAGAGTGAGAAAAAGACTCTAAAGCAGTTTGTCTTCAAACCCAGGTGACTGTTGAACTCCCTGGATACCTTGTTTCAAATAAAGATTTCCTGAGTGTGTTCACCTGGAAAATGGGATGGGCAAAGGACTTAGAATCATGCTAGTGGTTGGCATATAGGACATGATCAAGCAGTGCTGGCTGTTGTCCTTGTCATCGCCACCACCTCTACTATGGAATCAGAATCTTCAGGGACGGGGCTAGGAATCGATGCTTTGAATTTAAGCCTCAAGCAGTTCTCACAATGTCACTGGTCCTTAATCAGTATTTGGTAATAAGCACTGGCCTTGAAGGGGACTGAATCCCCTCTTCCTCTGGTATTGGTTGATGCCTGTCTTTGGTTTATCAGACAACCTGAAAGATGGGATGTTTTTGGTATTGTGGCTTTGCTTCCTGGAGGAGCTCCCGGAAACATTTCCATGCTGTGTCCTCCCCATTGCTCTAGGACTGAGATGGGAATGGCCATTCGGAACATCCCGGCATCATTTGGAAATGCTGTGAGTGACATACCTGCTCTTGAGCCTCGTGTAAAAGGGCTGCACGGAAAGGGTGGAATCTTGAGTGTGTTTTTCCCTCATCTATATTTCAGGGCTTCTGTAGCACTGCTGTTTAAATTTCATAACAAATTTCTTAATAAAAACAACAGGCATGCAATAAACTGTTCTCAGTGTTCAAGGCTGAGGAGGTATTAAGCAGACAGATACGCTTGCAAGCAGATAACGAGCTTTTCTTGGTTGTTTTGGCGTCCAGGAACCGGAGGGTTCAATGTCATGCTCCAGTTTCCTCAGTTTGTTTGTTTTGAGACAGAGTCTTGCTCTGTTGCCCAGGCTGGAGTGCAATGGCACAGTCTTGGCTCATTGCAACCTCTGCCTCCCTGGTTCAAGCAATTCTCCTGCCTCAGCCTCCCGAGAAGCTGGGATTACAGGTGGACCATGCCTGGCTAATTTTTGTATTATTAGTAGAGACGGGGTTTCACCATGCTGGCCAGGCTCGTCTCAAACTCCTGACCTCAAGTGATCCACCTGCCTTGGCTCTCAAAATGCTGGGATTACAGACGTGAGCCACCATGCCCCGCCTCCTCTGTTTGTTGATACAGCCCTCTCCCTCTCACCCCTTACCCGCTTATGCTTGTAAATCTCAACTGGATTTGTGCCTTTGATTGTGAGCTGTTTCAAATGTTTTATGGGATTGTTGGTAGTGTAAGTAATAAATTCATTAAAAATTCAAGACCTCTAACTGCAGCTGGGCCAGGGGAGCTGCCTAATAATGTCATTACAATTCTCTGGCCAGTTTATTCTCTTCTCCTGCAATGGCTGTTTCAAATCTGTCCCATTCTCCTGAAATCTCTGGCCTGTCCAGCTTCCACACTCACTCTGAGCTCAACTATCACCCCCCCAACTTATGACAGGAAAGAGAACTTGCCTTCTGGAACCTCTTCTTTTTTCTACACCTCTGTGCACCACTCATATCCCTTCTCCTTCCTTCTGTCACAGCACGGGAGGAGCCTGGCCCTGGGAGGCTGGTCTGGATTCATTCCACCTGCTTCGGCTCTCTTTTCTCTATGCCACACCTTGGCCTTCTCTCTTTCTTCATGATATTCCATCGAAATGGAAGATGCTCCCTGGCTCCACTTCTACCCAATTTCATGCTTCCTCATCATTGTCAACTTTCTTGGAAGGGTTTCTGTGCTGCTTTCTTTATCTCTCCACTTCCATGAGCCCCTCGGCCCAGTTCCATCTGCCCCCTGCTCTGCCAGGGTCCCTGGTGACCATCACGTCTCCATTTGAGGGCTGTTTGAATCTTTGCCCTGAACAGAGGCTACACAGCACAGTGACGAAGAAATCACAGTGAGTCTGGACCTGGACCCCTTTGGCTCAGATTCTGGGACTGGCAGGTGCAAGGTGGATGATGTTGGGCCAGCCAGCCTCTGCAAGCTTTGCTCTCCTGATCTGCAGTGTGGCAACCTAAGTCATTCTTATCCCAGGGCTGCCATGAGCAAAAAACGAGATAGACACCTCAGGCAGCTGGTTCGCTCATGGGCACGTGGTCGTCCCGCAAGGTCTGTGCTAAAGCTGCTGTTCTCGCCTTTGCTGCGGTGGTCATTGTCACCGGGCCTCTGAGTGGCATTTGACCTTGCTTGCCACTGTGCCCTGCCGACATGTTCTCTTGGATCTCTCCCTTTGGCTTTGGCTGCAAGGGGGCTCTTGTGCTCTGCACGCCCTCCAGTGCTCCTCGTCTGCACCTTCAGCTGCTCCGTGAACGGCCGTGCGCTTTCATCTGTGCTCACATGTTGCTGACCCACCATACCCCCTGTAGGTGAGCAGTGCTCTCTGGGTCTTCGTGACAGCGTTGTCTGCCCTGCAGAGGGGCTGTGACTCTGGGGGTGCCTGAGCCAGTCTGTCCCATTGGAGGTTGCTCAGCACAACCACAGTGCGATGGCCCCGGGCTTTGCCAGCCCTTCTGGGACTCAGTGGTCCCTCTGCTCTGCTTCCGCTGAGATAGTCATGTCTTCCAGAAGTGACACGTGCCAGTGAATTCTGTGTGCAAGGCTGGCTCTAGAATCCTCAAGGCTTGGCTCCCTGGGGGCCAGGGGTGTTGGGATCCTCGGCTGCCATGCCCTGGGCTCCTTCCACCCAGGGGCTGTGTCACGGTGAGACTGGGTGGCTGCAATGCATCCACTGCAAATATCAGAGTCTGGTGTGTGGGAATCCATGTACATGCACAAAAGGTGCAGGGCCTTGCTCCCTGAGGGCAACTTGGCCCCTTCCAGGGGGAAAGGCAGGCAGCCCTGCCAGCCCGGGCAGCCCCGAAAGCTGTGCTCACCTGAAATGACCTGCAGAATGCCCCAGTATTAGTAACACTCACCCTTGGGTCCAAATCCATGCTGGATTTGTCCAGCAGTGGTGGCAGGGCAGCGTCAAACCCCACACTGAGGCCCCGTTTTCTTCCTGTGATTCTATCAGGTACCACAGTGGCTGCTGTGAAGTCACTTCCTGAGTGACTTTCTATAGCTGAAGGGGCCCTATGGGGAGGGTGGTGCTTTATGCTCAGAGCCCTGGGGCTGCTCTGTCTGCCTGGGAGGGGGGGTTCCTCAGCCACAGGGCAAGGCGGTGGCTCCAGAGCTGACCCCGCTCTGCCCCAGACACTTGCAGACCCTGTCCAACTGAAGAGCTGCTGCCACCCCTACCGGATGCTGACTGACGGAGCTCACCCGTGCAATCGATGAGTCTGGTCTCTCCGCTCTCGGTTCTGGAGCCTGAGCCTTGTTCTTCTTTACGTTATATTCAGGGAGCCCTTGGTTGGCTGAGAGTGGGGAAATCGGGTGGATGAAGCCACAATGAGTGGATACTTGCTGTGAAGGGTGCTGCTAGTCACACCTCTGCTGGTCATCCCCCAGGCCATCTCAGGTACCGGCCACACTGCCACGTGTGGTTCTAGGAGAGCTCAGACCTGCCTGATTCTGGCCGTGATGCGGCCAGAGTGTGTGCTGGGTATCCACTGGGCTCCGTTCTGCTCCTGGGGCCTTCTGGATGCTGTGGGAGGCCAAGCATACCCTGGGGTTGTGGGGAGGTCCCAGTGGGGAAAATGGGTAAATGCTGGGGCCACTGTGCTGCAGATGGGTAGTTCTGGGAGGTTCTGGGGAGCTCTCCCTGCTGCTGGTGGCAGGGACCTTGAGTGTGACCTCCGGGCTTGTTTACCTTCCCTGTCCACACTTCCCTGTGCCCACTCCTGCTTCCTGGGAGCAGCTCCTGAGGGCCTGTCTCTGTCTCTGCTTTTCCCAACTGCGATAATGACCCACGTGAATACCTGAAATGGAATGTGGCTGTTTCAGAAACTAGTGGAATTTGGGGGAATTTTCTGAAGGGCATGGGGGCTCCAAGTTCAAAAGTAGGTGGGATGTCCTTAGTAGCTGGGGAATTCTTACAAGTCGAGCAGGGTCCTGTCTGAGAGGTTTGGCCTCAAGGTTCTGCTGCACAGTAGCATCTGAGAAAGGGGCTCTGGGACATCCCTCTGTGGGTCCACCCAGAGCCAAGACACATGTGGTTTCCTCCACTTTCTGGAGAGAGGCCCCTGGGCTGGCTCCCTGTGGCAAGAGAGCCCCCAACGCCTCTCCCACCTGTCACTGGACCTCCCAGATGGCCGTCTCCCTCTTGAGGTCCCTAGGTTCCCACTGCACAGACCTCGAGTGAAAAGTGGATGTGTGTCCCAGGATTCAAGTCCGTGAATAATACATCAGAGAAGACAGCCCTTAGGAAGTCACCTTTGCCTTCCCTCTGACTGTGGCCCCATCGTGAGCCCCGCATCACCAGCCTGATGTCTGAGGGGGTCCTTGCAGGATGATAACAGCTGCGATTCTAGAGGTGCCTGGGGTTTGTGGTGCTTTTTGTTTTCACTCCTATATAAAGCCCTGATTGCTGAATAATGGAGCATTGTGGGCTTCAGTGCATACCTTCATATGCACATCGCCATGGGGCTCCTGAGTGCCAAGTTGATATTTTTGTGCAGTGGCAAGTGAACAAAGCAATGTTAAATTCTAAGATGTTTGCAAAAAAAATGCCATAGGGTTTGTTATGCTGTCGTTGCCTTAACATTTTTGTTGCCTGAGTGCGCCTAAAGAAAATATAATGTGTTGGCAGGGTCGGGGGAAGATAAAGACAGTTCATACCGTGTGCAACCAAAGCAGACCAAGCCCGCCCGACTGTGCCTGTCTGCCATGGCGGCTGCTCTGTTGACCTCCTGGGTTGGGGTTGTCCATCAAGGGCTGTCCTTTTGGGAGCTTCTTAGAGAGCAAGATGAACAATTAGCAGACAGGATTTGAGATTGACTTTGTCTCTCTTACCTCTGGAAGGGCTCCTTGCACTCAATGCTGAATTGGCCAGTGTGGGCAAGAGACAGTCCTGGAGGGCGCATGCTTCTCCATGAGAATGGGATGGGTTTTAGAGACCCTCTTCTTGGGAAATACACATTCCTATATACATAGCATGCTGAGAATGATTGCAGGGTGGGGGATCATGCCCCCAATGAACCTCCCCATGAGTCCCAGATGAAACAAACCCCCAATCTGTGGGAAAGGAGCCTACTGGCTGGACTGTTTTGGGAAAGCAGGGCAGTAGAACCAAGGCCTTGTATAAGCCCACAGATAATTGAAGTCAGTGCAGATTGCGGGCCCCATTGAAAATATTAGCTGATGAGAGAGAGAGCGGGCAGATTCACTGCAGCTTCAAGAAATAGATTGGCAGAGTGTGGGATTAGTGTGTGCTTTCTGGTTAAACTGCTTTTTATAAATTTCCTATACAAATAAAATCAGGGCCATTCTATACCATTAAGAGCTGCAATGAAAAGAAAAAGCAAGATAACACCAGCCATCTCCTATTTTTTAAAGGAGACAGAGGCATCTAACTGAGGTCTTTATGAGGTAGCGTGCCCTCCCTTAGAGCAGCACCTGCACCATCAAGAGGGAAGATGACATGGAGGATGGTCAAGGCTGAACCATAACAGATGGCCAAGGGCCATAAGGAATGGCCTCAGGTTAGGACCAGAACCCAGCTGTCCTCGCTGGGGGAGGGCAGTACTGACCCCCAAGGTGGCAACATTCAGGATAGGGAGAACCATCCAGACAGGTGCTGGATGATCCTGGCAGAAGCCACAGACCTGCCCAGGTTTGTAAACGAGAACTGGTGCAGCCAGCTGCTGAGAAGACGACTGCTCTCACAGGCCAGTTGCTCCCTGTGTGATATAAAAAGAGGTATGCCCGTCGAATACTCTGCAGCCATCAAAAGGAATGAGATCATGTCCTTTGCAGGGACATGGATGGAGCTGGAAGCCATTATCCTCAGCAAACTAATGCAGGAACAGAAAACCAAACACTGCATGTTCTCACTCATAAGTGGAAGCTGAACAATGAGAACACATGGACACAGGGAGGGGAACAACACACATGGGGCCTGTCGGTGGTGGGGTAGGGGGAAGGAGAGCATCAGGATAAACAGCTAATGCATGCTGGGCTTAATACCTAGGTGAGGGGTTGATAGGTACAGCAAATCACCATGGCACATGTTTATCTATGTAGTAAACCTGCACGTCCTGCACATGTATACTGGAACTTAAAATAAAATAAAAAGAAAAAAAGACAAATAAGCAGGTAGGACAATATAAAGTGGTTAATGAAAAAGAGATGTGCAACTTGGGGGAAAAACAGAGTTTCATGCATGCCAGTTAATCTCTGTTTTTTATAAAAGAGCCTCAGTTTTGCAGCTCTATGATTGGTACAAGTAAATTGAGTTTGTTTTTCTTTTAATAGTGATCAGAGTAAAGGGCCTTGAAAATAATTTTCTTTATGGAAAAGTTCCCTTCTAAGAGACAAATTAAAAATATCCCATGAAACATCCAATCTTGTTTTTTCTTATTTTGAAAACAGTGTGTTTTTGTTTTGTTTTGTTTTGTTTTGTTTTGTTTTTGACAGAGTCTCACATCGTTGCCTGGCCTGGAGTGCAGTGGTGCGATCTTGGCTCACTGCAGCCTCTGCCTCCCGGGTCCAAGCGATTCTCCTGCCTCCACTTCCTGAGTAGCTGGGATAACGGGCGCACGTCACCTTGCCTGGCTAATTTTTTGTATTTTTAGTAGAGACGGGGTTTCACTATGTTGGCCAGGCTGGTCTCGAACTCCTGACCTCGTGATCTGCCCGCTTCAGCCTCCCAAAGTGCTGGGATTACAGGCGTGATTTGTTTGAAAGGTAAATACGAACATGTAGCTTGTTCAAGCAGAATTTTTGAATGTCATCTAATTATAAGAGCTGTTAACAATGTATATTTTATAATTCCTAAGATAATGCACAGTTCCCTAAGATACTGAATTAAAATGGTCCTGAGAAAATTTGAAGAGTGTTATCCCACTTGCATGTTTCCAGAATAATGTTATCTGGAAAAGTCATCCTTGCTTGACTGGAGCCACATGAAGTAAAGAGGGCTGGCTCTGCTCCCAGCCCAGGAAACTGTCCCAAGTTTCTGGCACACCCAGGAATCCGGGGAAGGGGTCTCTGGGTCACTGCCTCGCCTCCCTCCTTTGTTCTCTGAACAACTTGGTTTGCAGTTACTCATGACTTCTGTGGTTTCTGAGCGGAGAAAAAAGGCTGACCAGCTCTCATTCCTTTTGTATAATTTAAAAAAATTAAAGATTGTTGCACTTAAAAGTAGAAAACATTTAAAAATGCAGAGAAATATCATAAAAAGAGGTATGAATTTTAATCTGAAAAAGGGGAGTTAAGGAAAAGAGGCCAGATGCACAGATGAATGGATAAATAAAATGTGGTCTATCCATACGATGGACTATTATTCAGCCTTAAAAAGGAAGGAAATCCCACTGTTTGCAACAATGTGGATGAACCAGGACCTGATGCTAGGTGAAATAAGCCAGGCACAGAAGGACAGGTACGACAGGACCCCACTAATGTGAGGGACCTAAAACAGTCACACTCAGAGAATCAGAGGGTGGAAGTCAGGAGTCAGTGTGTACCAAGGGTCAGGTAGCAAGATGAGTAAGTCCTGGAGCCCGACCGTGCAGCACAGTGCCTACTGCTAGCAGTGCTGTGTTGTACACATAAACATTTGCTCCTAGGTGAGATCTGATGTGAAATTATCATCTACAATAATAAATAAAAAGGAGCCTCTGGAGGTGATGGATATGCTTACAGCATAGACTGGGAGGATGGTTTCACAGGTGTGTACCTACCTCTGAACCCATCAAGTTGTACACATTAAATATGCACAGCTTTTTGTATGTCAATCAGACCTCACTAAAGTGGTTAAAAAATTGAAAAGAGACTCATGAGAAGTTACAAGTCTCTGAGCTCTGGGAGAGAGGGGAGTTTCCTGCCTCTTGGTGCGGCCCAGCAGCTGGACAGGCAGGGTCAGGTGGAGGAGCAGGCGAAGGCTCCCTCAGAGTTGGGGGAGCCAAGCCCAGGGGCCCTTGCTGGTGCTTGTCCCCGCATCCCCAAAGTAAAGGGGCGTGAAACTCCCACCCTGACACAATCCAGACCTAACCAAGCCCAGGGAAGTCAGAGGGGTGGAGGCAGGAGGTGAAAAGGGAAGGGTAGAGGCAGGAGAAGGTGAAGAGGGAGGGTTAGAGGCAGGAGAAGGTGAAGAGGGAGGGGTGTTCCCCAAGGTGAAGAGTGAGGGGTGTTCCCCAAGGTGAAGGGGGAGGGGTGTCATCCAAGGTGAAGAGCGAGAGGTGTTCCCCAAGGTGAAGAGGGAGACGTATTCTCCAAGATGAAGAGGGAGGGGTGTCATCCAAGGTGAAGAGGGAAAGGTGTTTTCCAAGGTGAAGAGTGAGGGGTGTTCCCTAAGGTGAAGAGGGAGGGGGGTTCCCCAAGGTGAAGAGGGAGGGGTGTCATCCAAGGTGAAGAGTGAGGGGTGTCATCCAAGGTGAAGAGGGAGGGGTGTTCCCCAAGTGAAGAGGGAGAGGTGTCATCCAAGGTGAAGAGCGAGAGGTGTTCTCCAAGGTGAAGAGGGAGACGTATTCTCCAAGATGAAGAGGGAGGGGTGTCATCCAAGGTGAAGAGGGAAGGGTGTTCTCCAAGGTGAAGAGTGAGGGGTGTTCCCTAAGGTGAAGAGGGAGGGGGGTTCCCCAAGGTGAAGAGGGAGGGGTGTCATCCAAGGTGAAGAGGGAGGGGTGTCAACCAAGGTGAAGAGGGAGGGGTGTCATCCAAGGTGAAGAGGGAGGGGTGTTCCCCAAGGTGAAGAGCGAGGGGTGTTCCCCAAGGTGAAGAGGAGGGGTGTCATCCAAGGTGAAGAGGGAGGGGTGTCATCCAAGGTGAGGAGGGAGGGATGTTCCCCAAGGTGAAGAGGGAGGAGTGTCATCCAAGGTGAAGAGTGAGGGGTGTTCTCCAACTCTCACGAGAGGGAGGTGTGGGCTCTGAGGGGAACTGCTCTGTGGGGAGCTCACTTCCAAAGTAGAGTCTTCTGACCCCTTCCCGAGGCAGCCAGAGCCTTCCACACTCCCAGTCCTCTCCTGCCTAAATGCATTTTAGGTGTGAACGTGCTCAGCAGGTGGTCACTGCCCCAGGAACATCTCATCATCTAGCATTTATCTGACACACAGAATGGGGCCGGTCAGTGTTGCCAGCCCCAAGTGACAGCTTGTAGGAAGCAGCTACATCCTGGGGGAGCCACAAAGACCAGCAGCAGCAGCACGTGGGAAGTCAGGACACCCCAGCTCCCTGGCCCCATCTAGATCCAAGAGGAAATCTCAGCGCCTGGGGGGCTGGGTTGGATTTTGGCAGGACTGCACCCATAATTGGTATTTTATTGCCTTCTATCTACCAATTTACCCAGATAAATTTTATTTCTGTTATGCAAAATTAGGGATATGGATTGGTATATTTCATTCCATTCAATTATTTGGATGTTTTATGCAGTAATTTTCCAAGACTGTAACGTTACAAAGTTCCTATGTCAGCTTCTGTGAGAAACAACAAACTATACCTCTAACTTGGTTGGTGGCCGAAGTTATATGGATATAATCTAAACAAAAATTAAAGACCGGGTGGGGTGGCTCATGCCTGTAATCCCAGCACTTTGGGAGGCCGAGGTGGGCGGATCACGAGGTCAGGAGATCAAGACCATCCTGGCTAACACGGTGAAACCCCGTCTCTACTAAACATACAAAAAATTAGCCAGACATGGTGGCGGGCGCCTGTAGTCCCACCTACTAGGGAGGCTGAGGCAGGAGAATGGCATGAACCTGGGAGGCGGAGCTTGCAGTGAGCCGAGATCATGCCACTGCACTCCAGCCTGGGCAACAGAGCGAGACTGCGTCTACAAAAAAAAAAAAAAAAATTAAAATTGAAAAATATAATGAAAATAATTTGGGATATCTTTTGTAATCTGGTTCTTCTAGAACCCCAATATAATTGTGCAAATGATATGGTCCTACAAAGCTAATCTTAATTTTTTTTTGGTGAAGTTTTAAAAATTGCGACAGATTCATGACCATTACCCTGGTGTATTTTCTGACAGTGCTATTATTTTGCGATGATGGACTGGTAAAGTATTTGTATTTATCCAACAGCTAAAAGAAACTGGAATGCACGCCAACCCACACGAGATAACAGACAAGCAATGATATCACGGCTCATGAGAATGAAGAGTTCAAGGGCACTGAGTCTGTAGTTTTCCTTTCTTTACCATAGCTTCAGAAGTTTTTCTCAATACCCTGTGCCCTGAAGAGGATGGAATTTCATTTTCTTTCAGTTGAAGCTTGAGAGGTGATGACGGGAGGTTGTCTAGACTTTATACTTTGAAGTCCACTCCGGGATGCTTGACCTACGGGTCAGAGACAAGAAAGCGAAGTCTTGCACAGTTTTTGGCATTACAGTAGTTTAAGCCCTTCTTGATGTGAGGCTCTGTAACAGTGTGTCCAAGGCAATGGACAAAGACCAGGAAGTCTAATCAGAAGGAGGAACGAGCATGCTCTCCGATGTGCTTGGTAAACACAGAGATAAGTGGAAAATATCAACATGAACCTGTAGCCTTTTAAAAAGGGAAGCTTGTTCTGCTCTGATGTGATCCAGTCTACTGTGCCCTCCTGGGGCTCAGATGTGGGCTTCTCGTGCCGTTCTCTGCTAAAAGGAACCAGGGCTACTTCGAGAGTTATTGACTCCCACATTTGGAGGAAGAGAACTGAAGACAGGCCTAGAACATCTATTCTGAGAAAACAAGGATGCATTCAAATGTGGGGAGGTGGTGACGGTGGAGTCAGATTTGAGGGGACATCACCAGGTCACATGTGGCAATTTCAACTTCAGAAACAAAACCATGACAGGCCCTGGTGATTACAGCTGAATCTGTAAATATCTGTAGGTCCAAGGTGATATTCAAAAGGAGTGAAAAATATAATACATACTAGAAAAAGAATAGAGAAACTTAATGGGAGCCACTGATCAGTTTCAAATTATAGAAACTATACATATATAACCCACAGTTTCTTGACAAATGCCCACTCATCAGATCCTGGGGGATGCAATGAAGGTCTTGGTACCAGCTCAACAGCAAAGCTTGCCAGCTAAGAGAGGCTTAAGTGAGGCACGGGACCCATGGGGAAGGGGGCTTTCTGGGATGCCAGGAAGTTGGAGGTGCTATTTAAAGACGCCCCAGCCCTGACTCTGCTCCCTGGAGTTAGAGGAGTGATGCAGGCCTGATGAGTTTTGAGAACCGTGACATTGTTTGAGATCTGCAAGAATTTCCATTAAGGGCAAGATGATTTGCATAAGTCCTTCATAATTAGCGGTACAGACCTCCCAGCATCAAGGAAGCTTGATACAAGAAGAGTTAGGTTCTTCGGTCTATTAAGACCCTAATTTACTAATTTGTGGTGATATCAACAGCATCTGTGTGCCCCTCCCCTAGCCCCCATTAGGGATTTCAGAAACTAAGGAAGCTTGTGCATCTGTTTGTGCACTGGGTGGCTTGATCACCTTAGCATTTCTGTGTCAGGAGCCCCATCTAAATTGAATGCCCATGCATGTGTGTGTGTGTGCGTGTGTGGTCCCCTCTCACCAATGCAAAGCCCACCTCCAACATCACAAGATGTAGCTACCTTTGAGTGTGGAGACCCTGTTGAAGTGGACACAGGTGGAAGGCTCCAGTGATGGGCCATGAGGGGTGATGGAGATGCACACTGCAGTGGTGGGGGTGGGGTGGGGTGGGCAGATATTTCTAGAGTAGCCTCACAGACATAGGGAGGGACAGGGGTGGGGTGGGGTGACTGTGGGTCCTGACTGGGATGGCTGATGAGAGTGATGTGCAAACTTGGGGGAATAAGGTGGGTTACTTTTAACGAAGCTAAGTTTCAGGCACCTGCTGGGCATCCCATACATGGTTAAAATATGGGCCTGGGATTCTGGGAAAGGTCAGGATTAAAGGTGGCAAGATTAAAGGTCAGGATCCTTTGGAGGTAATGGTGTGGCAATGGCTAAAACCCAAGGACAGATGAGGTCGCCTGGAGCAGCTGACAGAAGAGGGCCAAGGTCAGACCTCCATGCAAGCCCAACAGCCTAGGACAGGGACACTCAGAGAGATGAACCCATGTGCCCAAGTTCAACTGGGGTCGGTGTCTGTAGATGGTGCCAAGGGCTCCACTCCCCTGTACTGTGCAGCGCTCTGGCTGAATAGCTCCATACTCAGGGCGCTAGATTTAGGAGGGACTGTGGAAGTCACCTGGTCAGAACCCTGGCTGTGGTAGGTACCAGCTGAGTAACATCAGGCAGGGAACTTCACCCCTTTAAACCTCAGTTTCCCTATCTGTGTCATGAAGACAATGCCAGTGCCCTCCTCCCACACAACTGGGCAGTCAGGAGCTGGTGCATGGGAAGTGCTGAGCACAGTGCCTGGCCCACAGTAAGTATCTGAAAGTAGGAGTTAGTCAGGTTCCAGCCCCAGCTGAGGTCCGAGGGGAGTGGGTGGGCAGAGTGCAGGGAGCTGGAAGAATACTCAAGAGACAGCAGGTAAATTAGATGTGGCTTTATTCAGCAGCTCTCTCATCAGCAGCTTACTCACTAGCAGCTCTCTCATCAGCAGCTCTCTTACACTGTCTGCCTTTATCTTGGCTGTCTGCTCCAGTTCTGTGGCTTCTCTCAGCAGCCGGCTCCCATGCACAGCTGCACAGCCAGCTCTCCCTTGCCTTCAGGGTCAGCAGCTTAACTCTTTCTCTCTCTGGGCATGAGCGCGAGCCATGTTGAGCCATGTCGAGCCATGCCGTTCTCTGGCTCCCCTCGGTCCATCTGCAAGATGGACAGCTCTGGTTCTCTCTCTCTTTCTCTGGGTGCCAGCAGCAAGAGCCATGTGGAGTCATGCCCAAGAGCTGAGCCGAGCCCAAGAGCATCTGTATGGCGCAAGCAGGGCAGTTATACCTTTTACAGACAATAGTGGCTTACAGCCAAGTGATGGCCTTCCGTGTTATGGCTACGTGGCTGTGATAACAAGTGGAGTTACACACCTGTGCTCGAAACTTGCTGAGTACACAGGATGTTTACCTTGGCCTATGCCCACTTGGCTGCAGTGCAGCCATGTTCCTTACAGTGTTGTTCTTATTCATCAGTATGCCTTCTGTCTACTTTCTGGAACATTCATGACTGATGGATTTGGCTTAAGTAATTCCCTCTCCTGGACTCCTCAGATCTTCAATGCAGCACTTTTGGGCAGTCATTTGAGCAAAGCTCATGCTAAACCATTCTTGCTACCTGTCTGTGTCTTCCTAGGGTCCCCCATGGAGGCTGGGCTGCCCTGGCAGGTGCCTCTTCCTGTGCTGACATCCACCCTCTCTTTATGCTGCCTGGAGGGGTGGGGCCTTTCCTCTGGTGGAGTGGGTAGAGAGACAATGAGGAAAGAATTTTCACTTGTTTTGAAGAAAACATCCCATCTGCTCTTCATCTGTGTTGACAAACCCACGCCACACAGGCCTGGGCCGGCAGACAGCACAGAGCTCACTGGAGCCTCCTGCCAGGCCGCTGAAGACACTCTTTCTGGTTCTAAAGTTCTCAGGGAAAAACGCACTGAGTTTACTGTTGAGCTCTACACACAGTGTGGTCGGAGTTATCTTCAGGGGCGCATTAGGACACGTTAATGCAATGAGAATACAAGGAGAACCCTGATCTTGGATGTAGGACAAGGCCATAAACAAAGATTTCCCACACATGTTTATGAAAAATACAACCTAGCATTCTGTGTGTGTCTAAATGATCAATGTTCAATATCCTTTGTTACTTCAGACTATTTGGCAGTTTCTTCCTCCAAAAATGGGTATGATCCCCTTTAAATTAAAGTCCTAATCTCTGTGTCTTAGAATGAAGGCATACTGTTCCTTTCTTTTGCCCCGCTAGTCTGAAAGCCATTCTCATTTCCACCTCGTCCAGGGCAGCAAGGGATGAGGGTGGTGTTGGGTTTGCTTATTGACTTCTAGGATTGAATTCTTCCTGCTGACACCAGGAGGCGTGTCCACACGGAGAGCACCTCCATCTCCCCTTTGGTACCTTCTGCCCCTCCTAACTCCAATCCACAGAGGGCACAGTGCGGTGAGGGAGACCTGAGGGGTCTCTTTGAACCATGTCCTGGGGGTTTTCTGTGGAGTAGGGAAGTGGAGCGCTCTGGGCTCGAGGCTCAGGGCCTGAGTGGGTTTAGGGTCTGTGTCTATGGCGTGGCCACATCCCCCAAACGTCTGGCTTCCATTTTATTACTTGAAGAGTACGCCATTACATCAAGGAGTTGATTTCTTGGCTATATGCATGTATTTTAACTACAAAACAGTGTGTTCAGATATGTAATTTTCAGTTTCCATTGTGATCCAGATAGACTCCAGCAGGTTCAAGAATGCTCTGTTGACATTTCTCTCTAAACCGGAAAACATTGCTTTAGCTCCTGCTTGGCTCACAGAAATGCAAATGAACACCTAGTTTCTTCCTCGCTATTAGAGGGAACAGACACACGAAGATGTCAGAGGAGGCTGGGGACAGATGAGCCAGTGGGACTCCAGCTCTTCTCCTTGCCCACGGAGGCATCTCTGGAAGTTTGGGTCCCCTGAAGTTGGCTTTTCTTCCGTGGGTGTGCCCTTGACATGGGATAAAATGAAGGTCGTTGTAGGTTAGGTAGTAGGGGCTCTTAGCGAAGGAGTTTCACTTTCAACAGATAGGTCCAGTCAATGACAGACACCTATGTACAAGCTAGTCGAAGGTGAAAATAACTAACTTTGGACCAAATAAAGCTTTCTTTAGATTAGATGGTTCTTTGCTTTCCTTTTCTATTCAGTTTTTTTTGTTTTGTTTTGTTTTGTTTTTTTCGTTTTGTTTTTTGTTTTTGAGACAGGGTCTCGTTCTGTTGCCCAGCCTGGAGTGCAGAGCCACAATCTCAGCTCACTGCAGCCTCACACCTCCTGGGTTCAAGTGATTCTTGTTCCTCAGCTTCCCGAGTAGCTGGGATTACAGTTGTGCACCACCACACCTGGCTAATTTTCGTATTTATAGTAGAGACGGGGTTTCACCATGTTGGCCAGGCTGGTCTCCAACTCCTGAGCTCAAGCGATCTGCCCTCCTCTGCCTCCCAAAGTGCCGGGATTACAGGTGTGAGCCACTGCGCTCAGCCTCTATTCAGTTTTTTTTTAAAAATGCCTTTCCCCTGTGAGCTATTTTTGGTTATTGATAACTTAGACATAGGTTTCCATTCTTGGGTCCTGTGAAGTCATCGTGATATACCAGCTGCACCAGGGCGTGGGCCGTAGCCTGCAAGCTGGGCTCTGTAGATATTAATACATCCTAGGGCCTGGGTCAAGGCTGCTGTGTGGGCCTAACAGCACCCAGACTGCCAGTCCCTCCCTGCCAACACCTACATGAAAATTACCAATTTAGTCTAACTGCCTCTCCACCATCAAAATCAACAAACTGAAACAAGCAAACAAAAAGAAACCCTTGATCATTCAGTTAAATAGTCAGTTTAACTCAGTTAAAAAAGAAAAACGAAAGCAACTCCAAAACCGAGCTGCCGCTTTGGGTAGAAACATCCCATGTGTTTCCGTGTGCATCCACCCATATGGCATGGCGAGACGCCTCCTGCAGGCCTGCCCCCAGCCCTCCTGAGTCAGCAGCTCTGGGACCTTAGACTTGACATTTTCAAATGTGATGTCATTCTATGTTGCCTTTTTAGACCCAAGGTCTTAGCATGGTATGAAGTAAATGACTGAAAACTACTTTTTGGTTTCTTTAACAGGAATTGCTGCATTGTGGCTTACTGATGGGCACTATGTATTGGATTTAAGAAAATATGTCAGTTACTGTTTACAGGTGCAGTTCTCCTAAGTATCTGAGTGGAAACGTTTGGCAGTGTTGTTTGCAGTGCAGTTTAGGCATCATCCATCCCTGCATTTGGAGTGGGCTCCTTCCCGTTTCAATCCTGTTCATCCTATTAAACACTGAATCATGTGCCCTTGGTCAGACTTGCCTTCAGGAGATCCTGGAGGCTGCAGTCTGAGCTGGTGGCTGGATTGGGGCATCTTTTAGGAGGAGGCCATTGACTACTGGGAGTTAGAAGGTAAAGGCTTGAAACAGAGTGTTATGTATAGAGATGGAGAGGAAGGGGAGTTTTAGGGAGATACAATTAATAGGATTTGGTACCTGTGTGGATGTGGAGGTTGGTGAGAGAGAAGAAAAGGACAACCTGCAGGATTTGGGCTTGGGTGAGTGATAGGGGAGTGGTGCTGGGAACCCAGCAAGAGGAGCCAGCTGGGGAGAAAGGTGATGAGTGCACGTGAGGGACCTGTTGGTTCTGTTCAAGGGAAGCAGCTGGGCTGGAAGCCCAGCTTTGGGTCTTGAGGTCCTGAGAGTATACAGTGAAAAGAACAGTGATGTCTCTCACCATCATTTTTCTGTTTTCAAACTATAATTTTTGTGCTTCTCTTTATTACTTTATACCTTCTCCTTCCTTGCACTTGTTCTTTTTCTATTTTCTAGTGGTGGAAGATTAGATGATTGATTGAGACTTTTTCCTTTCTATGTGACCTTATTGTTAAAGCATTGACCTGGCTTCATCCTGCACATTTGATAACATTGTGTTTTTATTTCCATTCAATTAAAGATATTTTCAAATTTTCCTTGTGACTTCCTCTTTGGCCCATATATTATTTAGAAGCGTGTTATTTAATTTAGCATTTTGAGGCATTTTCCAGATATCTTTCTGTTATTGATTTCTAGTTTAACTTAATTTGGATTAGAGAACATACTTTGTATGATGTTTTTTTCCTTTATGTTTGTTGAGGTTTTAAGGTCAAGAATATGGCCTATCTTAATGAATATTTAATTTAATCTGGAAAAGAATGTGATTCCACTGTCATTGTGTGGAACATCCTATAAGTGCCAGTTAGGTTAAGTTGGCTGACGGTGTTATTCAGATATTCCATATTCTTGCTGGTTTTCTGTCCACTTGTTTTCTCAATTACTCAAAGGGAACCAGTGACGTTTCCAACTCTCTTTGTAGATCTGTATACTTTTGCCTTTCAGTCCTCTCAGATTTTGCTTCATGTACATTGAAGCTTTGTTGTCAGGTGCATAGAGAGTTAGGATTGTTATGTCTTCTTGGGGAGTTGACTTTATTCTCATATAATGTCCTTCTTTGTCTCTGGTAATTGTCCCCATTCTGTAGTCTATTTTTTCTGGCATTAATATAAGCAGGACAAGTCTCTTTCTTTTTATTAGTGTTTATACAGTATATATTTCCCCATCCTTTTGCATTTAACATGTGTATGTATCATATAATTTTATACATATATGTATGCTCATCTATATTAAAAGTGAGTTTCTTGCAGATTGCATATATTTTGATCTTACTTCTTTATTGTCTGATCATCTCTGTCTTTTAGTTGTTTTTTAGACCATTTCTACTTAATATAATTATTGATAATGCTGAATTTAAAACTACCCTATTGCTAGTAGTTTATTGTTCTCCTCTGGTTATCTTTGTGTGCCATTTCCTTAAATAATTTACCTCCCTTCCTTTACAAACTCACCAAATTCCAACCCGCTGTGTGTGTGTGTGTGTTTCTGTGTGTTTTCTTTCTGAAAAGTTTAGACATGAATCCAGAATTTCCATGCTCTGTTATCAATATACTTCATGTGTGTAAGTCTTGTCTCCTATTAGATGGTGGGTCCTTGACACTGGAGGCCATGCTTTTGTGTCCCTCACAGCACCTAGAAGAGTAGACGCCTACAGATGGAGTTGACTGCCCAGCTAGGGTGACCCAATCATCTGGTCCCTTTATCATGGAAGATGCTGAATGATATTGGAGGGACAACTGTGTCATTACCATACAGGGGCACTTATCCAGCTGCTATCTACCTTCAGCTAGACCCTTGGTGCATCATGTGTTTCTGATGAGACTTTTTTAGTTTTCTCACCATCTCAGCCCACCCTTCCCCTCTCTCTCACACACTGTGGGTGTGGGAGCTGCATAGAGCTCCATTCGTGGTCCACTTCTACCTGAACACCTCTCATCCACTGATCCCAGTGATTTACACCCACACCAGGTGCAGTTCCAACAGAGATCTGTCTTCTGGGCTCCTGGTTGACGTACCTGTCCATACCCTGATGACACCTCAAATGCCACATTTCTCATACTGACCTTTCTCTTTGACTTTCTGTCTTGGATGAGGAATCATATTCATATAAGACCCAACCTCAACGTCCTCTTTGAATTCTCCTTCTCACCCATTCCTTCTCTTCCCATCTAATCAGTCACCAAGTTGTCTCTTTTTCCCAACTTTGTCTTTGCTGTCTGCTCCACCACCATCAATGCTACTCTCTGGGATTAGAACAGTGGCTTGTGTCTGATCTCTCCAGACCTGTGGGCTCCTTTCCTCATCCCTGCTGGTCCCCTGCCTTAAACCACTGCCATCTCCACTCCCTCTGGACCTGCGGGGATTCTTCTTGTCCTTCCTCTAACTTAAGTTAGACAATAACTGCCCGGCCATGTCTTTCCCATCCTGGTCTCTCCATTCTCATCTCAGTGCTTACACCGTCTGTCTCACATGGCGCTGGTTTGTCTCCTCCCTTCGAATGGAGGCTCTTTGTGGGCAGAGTCCATGTCATATTCCTCTTGGTAACCCCGATGGCTGGTGCACAGTTGCTTCTCAGCAAATGCTTACACTGAGCAAATCTTTTGTTCTAAACATTTCAGCTTCCCTTGATAATGAGAGTCTTACTACAAATGGCAGAATGACACGTTTGCATTTCTTTTCTGCCCTGGGTTGCTCTGAGGATTCAAGAGTTTCACCTTTTCGATTTGACTTTCTTTCAACTCTCTAAAAGTGGGAACAGAGTTATTCCTTATCCTCTAGAAGAACTGGGTGAAGTCTGAAATCAGAAACAAGAGAAATTCACGAGAGACACCTGCAGCTGTTGGGAGCTCCATCAGTGCACTAGCCTGTGTGTTATTTACACCCCAATCTCAACTTGGAAAAGCAATGCAACCAAATAATGGGAAAGAAATTAGGACAAGAGTTTGCTCGCCACAGGGCTGCAGCAGAGTTTGACCCCATGGAGTTGTTTTAAAGCTATTTCACCACAAAGACTTTTTTCCCCTCTGGAAATGTGTCTCACCACCAAAGACAAGGTTTGTTTTACCCTGTTTAATACTTAATTTCAAGTGGACTGACTTATGCAGTGGAGCCAAGTCTCTTGCGTCTGCCCAGCCACTGACTGGGGGAGAGAAATAGCCTTGTCACATCACATTAACAGTGATGGAGCAGGCCGCCTGGCGGCCACTCAGCCCCACCACCATGCTGATCCGTGTGCAGGAAATCATCGCTGACTCCCCAAAGTGCTCTTGATTTCTTGATTTGGCCATTTGTCAGGTTTGCATTGCTTGCACCCCTGGGCACCTGTCTCTGAGGACAAGCAGAGCCTTTAAGGAAAAAGACTGTTTATTAATCTCTGGGAAACATGAGTAGCTGCATTGCAAAATGAAAATGTAAGATTGGAAGTGAAAACGTATGAGGGCTACTCCTTGCAGAAGCCCTAGCCCTAGGTGCTGTCAGCTTCCTGGGAGAAGTGACATGAGACGGGGCTGTCCTTGTGCTGATTAAAGACACGGAGTGTAGGGGCGACGACCTCGGGTCTGTTTGAATATTTAGATCCCAGCTTCTGTGGAAAACATTAATAATTTTATACTAGATGTGAATTTTCTGACCTGTTTTTAACCAAATGTAGAAAAGAAACGTACTTGTAGAGCAGGCTCTGCAATAGGCTCTGCAGTAGGCACTTTATGTGCACTGTCTTAGATCATGGAGTGATCTTAATGGTCCTTTTTTCATGAAAAGCCTATGAACAGGTAGCTGTTTTTGTTCTTGATCTTTCTAGGTTTAAGTGTGTGTGTTTCGTGTGTGTGCACGTGTGTGTTTGTGTGTGTGCGCACATGCATGTGTGTGTGTGCACATGCATGTGTGTGCATGTGTGTTTGCATGTGTACAAATGTATGTGTGTGCATGTTTGCGTGCGTGTGTGTGTGTGTGTGTGCTGGGAAGATCCAGTGGCCCGTTGAGCAAGACTGATTGCCTTCTGGTTTGGTGCTATCTGGGTGCTAAGGGACTCTTTGGGGCATAGGGGGACCTTTACTGATCTGCAGTGAACCCCAGGAGTCCAGTGTGAATTTGCTCATACAGTTCATGGGCTTCTCTCACATGGTTTGTGCTGCCCATAGGAAAATGCTGGTAAATGAAGAGGAGTCAGGCTCAGCTGCCATAGAATCTTGGTTGGCTTTCCTGCGGTTAACATATCAGTATGTATAAGCTCTCAGAGGCAAACACGAGGTTGGTGTTTCTCTTGGAAACAGAAATTGTTGGGGATCCATCCCCTGTCCACAAGCGAGCCGTGGTGGCTGTGTCAGCCTGGGTGCCACTCACAGCTTCTCTGGAGAAGTCGCCAGCCAGAGAGGCAGCAAGTCTCTCCCTGAGTTCTTGGTGTCGGCTGCAGAACTGGGGATAAATGGCGATTTTGAAGGGCTGGGTCTGGGGGCAGGACCAGAGCTTTCTCTGGCTGTTTCCAAGCGTGAAGCAGCTTCCCCAAGGAGATAATGACCTAAATGGGGAGAATTAGGCTGGATTGAACGACTCATTAAATGTCACCTCCGTAAAAGCAGGAGGGACGAGAGCTGGGAGTGCAGAGCCACGCGGGGATCAGCGTGAGGGGTGCAGGTGGAAACAGAGCTTGAAGCTGTTGCTTTCTGCCAGCCACCCCCATCTGGGCTGCTTAACAACAGCCTGGATCGGAGCATGACAGAGGCAGAAGCAGGTCCTCAGAAGGTATTTGTTGAATAAAATGAATGAGGGAGGTGGTGGCCCGCCAGGTAACAGGTAACATGCCCATCTGGCTCAGCCTCAAGGTCTCGGCTGGCTCTCCTGGGGGCACAGCCTGCATCCATCCGAAGGGCCCCTGTGGATAATTCTTTTTATTTCCTTTGTACTGTCAGCACAGCAAAAATTGTCATCGTTGATAACATCTTATACTATATAAAAATACAAAGCCCTAAAAATATGTGCAATTTGGAAAAATTAAGGTGAATTCAAACACTTAAAAGGCCCGCTTCAGCTCCATTGTCCAACAGTAACAGCGCTGTGTCTGCACCTCCCCACCACCTGTGCAACCTCCTGCTCCAGCTTGTGGTTCCTGGTGTTATTTTCCAATAACTGCAACCAGGACTCCTTGCAGGGCAACTGATGTCTTTCAGCCTTGAGGCAGGAAAAGATGAGGGTGGCTTGGAGCGTCCCTCTCTCTGAACACACACTTCCTGTTGCCAGAAAGAGACAATCCTTTCCTTAAGGGCAAGGACAGAGTGGAAATGATGAAGGAGCCAGCTGGTAGGGCATCGCGAGCCAATGTGATGATGGGAAGATGAGAAAGCTGAAGGTTAAGGGACAGAAATGAGTCTGCAAATGCCATGAGCTCACCATGAAGCACAAGAGGAAAAGGTTAACATGGAGTGTGTATAAAGGGGTTTCTCCTAGCAGACAGGAGTGAACAGAGCAGGACATGCTTCAGAAGTGGTGGATTCATGGCGTGTTCAGTCCCTTCTCAGTTATGTTCCTGTCTCTGACGTGTGGAGATGGACTTGTTTTTGTGCAAGCAGGAAAGAAGCTTCATAGGAAAGTGGGAGAGAGTCCAGCAGTCCCAGGCCAGGTAGGAACCATCCGACGACAAGAGAGATCCATCCAGAGTGAAGGCCATGTGTCATCCCCAGGGGGAAATGGCGAGGGGCATCCAGAGCTGCTCACCCCGCAGTGGCTACACACAGAAACCACATGGAAGAGAGTTTATGGTATTCTAGGATGGCAAATTATCCCAGTGGACTAGGGAACAGAGCCAACCACTCAGAGCCAGTTCCTTCCTTCTAGACCAGAGGACTTCACACTTCCTTGACCAGATCCATCATTAACAATGCCTTTGACATCAGGATCTGATCACATGTGTGTGCAAATGCACACACACAACACACACTTACTAGAAGAGTGGGTGAGTAGAACCTACGATGGGTAATAGATACACAGAGCGTGCATTTATTCTTTATCTACCTGTCTGGGAAGACAAGGCCCACTGGCCCTCCTGTGAATGTGGCCACCACAGACAGAGGACCCCTCACTGCCTGAGTAGCTGGCGAGTGACCAGTGAGGAAAGGAGGACGAACATGCCATCCCATCTCGGTGCCACCTCTGGTCCCAGAACCAGCCTTCTCGGGACCCACAGAATCAGGGTCTTGGGTGTTACTTGGGGGTTCAGGCTTGGGACGTTTTAGTGAATGTTCTTTGTGGGGGCACCAGACAGGCCAGGGAATGCCAGCGAGGGAGTTTTCCTTTTGAGAAGAGAAGTCTTTGAGGCAAACTCAGTTATCTTGGAAGAGGGGCAGCTTCTCTGACAAGAGAAGATAGGAAGCCACTGTCATCTTTTAAGAGAAAGGCAGACTCCGGTACAAGATGTCAAATGAAAGGTTGCCGTTCTGTGTAAACAGGAGATAATGTCTCCCTCTTGTCATGAGTGCTTCCCTGGTGCTGGGCTCTGTGTTGAAGACTCAGATCCTCCGTCTTGGGGTCTCGTCATTATTTGAGTGCTTCCTCGGTGCTGGGCTCTGTGCTGAAGACTCAAATCCTCCGTCTTGGGGTCTTGTCATTATTTGAGTGCTTCCTCGGTGCTGGGCTCTGTGTTGAAGACTGAAATCCTCCGTCTTGGGGTCTCGTCATTATTTGAGCGCTTCCTCGGTGCTGGGCTGTGTGCTGAAGACTCAAATCCTCCGTCTTGGGGTCTCGTCATTATTTGAGTGCTTCCTTGGTGCTGGGCTCTGTGCTGAAGACTCAAATCCTCCATCCTGAGGGCCCTTCTGCATAGAGGCTTGTCCCTATCCTGCAGCAGAGGTACCTCAGGTCGGCCTAGCTGAAGACCCAACTCCTAATTAGTGGTGGGGTCTGGATTCCATCCAAATGTCTAACTGCAAACACATTGTGTTCTCATAATGGCTTCTGTATTGAATCTTCCGACATTTCTTAGGCAGCACGGAGGAGGTGGGGAAACGCATTTCATTCCCAGGGAATAATAGCTTGATTATTTTGTGCTGCTTAATATTTATAAATACTTTCCAATCTAAGATGTAACTTTTGGTGAAATAATACATGACCTCATGCAGTGAAGGCTCAATTGGCCTTTCTCTACTAAATTATGGTAGATACAATGATTATTTCGAAATATATCTGCACTTGGCACAGAGTCAGTAAACATGTCATCTTAATTCATTATGTTTCCACCCCTGTATCTGGACCTGTCTGACTCATAAATGATCAATTTTTGGTTTCTGAAATGCATAAACATAGAATACTCAGAGTGTGATATTGAAATGAGCACTTAACAGGGACATAGTCATTATTTTTTATCATTATCATTTAGCTGTTGGTTCCTTTGTGGTTTAGGAGAATGTGATGAAGCCTTGGTTATTGTTCTCG
The DNA here is from genome assembly GCF_000001405.40 of Homo sapiens. Lineage (NCBI taxonomy): Eukaryota > Metazoa > Chordata > Mammalia > Primates > Hominidae > Homo > Homo sapiens. The sequence goes on from NC_000010.11 coordinate 130,474,723, forward strand.
GGGAGGCAGGGAGCCGCTGATGACCCCAAACCTCATTAGCGCCTTTTCTTTCAAGCTCTTCCACGCAATTTTTATGGCAGGTACGAGGAGTAATCTGCGTGGTCAGTTTTGCATCTCGCCCTTTTCTCCAGCTTTCTTCCTTCTGTCTGTGCTACAAGTAATGGACGGGGAAGAAAAGCAAAGAAAGAATTGCAGAGCTTGGAAAATTCAGCTGCAAATTCTAAATTCCATTGTCATAAACAGGGCCGTTTGGAAAGGCAACCCCTTTCTCTCCAGGCTCCTCCAGCCCATAGGGGAGATATGCTTCCACGATAATGCCTTAAGAATGCATCTCCAGGCCTGGCCCAGTGGCTCACGCCTGTAACCCCAGCACTTTGGGAGGCTGAGGTGGGCAGATCACCTGAGGTCAGGAGTTCGAGACCAGCCTGGTCAACATGGTGAAACCCCGTCTCTACTAAACATACAAAACTGAGCCCGGCGTGGTGGTGGGTGCCTGTAATCCCAGCTACTCAGGAGGCTGAGGCAGGAGAATTGCTTGAACCCATGGAGGTTGCAGTGAGCTGAGATTGTGCCACTGCACTCCAGCCTGGGCAATCGAGTGAGACTCCATCTCAAAAAAAAAAAAAAAAAGAAAAAAAAGAATGCATTTCCACAAAATGTGCCCACCCCAGCCAGTGCAGAACCCACCCACGACTGTGCTCCCCTCACTTGGAGACTTGAAGACTTGGCCTCCACCAAGTCCCCTGCTGGAAGGACCACAGAGTTCATCTTCCGTCTCCATCCACAGGGGCTTCTTCACATATGAACGGACACAGAAACATCGGCACAGGCTTCCTTTGATTGAAACTCCTACTTGGTGAGTTGGATGTTTGAGGTAACCTCCACCTTCTGTTGTGTCTCAGGCCTCCTTTGGAGGTCATTATAGCAGGAAACTGTCGACGTTATGCTGTGCTGGGATGTGACGCTCAGCCTCACACTTTTGTAGGGATGACATGGGACATTCCACATACTCGAAGGGTCCCTGCTGTCCCGCTGATACCCCTGTTCACTGTGGGTTAAAAGGAGGCGGCAAGTTCCTTTAGCCGCTGATAGAAGCTCAGACTAGGTTTCTATTTTTTGTGATAATAAACATGTTTCCAAAGTTGTAGGAATGTATCAACATCATTATCCATTATTCCACTACATTATTTTCTGACCTGCTTCCAGTGGGGGTTGGTGTGTCCGTTCTCTCATGTGCTTCAAAGGGAGGAGCCTGAGGATGTGTTGTTGGCATTCCTGTGGGAGCCTCGGCCCAGATGAAGGCTCTGCAGATGCCTGGCATCCTGGGCCGACACTGGGGAAGTGGGCTCCATCCCTGGCTGTGTGGTGGCATCCCTGCGTCAGCTTGGCAGCTGTGGTGTGGCCACAACTGCGGTGCAGGCCTGGACCTGGCTGTGCTGACCTCATGCTGTGTTAGCCAATGGGATTTCCAGATCTTAAAGGAAAAAAGGAATTGATTAGAAGTAACACAGTCAAGCTCTGAGCAAATATGTGCATGTATTTAACAATGATTAGCCGGCAAACTAGAATCCGGCGTGGAGCCCTTAGGGAGGCCTTCGTTCCCCACCACTTCCTCCACCATTGAGACAGCACGCCCCAGCCAGCCTCGGCAGCCCTCTTGCCTCTCCCCTGCTGCTTCCCTGTGTCCTCCCAGCTCCTGTGTCCCCTTTTTGATGATCCTCCTGGGCCGTCTGGCCTCAGTCTCTCGTGTTTTCTCTTTGGGGCCAATGGAAGGTTGTGTCATTAGGGCACCGGCACTTGCCCCCATCAGTCCTGCTGGGCTGCTACAACAAAGTCTCATGGACTGAGGGCTTATCAGCCACCAGTGTCACCGTCTCACCGTTTTGGAGGCTGGAGGTCTGAGCTCAGGGTGCCAGCAGGGTCGGCCTCCTCCAGGCTGCAGATGGTCACCTTCTCCTGGGTCCTTGCTTGGAGAAAAGAGCACGAGAGAGCCCTCTGTGTGCCTGTTATAAGGCACTGATTCTATCCATGGGGCTCCACTCTCATGACCTGGTCTTCTCCCCAAACCCCCACCTCCTGACACCATCACCTTGGGGGTTGGGTTTCAACCTATGAATTTTAGGGACACAAGCATATGGCCTGTGTCGCCCCTAACTGCACCGAGCTCCTCTCTGCAGCTGCAGTCCTTACTCTTATCTCAGGTTCCTTTTTCTTGCCTCTGCTATTCGCTCACGGCAACGACAGTAAGCCAGCCCGCCCTGACTGCTAAGCAGGAGGCTCTGTCTCTCTGGGGAGGAAGCCATCATCCCTCTTCCCAGGTAGAGGGGCCACGGTCAGCTCCTGGGAGGGAGGGGCTCTGCCTTTTTGATTGGCATCCTGTAGAAGGCTGGTTTTGCCTGGAAACCTGAACAGACTATGCGCTACATCAGAATCAAAGGAGGTGTCCACTCCAGGGTGCCCCAGGGCATAGCAGGCGCAAGGCAGCCGAAGTTCCTCTCACAATCCTCAGCCTTAGAACCCAAGAACAAAAGTGCAGGAAAAAACCCATGGCCAGGCTGCTGGGGAAGAGGGCCATCACCTGCACATAGCCAGACCCGAGTTAGGGGACGGGGACTGCGTCAGGGCCTCCGATCACCCCCACATGCAGAGATTCACTGGGACTCATGGTTAGGATGGATGATGGCAGCACAGAAGCACACAGGACACACAGCCCGTCAGGAGGGAGGGACACAGGCGGGGCTGGAGGAGTCCACCTGCCGGCTTCCTTCTCCTGTCTTCCTGCCATGCGGGCCACACGGAGCTCCCTCCTCCCTGCAACAACAATGCAGCAGCCTGTGGGGGAGGTTTCTACCAGGGGCTGGTCAGGTAGGCACCCTCTTCCCAGCAGGCACTTGAATTCCAGACTTCCAGGAGGAAAGCTGATGTCCAGCACCAACCTCATTGTACATGCAGTTTTGGCACAGAGAGTGGTGGGAACCCACCCTAAACCCAAGTGCCCAGATGCAGCTGAAAGCTGACCTTGCAAATGGACCTTTCTCCAGAGAGCAGTCAGGCTGCTATGCAGCCCTCTCTGCACTGAGACATTCACTGTTTCCCAGAGAACTTCATTTCCATGGAAAACAGCTTTTTTCAAAAACAAAAAAAAAGGCGTCATCAGCATCCTTATTTTTCTAACAATGTTTTTCTTTTTTTTTTTAATTATACTTTAAGTTTTAGGGTACATGTGCACAACGTGCAGGTTAGTTACATATGTATACATGTGCCATGTTGGTGTGCTGCCAATGTTTTTCTAAACTGCCCTCCAATGTCTGTCTTGATTTCTAGTTCAAAAAGCCTGACGAGTTGGAAATACTGAACATTCGCACTAGTGTGCATGAAATTCCAGTGGTTAAGGCTTGTGTGCATCCTAAAATTTTATTCACAAACACTGATAAAGCCGCAGAGCATTAAAAGTCAAAAGTAATCCCTTAACCTTGGAATCAATACGATTATTGTGAAATGATGGGTATTGATGATCTGTTTGAGAGATTGTGAGCTTCTGAAGTTGAAAATAATCAGGTGCTGGAAGTAGATGTAACTGTGCATAGATAAGCCTTTAACAGCTCATTAAACCCATTTTTCCCTCATAAGTGAAACTGGCCCCAGTCAGCAATGTTTAATTGAGAGAAAAACAATGAAACTGAATAATGCCATTGGTTGGATACAGAGTTGGGTTTGCTACAACATGTGAAGTCAGTGCCTGCTGAGTATTTTAAGGAAAATGCCAAATTTACCATACACATTTATTTTCTTCATTATAGACCCTGTTTCAATGACAGTTTTTTCCTCAAGTGACCCTCTGAGTCACTTCTCAGGGACAGCCACACTGATGCCATTACTGCCACATGGGGTCTTCCGTCTAAGACTAGAGCCAAGGACATTCCCCAAGCTCAGTGGGACCACAGTGCCTGGAAACACAGCGCTTTTCCCAGGAGTGCCAAGTGGCGGTTTTTGGGCAGCGCAGCATTAAACTTGAGCTCCTTTCAGGGATCATCTTGCAACAGTCATCCTGCTGCTACCCTGATGATACCAGTCCTCGGAAGACAGTTTAGTTGGAAACTGAAGGGACTTGGGGTGGGAATTCGCTGCTAGGGCCTGAAATGCCTGCCTGTAGGACTTGACCCACAGAGCTTTGTCCTCTTGCCTGCCTGTGCCTTTGTGCTCTAACAATAGAGTGGTTGGGGAAGAAATCGGAGAAGGCACTGCCTCGTTCAAGGCGAGGCCTGGGCAGCGGTCTATGGATAGGGTCTGACTGCTCCCAGTTTTCAGAGGCACGTTCAAGCAGTGACTCCTGGTTCCCCCTAGAATGCCGTCTAACATGGGAGAGTGAGGGATTGTTTTTAATAGGGGGTAACTTTGCCTCTTCCTGTCCTGGCAGATCTCCTAGGGCACCTACCTGGCCAGCCCCTAGTAAAAACCTCAGGTAGAAACCTCACTCACTGGCTGGGGCAAAGTGAGCTCCAGGTGGCCCATTGTGGGAGGAAAAGAGGATGAGGAAGCCAGCACGTGGACTCCTCCGGGCCTCGCCTGTGACCCTCCCTCCTGATTGGTTGTGACCCTCCCTCCTGATTGGCTGTGACCCTCCCTCCTGATTGGCTGTGACCCTCCCTCCTGATTGGCTGTCTTCCTGGAATATGCTGCAGCACAACAGAGCTCCCAGGGCATTGGGGGAAGGCAGGTTCTTCCCTGCGTGGGGTGGGATTCACAGGCAGGCAGAGAGATGGCTTGACGTGGTGACTCCTGGTTCACATCGCAGCTTGAGGGAGGCGCTGGCAGGTGGGTGCAGCCTCCCTGGGTGATGCGATTTGAGCCGCTGTCACTGTGTTCCTGAAATCCATATTCTCCTCAGTGCCATCTGGGAATTCCTGACACCAGCTACAGTAAGGACAGCATTTGAAATTGGAGCTGCTTAAGAATAACTGGGGGAGCAGGTTGAGTTGTATCAGAAAATCCATTAAGTGCTTAAAAGATTAGTTTTCATTATGACTGCTAGATAGTAAATATTATCTTTTATATCATTCTGAAAAATGATATGAGTAATGGGAACTATTTAACTTATTTTGGTATAATTTTAAAACTTTAATTATGGTAATACTTTGCATTTTTATTAGTTTTACAAGAGGATTGAAGCAAATGAATCTAGGGGGTTGATTTGTTGAAACAGGTTCTTTTCTGGATCTCAAGAAGTGGATGGTTGTCAGCTCTTGGGAGCAGATGCAGGTGCAGGAGAGGAGTCGCGTTGCCTGGGGGTTCCAGCGGACTTGGTTCAGGTGAAATCTCTGTGTCGTGACAAAGGAGATGACATTCTTCCATCTGTGCATGCACTCAGCCAATAAATGTTTACTGAGGCTGAATTTAGAGCAAAGCATTGCCTTGGCCAATTTCCTTGAGCTCCGCGTCAGCTCACACCGTCTGTCCATTGTGCATCCTCTGAATAGAATCACAGCTGTCAGGATAGATCTATGTAGACATAACCTGACATGGGGAGAAGAGCTAGGGTTTGGCCTTGGAGTGGCTTGGAATTCAATCCGGGCTCTAGTGCTTCTAAAGCTGTGTGACCATGAGCAAGTGACCAGATGTCTCTGAGCTTCAGAGTCCTCAGCTATGAAGTGGCAGTAAACAGACCACCCCCTTAAGGGTCAGTCATAAGAATTAAATCACCTAAGGGGTGAACAGGGTTTGCCAGCAGCTGGCCCACGGTGGGTGCTCAGCTAGTGCTGCACTCTGTCATTCCCTAGGAGTTGGCTGTGAAGAGCTTTTCCCTGCTCTACGGAGAGACAGAGAGACCCGCACACCATCACACACTGGCCGCACATCTCCGTGGCGAGCAGCGCCTCTGCACCCATCTAGTATCCCAACGCGTGGGCCTGAACCCCCTGAGGCCTGAGCAGGGAGCCAGTATCGCCCTCCTGTCTGATTGGTTTTGCGGGGGAATCCCAGGGCCCCCCAGTCCTCCCCGCTCAGTGCGCCTTTGTGGAATGGGAGGCCAGGAGGCAAAGGGAGGCGCCCAGGTGATCCAGGTACTGGGCATGGGCCCCCAAATTCTCCGACTCCCTGTCCGGCTTCCCATTCTGGCACCGGAAGACACTTTCTGCATTTTGTTTCTGCCTTTGTCACAAATGTGGTGTCCTTGAGAGCTGGAGGTATGTGGCCCCCCTATCGTCCTCGGAAGATGTGACTCCAGCATCGAGGCCAGGCCCCTGACTCATCCCTGGAGACACTAAAAATGCCTCATAGAAATAGGCATCTGTCTTTTAGAAATAGTGACCAAAGTGGAAAAAATAAAATATTTTGGGAGAAAAGAGGAAAAGTTCTAACCACTGTCTGAAAGTCTGCTGCTAGTGCAGAGTCCCAGGAGGTGCAATGAGGGCAGACTTGTTTCCCTGGGAACAATGGGGTTTGTCAGTAGGTCCCCCACACCCACCGGCGGGGTCTCAGCCAGCAGCCAGGGCCACCCCCATGCCATCTTCCTGGGGGCATCGTCTCTGCTGCCCTCCACAGCCCTGCCAGATGTTTCTGCTTCAGGCTCAGCCTGTTTCTCCCCTTCGGGACTTGCGGAGCCTCCCACGACTGTTCAAAGCTCTGCACTGAACACATTTGGGCCCCGTGGTCCCCAGTGCTGCTGAGTCAGGGGTGGCCCTGCCACCAGGGCCCCAGCAGTGCCAAGCTCAGAGAACTCCGCCTGACCAGCACCAGGGAGAGTGCATTAAAAGGACTCATGATGTTTGGAGAAAATGAACGCCACTGTCTCTGCGCTGCCAGGCACAGGGCCAGGTGTCTCCGGGGCCCTCATCTGCTGGAAGCCGCCCTCTCTGCCAGCATGCATGTGGCTGGAACAGGCTTGCTTCTGCTGGGCATCACTGTCTGTGTGGGAACCATTGGTACTGGCCGGCAATGGTCGCACTGAGAACCGGTAAACTGGGGCCAGAGCTTGAATGGAGGCTCAGCCTGCATGGGAACCAAGCACCGTGCCTGGGTGTCTAGGCAGGTGCAGGTCCAGGTTTGCTCGCCTGCAGAGGGACCAGTCCCTGACTTCCTCCTGGCTGCCTGTGTGAGTGGACATCCAATCACCTCTGACTCAGTGTCCCAGCTGGAGAAGCAGAATGGCCAGGCTTAGGCTGACTCCACTGCCTCCTCCTTTAAGGGGCCATAAAGCTTAATCGTGGTGCAGGAACCATCCAGACCCAGTGCCAGACACTGCTGCCCTAGAGACAACATGGCAGGAGGGCACCTCTTGGTCAGGAGTCATTTGGTTATAAGGGACAGAAACCCATTGCGGTAGCTCATGAAAAGGAGGGTTTATGCTGAGGATTCTGCTATGTATGGAATCCTAGGACAAGCTGGGCCAAGAGGACAGGAGCTGGCTTTGCTCCAAAGGGAAACCTCAGCCGGCAGCTTTGCAGGCTCGATCCGGAGCTCGCTCTCCAACACGCCATATCTCGCTCATCTCAGCCTCCCTGGGATCCCTCAGGCCCTTTTCCCATCCCAAATCCAAATTCTAGGAGGGAAGTCTGTTTGGCGGAGCTCGAGTCAGGGATCCCTCAGGTCCAATCAGCGGATCCAGAAGAGTCGGACACAATTCCTGATGTGTAATGGGACCTGGAACCTGGTGACACTCAGCTGGCAAATGCAGCGACATTTATTCACCGGTGCAGACTGACAAAATGCCCATGTGCATGCACGTTCACGACAGGTGCCACTCAGCTCACACCCCAGATTGCGTAGACTCTGGCCTGGTTCACGACAGGTGCCACTCAGCTCACATCCCAGATTGACGTAGACTCTAATCTGGGACTAAGCATTTGTTCACAGGCCTTGGGAGGGCAGGGACCACAGGGCATATGGAGCTGACCAGCAGCTGAGCACCAAGGAGGTATGGACACTGCATAAAGGGGAGGTGTGAAAGGTGGTCCCGAGGCCTTCGGACCCATTGCCGTTTCGAAAAGGCCCTGGGTATTGACAGCATATGCTACAAGAGAAGGGATGATGAGCTCAGGGCACCAGGTGGGAGTCCCGGGGAGGGGGAGGCACTCTTCCGCCTCTGAGATGTTTCATGCAGTCACCTAGTTCAAAGCTTCTCTGACAAGCTCGCCTCTGATCATTTTTACTTTTTTTGCAGGTGGCATGATGTCATTTTGTCATTAGGCACCACCGTGGGGACTGCATGTTGTCAATGGACCCACTATGCTCATGATGCTCCTTATCGAGTTCTACCCTGTGCAGCTCCCAGGCCCTGCTGCTGGGGCAGTCGCCTGGGGCCCCTCACCATCTGACGGCTGTCACCGCAGGCCAGGATGTGCACTCTCAACAGCCCAGGCTTTGAGGGCTGCTCTGGAGTATGATGGATACTGTAGCTGTTCGCTTTTGAAAAAGAAAGACCTGTGGCGAGAGCATTTCCTTCTCTAAGTAAACACCTGACTGGGTCCTGTTCATTGGATTCTGCAATTCTGCACGTGAAAATGTCAAAACACGAAGTCCTCTCATATTCTAAATAGCTGAGAAACAGCCTAACGTGCAGGTCAGTTGCACTGCACTGTGTGTGATAGTGAGGCTGGGACCACTCAGCGCAGAGCTGCCCCTTCTTGTGCTGAGACCCTCGCTGGGGTCTGGCCACCCCAACCTGCTGGAGCAGCCCTGACATGAGGTTTGTGTGTCTGTGGTCAGGCAGGGTCCCCTGTGTGTGGGGTGACATTGGGGAGGGAGACCAGGGGCTTTTGTCCAGGCAGGTCCCAGTCTCGGGGCAATGCAGTGTCCCCTGCCTCCTGACCCTGGTCACTTGCTCCAGCCTCATGGGATGGGGGCCACTTCCATCCCATTAGCTCGCCATTGCGGGGAATACCCTGCCCAGACCCCATCTCTATCCCCTTCCCCCTGGTGTTTTGGGGGATGCCGCTGCTGTTCTCTTCTTACAGCTCCTGCTGTCCACAGGGGGAGCAGAGTTCCTGGGCTTCGGGAAACACAGCAGGACTTCCAGCCCAGGAGCTTGGCAGAAGGTTGCCCTTTACCTGATAACTTCCGAGGGCTGCGGTGACATAAAGCTCCCCAGCCCAGTGAGCTGAGGTCTGCACGATGGGCCGGTGATGGGGAGTAATGGGCTGGAAAGGCAGGCGCCATTTGGACAGCATATTGTAGGCTCCTAAAGGAGAATCCCGAGCTGTTAGCACATAGTTGATTTTCTTTGGCATCTTTCCACGGCACTTCAGAGGCTTGTTCCGTTTGGCTTTATTTTAACCTACTTCACGGTGTTAAGGGAAATGCCACCAAGAAGGTTCTAGGGCAGAAGAGCCCTGTTCAAAGGGGGCAGGGAGTGAGGGGCCTTCTTGGTGAGGGGCTGGGCACAGCTGGACCCTCCGGTGTAGAGGAAAACCTCAGCACCCTTCAGTCCTTAACCCAGACAGGCTAATGGGGAGCAAGCCAGGTGCTAACAGGAAGCCTATGAAAGACTAGACTCTTCTTTCCTGAACCAAGGGTGAGACACGGGGAGGGTGGGTGCCTCCAGCTCGGGGTTGCTGACTTGCAGGGGGGCCATGTCTGCAGCCCCTTTCCAGGCTGGGCATCGGGAATAAGGTGATCTGGAGGTACAAGGGGAGGGGAGGGGAGGGGTTGGGAGTCCATGGAGTCTTTGGTCTTATCGCGATCCATGGCAGTGAGGAACTGTCTTTCCCCTTCCAACCTGCGAGGGAAGACTGGGCTCCCAAGCCCCACCCTGGAAGCCAGGAAGTGGCCTGGGGAGGTGTCCTAGAGAAGGACCAGCAGTGGGGCTTGTGTCCCCGCCAGCCCCAGCAGGAGGAGCTCGCTGGCTGCACCTGAGCTGCTCTGGAAGACTTGGACCTGGGACCAGGGGAGACCCTGCAGGTTCCTGTGGCTCCTGTGAGGAACAGGAGCTGGAGAGACTGGCCCAGGCTGCTGAGGGAGGGTCTTGTGTGGTCCCCGCTGCAGGGGCTAAAGACAGCCACCCCGAGCCTCTCGGAGATGATGCTAGACAGGCAGGGGAGTGTTAGTAACCCTGAAACAAAGTACCATGACTGGGGGCTCGGAACAAGAGGAGTTTATTGTCTCATGGTTCTCGAGGAGGCCACACGTGGGAAATCAAGGTGTCATGGGGCCATGCTCCCTCCGAAGGCCCTGGGAAGGATCTCCCTCGTGTCTCTCTCCCAGCTTTGGTGGCCCCTGGCGTCCCTCAGAGTAGATGCATCCCTGTAACCCTCCACCACTGCGTGGCCTTCTCCCGGTGTCTCCGCAGTCCTTCCTCTGTGCCTGCCTTTCTCTCTGTCCCATTTCCTCTTTTTACTGGGACACCAGGCACGTTGGATTAAGGCCCACTCTAATGGCCGCATCTTAATTACCTCCACAAAGACCTGTCTTCGAAGGTCACATGTTGTTATCGAGGGTTAGGGTTCCAACTATTTTTTTTTTTAATAAATACAATTCAACCAACAATAATGGGTCGGAGAAAAGCTAGATGCCACCCTAGGATGCCACACACCCCAGGTGCACGGCCACACCCACGAGGCAGCAGAGACTGCAGACAAGCCACGCACAAAACCTCCAGCCTGAGACCAGAGAGCCGACCTCACCTGTGCAGTCTCCCTCCAGACCCCAGCCCAGCAGGGTGGGATTGGAGGAACTGGTCAGGGTGTCTTCACCTCCTCCTCCCTTCCATGGAAAGAAGGCCCTAAAGGGCACACCACCCCCACGCCCACCCCCACCCTAGGCTGCCAGCCGGCCTGGGAAGGGAGTTGGGGCCCCGCAAAGGTGTGAGATGGAAGCTTTGCGCCGGTGCAGGCAGTTTTCGTCACGAAAGACAGTCCCATCGATGGGGCGTGGGTGTGCTCTGTGTTGGTCCCAGCTGGTCCCAGCAAGCAAGGCATTGTTGAGGGGAGCAGTGGGTTCAGGGTGACACTGAAGGCCGGGAAAGGGAGAGTCCGACAGAAAGGGCTGGGAGAAAGGGGGTCTTGCCTCCCAGCTGGGGCCAGGCTGCAATGGGGTGGCACCAGGGCATGTGTGGGTAGCCATGGGAGCTCTGAAACAGCATAGACGGGGCGGGGTGAAGTTTTGAGAGCTGGGCGCGACTGGAAAGCTGTGGATGCTGCTGGAGAAGTGTGGGTGGCAGTGTCGACAGCGCGGCAGCCGTGGAGAGGAAGGGCTGACTCCCGCTGGCTCCGCTGCCCCCGACTCCCCCAGCCGCAGGCCCTGAGATGCTCCTAGGGAACCTTTCTCTCCACACGTCCTCCCCATGGGGTCTTTCCCTAGGTCTGCCTTCACACAGTGTCACAAGCGAGTGGATTAGAACAACAGACACTTGTTGCCTCACAGCTCTGGGGCGGCATTCCAAATCAGGGTGTGGGTGGGCCGTGCTCCCGCTGGCGGCTCTACCTGGGCCCCTTCTGCCTCTCCACTCCGGGCGGTGGCCAGCAGTCCGTGGCATTTCTCGGCTGGCAGCGGCATCCCCACCCCATCTCTGCCATCACGTGGCCTTCCTATAAGGACACCAGTCATTGGATTTAGGGCTCACCCTAATCCAGTATGGCCTCATCTTAACTCAAAACATCTGCTAAGACCCTATTTTCAAGTAAGATCCCATTCTGAGGTTCCAGGTGGGCACGAACTTTCGGGGTGCCATTCAACCCAGTCCAGGGGAAATAGTTCAGAATGTGTGAATGGGACTGAGCCCTGCTCAGCATCCCAGGCCAAAGGGGCTTCCACCTCTGGCTCAGCTCTTGGTGGCCCCCGGGACTCAGGTCTCCCCCAGTTTTACTGCTTTTCAGCCACTAAGCCACCCTGGGGGCCATGTCTTGTTCTCCAGATGGCCTCACCCCACCTCTGTCGAAGCGTTCCTGCCTCAGGCATGAAAGCCACCACGTGGCAAAGGGTGGACGGCGATTGGGAAAGCAGAGTGTCCCCTCCCCGGGCGTGACAGCGTTCCCTGATCAAATGGAGGGTTGGGCTGCTTATTCTCGAGGCCCAATAATGCGATGCAGATGAACTGGGAAAGGAGGGAGTGTTTGTTTCCGTAACTGGTTATAAGGAGAAGGTCTGGAAAATATTGCTAGACCAACTCAAAATTACACAGTTTTCCAGAGCTTGTATACCTTCGAAGCTGTATGTCTACGTGCAAGTGTACATTCGCCTAAAGACGTAAGTGATTAACTTCTTCTACTCTATAACTGGGGTCTGAGTCCCGAAGACCTTCCTCTGGAGCCTCAGTAAGTTTACTTACGCTAAATGGGTCCAGGTGCTGAGGTGATTACCCTTATGTTGTCTCCTGCTAACTCACGGAGGTTTGGGGAGTGTCAGGCCTCTGAGCCGAAGCTCAGCCATTATAACCTCTGTCACCTGCGCATACACATCCAGGTGGCTTGCAGGAGCCAGGAAGCCTGGAGCAGCCAAAGAAAAAATCTACAAAGAAGTAAAACAGCCAGTTCCTGCCTTAACTGATTAACTAAAATTACAACATTTTACTATTGTGACTTGTCCCTGCCCTACCTTAGCTGATCAATCGACTTTGTGACATTCTTCTTCTGGACAATGAGTCTTACGATCTCTCCACCATGCACCCTGCAACCCCCTCCTTTGCTAACAATAGATAACCCCCTTGTACTGTACTTTGCCATTACTACCCAACTCCTGTAAAGCAACCCCCTCCCCATCTCCCTTCGCTGACTCTCTTTTTGGACTCAGCCCATTTGCACCCAAGCGAATCAACAGCTTTATTGCTCACACAAAGCCTGTTTGGTGGTCTCTTCACACAGACGCACTTGACAGGGAGTTCCTTCAGACCCCCAATCAACTTGCTTGTGGAGGCCTGGGGAGTTTCTTCAGACCCACAATAAAGCTTGTTTAATCCTAAATGGGTCCTGTTAAGAATTCCTTCGTTATTTTGTCACGCTTTAAGGCCCAGGAAAGGCCTAGTAGGCACAGCTCTAGGTGGGCTTTGTTACATTCCAGCCTTTGAATAAGAACACTGGCTCTTTCAGCTTTTAATATTTAACTTAACCACTCAGTCAGTGCTGAAACAGTCGTTAAGGAGGCCTGCATTAGTGAGACCTGGCCTGCCACACCAGTCTGCCGCTGGAGGAGCTGACAGTGCGAGGCCCCACTCCAGACTCTAGGGCTTGCATTTCCAGGGCCCCTTGGCACCTTCCTTAGCCTCAGATCCTTCCAGAACTGTGTTCTGAGGTTGTGCTCTGGTCCAGACAACGGGGAGATCTTCCCAGGATGCAGCCAGACCTGTGAAACCCCCCATCTGATCACAATTAGGCTGCACCAACTATCACTTGGGGAAAAGACCCAAGTCAGGTTGCAGGGCCTTGCTGTGAGCAGACGCAGGTGTGGCCTGTGCTCCCTTGCCCCTCATTTGCCCCCTTCTGGTCTTCCTGCTACTTGGGTCCATCTTTTCTGAGAAACGGCAGGACCCTTGGGCTCACAGACACATTTTTTTCCATTGTTTAACTATTGAAAACTTTCCCTCTATTTATAGAAAATAAGCTCTTAGTAAATATTTACTGTATCAATTTTGTATTTTAAATATTATGAGAAAATAATTTTGGCTGCACTGTGATATTAACGGGCATACAGTTCATAAGTCACCTTATACTTTTTAATTGACTTTCACTAAAGCATGTACCAGGCACCAGTCACTCTTCTAGGTTTTTGGAGACAGAGGTGCCACCTCCATTCCTGGGGAGTGTACAGATTAGTGAAGGAAAGGGGGTGGATTCCACCAACCAGCTTGTATTCAGTCGGTCTGGGGAGGTCAAGGTTCCATAGTCCTAGACCCCACAAGACTCGCTGTCTGAGGGCAGAGGCAGGGGTGCAGACTGATGGGAGAGGCAGTGGGGCCCAAGGGGATTGAGGAAGAGGCAGGACAAGGGCTCCACTTGGAGGTAAATGAAGCCACAGTGGGCAATTTGGGCAACTGGGACTCTATAGGTTTTGTCTAGTGGAAAAAGTTTTATCTTTCGGACTTGACTGTATTTGGAATAATGATCTATTCTTTTCCCTTTTTTTTGAGATGGAGTCTTGCTTTATTGCCCAGGCTGGAGTACAGTGGTGTGATCTCAGCTCACTGCAACCTCTGCCTCCCAGGTTCGAGCGATTATTCTGCCTCAGCCTCCCAAGTAGCTGGGATTACAGGTGTGCGCCACCATGCCCAGCTAATTTTTGTATTTTCAGTAGAGACAGGGTTTCACCATGTTGGCCAGGCTGGTCTTGAACTCCTGACCTCAGGTGATCCACCCACCTCGGCCTCCCAAAGTCCTGGGATTATAAGCATCAGCCACTGTGCCTAGCCAGATATATTCTCTCTAAAAAGCTAAGCAATAAAGAAAGATATGCATAACAAGGTTAAAAAAGGCGCTCACTCGCTTGCCCATTACCTGTAGTTACTTGGGTGACATTTGGTGAGCCCATCCACGGCGCACGGGAGCAGGGAAGCTGGCATAGGTCGCTTGCTGTAAATGATGACATGAGATGATTTGATATGTGCCATCTTCCAACATAGGTACCCATTCAATTTTACATGAAGACAACAACAGAAAGCAAAACTGAAACGACTGCTGGATTTCCAGTGCATGTTTCTAATTAGAAGAGATATTAGTAATGCAATGATCCCTCCCAGGTTCTGAAAATAATTGTGAGAGATGGTAAGGGTGGAGACATACGGTTTTAACCACGTGTTTTCATTTTCCCATTCTCTACTAAGAAAGACACAGGAATGGATGTAGCCACAGTCCCTTTCTCCTTCCCCCACCTTCAATGTTTTGTCAGGTATGATTCGAATGCTACCAAAGCTGATAGCCTGCACAATTACTTTGTAACTTGACTTCCCGTAGATGTTTAGTCTCAGCTCTGTATTTTGTGGACTTGCCCCACCTCACCAGGGCTTTAATGAAGACATCTCCATTCCTAGGTCATTTTTATTCATTTCATGGTTGGCTAGATTTGTTGCCAGTGATTTTTTCTTAGAAGAACCCAGTGACCATACTCCCCGAGGCCCTGGGAGCGTGGGATCGCTGTCTCTTCCCATATGCACTCTGCCCCTGCGGTGGGCCTTCCGTCCTCATCTCAGCCCTCTCTAGAGCCTCTCCACGGTTTTCTGGCATCCAGCATGAAGTCCTAGGAAGGCCCTTCTGCCGGCTTTCTCATCTCCTGAACTTTCTGACTGAGCAGGTCTTCTGAGAAGGGCCCATGGATATTACCCAGTCCCTGAGTTCTGGAGTTCAGGCAACTTTGAGAGTGTCTGCTCATTGTCTTTGACGTTGAACGACCTTAGCTGGAGCAAATATCCTGATGTCTCATGCTCCCTTCCCGGGCGCTTTGCAGCCTTTGCCCTGTTGCCTCCCACAGACTGAGTAGACTTTGGCTGAGGAGAACTCTGAGCCAGTCTGATTGTTTTCAGCCTTGTTGGTGAATTCTTTATCTACCTGGATGGCTCAAGAATCATTTCTTTCAATTTGAAAATCAGGACCTTAACTAGGATATGTCTGGTAGATTGTTCTGTATAATTTTATGCTGAAACCTGATATGGGCTGTAGAATCACAAGGCATTTCTTCTATGAATCATTCCTTTTCTTTTGCACTGCCTTGCTTCCACAGGTTGGGCTATTTTTGGGGGAGCCAGTTTTCCTTATGCTTGACTAGCGCCGTCTCTGAGGTCAATTCTCTCTCTTTGCTTCACTCCCTGCTATGTCTGCACTGGCCTCCACTGTGGTGATCACAGCCTTTTCTCTGTGTCACTAATTTGGTGTTGGTTGCGGGTATCCTCTTTCTCAATGTTTTGACTTTGTGTAGGATTCCTGTAATGATGGTGTTTTGGGTCAACTTGTTTCCTGGGGTCTGCAATTTCTGTTTTCATCTTATTTCCTTGTTGATCTTGCCTTTGAGTGACTATTTTTACTGCATTTCTGTTCCTATTATATCCTTCTCAAGCATGAAGTACGCCTGGGAAATTTTCTTCTGATCCTCAGGGGATTTGGTCTAGGCCATTGATCCATCTTTTGCAAGGTGTATTTCTCCCTCCTCCTCATCCTCTTCTCCCTCTCTCTCCTCCTTCCTGCTCTCCTTCCAGGCGCTCACCTTTGGCCGGCATTGGTAATCACAGATTCCTTTAACAAGGGATTTCTTGGCTGTGGCTGCACATTTGAATTGGGATGCTGCAGCCGGGTGTACTCTAGACCAACTAAATCAGAGCCTCTGTGGGTGACAGCCAGGCCTCTGTGTTTCTTAATCTCTCCAGCTATTTCCAGTGTGCAGCTATTGTTGAGAACTGTGGGTCTAATGTCTCAAATTATGTAGGAAAATAAGAAAATTTAACTCCTGACATAGAAAAGGGGTGACCCTGTAGGAGTATGTTTTGAGTTGGGACATTGCCCTACAGGGCCTTGTAAATGTCCTACAGCCCAGAGCTTGGTGACTGGGCCCAGAGAGTCCATTGCCTGGGGGCCGCTCCCTGTTGGTGGTCCTGGCTACCTGCCGTGCCCCGTGGCCGAGGCTTGCTTTTTGATTTGGACCTTCCCAGGGGCCTCCTCCTGCTGCCTGGAGGTTTGCATTGGAAGGAGCCTTCCTTTGCCTACCACCTCACTTGCTTTCAAACAATTATTTATTTGGAGGGAAAAAAAAGTCTTTGCTCAAAGGGCCCAGTCTGCATTTTCCAGCTTCTGCCAAAGCTGGAGTCTGAGCCATTACTTTGAAACCAAGCTGTGAATTGCTCATTCCTCACTAATTCCCACATGGGAACCTCAGTGTTTGTTTACTTTCTTAAAAAATTCACATTTAGCCTGAGGCTCAGCTGAAGGAATTTTAAACATTCTTTAAGAGCTGTAAAGATGAGTTGGGAATGAAATGACCACTCAACTTTAACTAGAGCCATCATTTTTTTTCAAAGCATGTCATTAAGTACAGGCAACGCAGTTGTGACTGAGGAATGATCTCCAGTCGCAGGGAGAATGTTAATTTCATTGGACATGTCTCTTGAAATGAATTTGTGGTTAAGGAACCATTTTTGAGCCAGGTAAAGCCCTACGAGAATGAATGGCGTTAGGATTCTGTGCACCCAGTGTTTCCTGAATGTTTGATTTGGTCAGGGAATCGTGCTAAGTGCTGGGTGCTGGCTCACCCTGTAAAACCAGCTACTGCTGTGTGGCGACAGATGGCTGGAGAGCCAGGGCTCAGCGGATCCAGTTGCAATGCATTTTCTAAGGTAAATACATTCAGAACAATAAATGCTTCCCCAGCTCATACTGGAAAAACACTCACTCTAGGGCTGGAGATACCGAATTAGGATGTGCTTTATTGAATCCAGGAGCACTGACTTCCTTGCGCATCCTCTCAAACCATGTCCCAGCCCCTCCAGAGTAATTCATAAACCACTCACAAGAACAAACATCATAAAACGTTTGAGCTTGGAGGAGGAAGAGCAGGACAGCATGGGGTACAGCATAGCCGCTGGGGTTCAGATATCGCCGCCCAGGAGTGTGCTGGTCTCTCCCTCGTTGTCTGGCTGTGGGGCCCTGGGTGTGGACCCTGGGTGTGGACCCTGGGTGTGGTGGATACTGGGTGTAAACCCTGGGTGTGGACACACGGTGTGGACCTTAGATGTGAGTTACTGGGTGTGGACCCTGGGTTTGGACACTGGGTATGGACCCTGGGTGTGGTGGACTCTGGGTTTGGACACTGGGTGTGGGTCACTGAGTGTGGACTCTGGGTGTGGACACTGGTTGTAAACCCTGGGTGTAGACCCTCGGTATGGTGGAGCCTGGGTGTGGACACTGGGTATGGACCTTGGGTGTGGGTCACTGCATGTGGACAGTGGGTGTGGTGGACACTGGGTGTGGACACTGGGTGTAAACCCTGGTTGTGATTCTTGGATGTGGTGGACACTGGGTATGGGTGTGAACACTGGGTGTGGATCCTGGGTGTGGACTCTGGCTATGGGTCACTGAGTGTGGGTCACTGGGTGTGGACCCTGGGTGTGGACCCTGGGTGTGGGTCACTGAGTGTGGACCCTGGGTATGGACACTGGTTGAGGACTCTGGGTGTGGACACTGGGTGTGGACCCTGGGCATGGGATGCAGGTCTGGGGCCCCGTGTGGCTCAGTGCTGGCTGGTGTGCTCCAGGCACAGATCTACTCTGTGAGTTGGGAAGCCTCTCCCTGCCTCCCCAAGTAGCCTCCTGAGGACTGAGGTCCTGGTTGGCTCCCGTGCTGAGGACTCTAGGATGCTTGATTTTGCTTAATTCTCTTGTGAATCTCTGGACTCCTCCTTCTCTTGTCTGCGGTGAGGAGGCCTCATGTGTGGGTTCATCCCTCTTCCTGCTGCAGCCTGGGGACAGCTCTGGGCTGCTCTGAGCCCGAGGAGCAGGTCGTCAAGTCCACCAGGATGGAATGCTCAGTAGGAGAAATTGCGCTGTGGGGCCATTTGAGGCGCCTGTCCATGCGGGTCCGTCCTGGCCCTTCTGAAGATAAGCCCTCCTCCTTGCACACACTTGCAGACACTCAGGCAGCCAGTGAGGAAGGAAGGTGGGCAGGGATCCGTCCGCTCAGTGGAAGATGGGCCGGGCTTTCGCAACCATGACTGGGCCCAGAGCGCTGAGAAAGGAACGCTTCCTTGAGAGTTAAAAACTGAGTTAAACAAATTTTGTTTGGAAGCTGAGGCTTGCACACTTCATGGAAGGTACCTTTGAGGCATTTGCTAAACTCACGAAAATGATGCCTCAAGAACGCGTCTGTTTTTCAGCGTAATGTTTTGGGGTTAAAATACAAAATACACACGGCTCTATTTCTCAGGCTTCTACTGAGTCCAAGGTGCCTCAGGGTCTGAAGACAAAGCTGCGTCCTCCCGCTCAGGAGGGCCCGAGGAGCGGACGGCAGAATCTTGGGGCCCAGCCCGTCTGTCCCTCATGGGTCTGTGACCTTGGGCTAGCTCCTCAGCTGTCTGTGCTGTAGTGTTTGGAAGTACAGCTAACAATACAATTGCTAATTTTAACTACTGTTCATGAAATGCTTATAAGGTGCCAGACACCGCATGAAGCCTTGTGTGCATTTTAAAATTTAATCCTCAAACGGCCCTGGGAGTGGACGTTGTCATCTGGATTACGGGGGAGAAGCGATCTCAGCTCAGCAGCTGGCTGGCCTGACCTCACGGCTTATGTGAGGCCAAGCCAGGACATAGCCCCGGGGCTGGGGAGGACTGCCCGCCTCCGCCTTGTACATCTGCTGGCTCTCCACTTGCCTCAACGGATAGCAGGGGAGAGAGAATAGGAGCGTGGATGTGGGGCGGGGCTGGATCCGGAGTGATGGATGCGAGGGGCTGAGTTGATGCTTTTCTCTACTTTCATGCATGTTAGAACATTTCTATAAGAAGCAAAGTTGAGGCATATTATCATATAGATGGAGAAATAAAGACTGAACTAGGGATAACACACAAGAAGTATAGAAGTATTTTCTGGTTTGAATCAACCTTTGGACGCCTCCCTTTCTGGGGTGTAGAGGGGTGGAGCCTGGCTACAGGGCTGTGCTGGAACACAGAGGGTCAGCATTTCCTCAGGGGTCCCTATATTGTCTGGCTATAGGCACGAGACTCTTCTGACACAGGAGGCAGTATCAATTTAGACCCAGAGAAATCTTAGCAATCACGCCACAAGTAGCCGCTTTTCCCCAGAGCCTTGTCTGTATGTGTAGGTATGTGTGTGTGTACCTGTGTTTAAGTGTGCACATACACATGCATGCATGGATTTGTGTGTGCTTGCATGCCTGTATGTGTTCAGGTGCCTGTGTGTGTGAACATGTGAATTTGTGTGTGTACACACATTTGTGTACATGTGAACATGCACATGCATACTGTGTGAGCAAAAATGTATTTACTGTGTATATATGTGCACATGCGTTTATGTGCGTGTAAGAAAATAATCATTCTCCAGTGCTAACAAAGAGCAAGCCCAGGGTTTGTTATGGTATGTGGTATGTGATGGTGCTCTGTTCCATAAATACAAGCCACTAATTGTAATATTGGATGGAGGGGCTCATCTGAAAAATAGAGACGGAAGCCTTGTTTCAGCCCTGTAGGTGATGGTTTATGGCTGCCATTCTTCTCTTTACATTTCATTGCCTTTGTTTTGTTTTACATATGATTGCAGTAAAGAATTAAACAAAAAGTAAAACGTGGCCAGGCATGCTTCTGGTATTGCCATAGCCCGAGTTAGGTGACGTTTTGCACAGTTCATGTTTCTTGAGCACCTCCTAGGTGCTGGGCCAGGACAGGGTGCTCTGAAGGCTGTAGTGAACCAGGCACGCGGCATCAACCCCAAAATGGTGAACCCAAGTGTGGTAGAGACTGAGCTTGTCTTCTTGGGGCTACTGGCCCATTTAGAAGCCTCCTTCCATGAGGCGATCTGGGGGAGCTGCACCCCTTCCCCCATGAGGACCAGTGAGAAGGCAGTTTGTGGGGAAACCAGCCAGGTGACACAGGGATGCTTAGGGCAGGTGGCAGTGACTCAGTCTGGTGGGGCTTCACTGCTGGTGCTTTCCCAGACACTTGCCCCAGGTGTCTGGCCATGCCCCCTGCATGTGAGCTCAGACATGCCCCGCGGCTGTTTCTTCTCTAGGAGAGGAGCCCAGGCTCTTCAGCCCGGCACTCTAGGAAAGGTGATTGAGTTGGCCATGGTTTGCACGGAGGCCTTTCAGGAAAGTGAAACTGAAGGAAGGATGAACTTCTCCTTCACCTTGGAAATTCATAGTCCAGATTGCCAGCTTTCAGGAACCCTGTGGGCACAGGGTGGAAGCGTGCATTCACACTGTTCCCAGCTGTAGGGAGAAATGCACGGATAGGGAAGGAATGGCAGGGGCAGGAGGGGAGGCTGACCCACACTAGGCCTGTGAGCATCTGTGTCCTTGCCCAAGGTCCCTGCCCAGTCCCCCATGGGCCAGGGTCAGAGGGGTGAGCTGGGTGCATTGCTCAGGGAAAAAGGCTCAAAATTGCAGCCTTGGGGTGGCGGAGCTGGCCTCAGAGTGCCAGCCTGGCCCTGTCTGTGGCTCCTGCAGCCCACACCCTAGTTGGGCGCTTCCAAACGAATAATGGAAAGGAAGGGTGGAAGAAGACTTCTGTCTACCCCTGAATATGCTGTGCACAGCAGCTGCCGGACCCCAGATAATTTATTGGGGTCTGAATTTGGAAATTTTTTGATGAAATGGGTAATGGCCATTTAGCTGTGTTTCTCTTCTCCTCCCAAATCCACAGTTTCCAGGACACGGTTGGGGCAGCCAAGCTAAGGAGCTGCTGGACCTACAGAACTGTGAGCCCCACCATTTCCCCGTGGATTCTGAGTGACACGGTGGTCCTGGCCTGAACTGGCCCCAACATTTCCCCATGGACTCTGAGTGACATGGCAGCCCTAGCCTGAGCCGGCAGGACAGTCGCTGGCTGCCTGTGCTCCTGTGAACCCAGGGCCTGTCTCAAGGCCTGCCTGCTCTCAGTCAAGCCTGCTGGTGGGTGTGGGGCCCTTTCCCTACACACGGTCCAATCGTGATCAAAGGAGGATGAGGATGGAGAAAAGTGTCCTTCCAGTTCATTCAGACAGTAACCTTCTGCATGATGACTTACTAGTACACGGGATGGAGGTGACCTTCTGCATGATGACTTCACTAGTACACGGGATGGAGGTAACCTTCTGCATGATGACTTCTCTAGTACACGGGATGGAAGTAACCTTCTGCATGATGACTTCGCTAGTACACGGGATGGAAGTAACCTTCTCAGTGATGCCTTCATTAGTACACAGGATGGAAGGGAAGGGTTTACTCTTAAGCCATTTGCAGCATTTCACCCTGTGCCTTTTCTGCATGAATCTAGAATCCCCACACTTGTGGAACATCCAACGAGCTTCCCTCCAAGTTCCTTAGATTCGGGTCTAGGAATTAGATACATTTTATGTATTATCGATGGCATCTTATATGAGTAAACTGCATCACTCATGCAGTCTTGCAATCCGACAGTTTCAGTCTATTAGGATTTTGTTGCTGGAGGGGACAGCTGGTGGGTTGTTTGAACCCTAGGGCAGAAAAGCACACTGAAAAGGCAGAACATTTAGCTTTCAGTAAACCCATTACCTCGTTACACTTTATTTATGGTGGTGGTTCCCTCAGACTCTAAAGTTATTTTCTTATTTATTTTGCAGAACATTCCGATGTCTCCATGGATTTTACAGTGTGCTGCACAGACCCATGGCACAGTGAGTAGAAAGTCATCTAAGTGTCTAGTCTTCCTGGGTCAGCAGTATAGAATGCGTTCAGGAGTGTGTGACTCTTGTACACTTCAAAAGCCTGGAGACAAGTGCTTCCCAGCTGTGCTGCAGAAGTGGGCCCTGGGTGCAGAGCCGGAAGCTTCCAGATTCTCTGCATGGCTGACCCAGAGCTGCCTCCACATCCCTGGCTGCTCAGAGAGGCCTGAAGGCCCCAAGAGCAGATGTCGGGGAGCGGGTGGCTCTGGCCATATTGAGGCAGGGCTGCTGGCTCCTGTTTCAACCTCTCTGCCTCTGAGCTGGCTGTCCTGGGATGCGTGGGTGTGGGCATGGGCGTAGGGGCATGGAAGGGGACCATGTCCTGCAGATGGACGTCTAGCTAATGAGGATGCTGTGGGAGCGTGTCCTGGGGTCACTCCCTGCTCTCTGGATTTTCTAAGTACAAGCATTCAAAACATTCTGGGGTTACAGCAGAGGCATGGCCTCTGACAGGCAAGGATGACATGTGGCCAGACACACCTGGACGTTGTGGGGAGTAGGTCGCTTTAGGAACCCTGTGGCCAGGCTCAGCTTAGAGCTGGGAAGAGGTCCGGGAAAGGTCTGTGGTATGCCTGGCACTAGCCCTGTGCAACCAGGCCCGTGTGGACGGTCCAGGCCATGGCCAAGGTGAGGCTTTTGTCTATTTATCTTAGAAACACAGAGGATATTTCCATTTTTATGCACCATTTTCTGAATCAGCCACATAATCATTGGTTCCTACAGCAAGAATTTCACCAGATTCCGGGTTTTATTAATTCAGCGGGAAACGCTCGCTGCCTCCTCTGTGCCGAGACCTGTTCCAGGTTCTGGAGATGCATAAATAATGACCTGTGGTTCGTGCTCTCTGGAGGTACCTGTGCTGTAGAAGAGAAAAAGGTACACGTGCTCAGAGCATGGTGAGATGGTTCATCGGCGAAGGTCTACACCCAGAGATGGGGAGGCTGGTCCCAGATCTCAAGGGATGGTCCCTTCTTGGAATCAGAATCGTCTGCATGAAGTGGTGGTGGGATGCAGAAACCCGGGGTGAGGCAGCAGCCCTGGGGGCTGGATCCGGGAAGGTCCTGAGATGCTTCTGGTCAGGACTCAAACTCCAGGAAGGGATGCCTCAATGTGAGACACTGGTGCCTCCTTGGTGAGGTAGTGATGGGGGCACCACTGCCGTGCTGGCTCTGGGGATAATTCCCCCCAGGGGGTTTGGGCTCAGAGGCAGGGCCCCACCGCGTGTTGGAAAGACAGGGCGTGGTGTTTCAGGAGACTGGTCACATAGAGTGAGGACTAGACCTGTGAGCTCACAGAGCAAAGGGCCACAGTCAGGTCCTGGCTCTGCCTCCTTGAGCAGCTGCTCGGCCTTGACCTGCCTCAGTTTCCTCATCCATGAAATGGGAATGTTGGTATTATCTGCCTTGTGGCTTTCTCATGAGGGTTAATGAGGATGTGCAGTGCCTGTCCCATCGTAAATGCTCAATGCCTTGTTTCCGTGGTTGTTCTTAGAGTCTTCCAAACTTAATCTATGGGAAGAAATTATCATTTAACAAGTAGAATTAATCTCTGGGGACATAATTTTCATTTTTGTAAACAATTATGTCTCTTCTTTACTTGAAGTAGGTCAAAATCAGAATATGTAGTAAATTTAGCCTCCAAAGTTTAGCTAAATACGGTAATACCTGATTACCTAACACAGGCTAATTTTGCTTTGGGGTCATCTAAAGGGACGGTTCAGATGCAGTCATTCATCACTGCTAAAATCCTCACAAATATTTGTGTGTGGTTATTGTTCAGTAACAGCAACCCCTTCAACTCCAAATACAAGCTTCAAACAGGTTCAATGATGGGAGCTGCCCAAGAGACCCAGGTCATCTGGTTTACTCCCAGGAGAAAAGTCACAGCAGACACAATTCGTCACTTTTGGCTGGGAAGCTGCTTCTCTCATGAGATGAAGTCGTGGCCATCAGTAACTCTTTCCTAAACTCTTCCCCATCAAACTGAGTGCGCTCCCTGGCCTCTGTTAATAAACAGCGACTTCATGTCCAGGAATTGCACTGCTTGTTGTGAGGCAGATGACGTGGATCCAGGCCAGGTGTCCAGGTGGGAATCCTGACATGTGAGGTCCGGGAGAGGATCTTGCTCTGTGGAGTCAGGGCCCAGGTCAGGCAAGTGCTGGACCCGAGATTGGCCTTGGTTCTCTCCTAAGGAGTGTCCGGACAAGGGAGCAATTGACGTGTGTGTGTGTGTGTGTGTGTGTGTGTAAGATCATTGACTTGCTGGTCAAAATAAATGACAAATGACAAAAATAGAATCCTTTAGTGTAATTCCCTACCATGGACACCCAAGATCCCAAAGCAGGATGCCATCATTTTCATATTATAAACTGTGCCCCCCAGGCAGAGCAGAGGTGGTCGCGGCCAGTACTCCTGCACTGGTTGGTCCTGCTGCCATCCTGCTCTTCTCCGCCAGAGCCCCAGAAACTCCCTGTCCATCCTATGTCTAATTTCACTGGAAGTCCCCCATGGGTGGTTTGCTGGTATTTTCTGACCTGATATTTAATCTCAGCTCTTCAGTGTCCCCATCTCCTAGCAGATCTCACTGGCTGGGGTTTGAACTGGTGATGCCAGTTCAATCTCTCTGAGGACATGGTATCTGGGAGGCAGAGCAGACTGCAGTCCTGGGACACACAGATTGGGCTGAGCCTCACTGCCTGGCTGGGCCTTGCTCTCCTGGTTAAGATGAGTAGGTTAGGGGGCCTGAATGGGCATCCTGGCAGCCTGTCCACTCCCCTTTCTCAGAGCCCACTGCTCCTTCTCACTGCCCATGTGATCTCTGACCAGGAGCTTGTTCTCTAAGTTCTGGCCTGTGGTATCCTGAGGCTCTGTCTGGGGGTAAGTGCATCCTGGTGCCCCATTGGCTTGGAAGATGGGAAGGGTGGTGAGATCCCACTGTGTGCCCTCCTGGGGAACATCGCAGGTGCTGGGCCAGCCTGAGTCCTTGTGGGAAACAGATGCATCCTCAGTTTGTGGAATTTAAGGAGAGTTTAATAAGAGGATAATATGAAGGTGGGCAGAGTGTGGGGATGGCACAGTGCTTTGTGCTGGACATGGGATCGTGGGGCATGTACCATGCTGTGGATTGAAGAGAGAAGTGGGAAGAAGAGCTGGTGGAAATGAGGGGCATGGGGAATCTTGCAGGAGCTGTGTCCATCACCCAAGGAAGGCACCCAGTCTGCGGGAGCCCTGCAGGCAGAGAGCAAGGATGGGTTGTGGATAAATACTCCCCCTTCTCTCTCCTCCCCACCTTCCTCCCTTCCATCTCCTGACAGGGCTTCCCAATGGCTGAGCCCACCTGGAAGCCAGGCAGGGAGCCTGGTGGAGCCTTGCGGGTGGGCTGCTATGCAGCGCCTGGTGGGGAAGGGTGAGGAGTGCTTTTGCAGAAACAGAAGCTCTCTGTGCTGCACGAGGAGGTGGAGGCAGCTGTGGCATCCTGGGCTTGCTGCAGTGTCCCTGTCCACAAGCAAGCCAGTCATTTGCTCTCACTGTCTTTGGGACACAGGTTTGAGGTGTGTTGGCCTCTCTGGCTCATCCTAATATCTGTGCATAGGCTGACCAAACCTGGGAGACAAGGATGTGAGCAAAGGAGAAACCCGGAGCCCGGGACCTCACATGCTGGCCATGAGAATCCACAGACAGTGCTGGGAACCATCTGCAATGGGTGCTTGTGGTTCATGGGATGGGAAATACCATGGCTGAGCGGTGAACACCAGCATCTCAGAGATGGAGGCAGACACAGGAACCGGGAGGGCAGTCAGGGGGCGGGGGATGAGCGGGCAATTTGGAAATGGAAGATGGAAGGCAGACTGGGCACTGCCAAGAACTGCAGCCTGCTGGCTCCAGGCTGCATCCACAGGGTGCTCCAGGGGCCGTTGGCATCTGATGTGCATTGAGAGTCTCACCTGGCTTGGTTGTTGCCTTGTAGAATTTTGCTGACATTCATTTACTTATTCATTCACTCAGCAGCATTGATTGAGCACTGTTGTTTGATTGACACTGGTCTAGATCTAGACACTGTGGGG
The DNA here is from genome assembly GCF_000001405.40 of Homo sapiens. Classification (NCBI taxonomy): domain Eukaryota; kingdom Metazoa; phylum Chordata; class Mammalia; order Primates; family Hominidae; genus Homo; species Homo sapiens. Next base: position 130,501,098 of record NC_000010.11, read on the forward strand.
TATGAACATTGCATAAGTCTTGATTGGTGTTTTCAAGGATATTTACATCTGGCAAGGAAGATTAGAAGCATTTACTTACATATGCACAAGAAGCCAAAATAGGAGACTTTCAAACACGCGCTGCAGACCTACTGCAGAGGAGGGGTCATGGGTGGTGGGAGGGGTGGTGTGTGAGCTGCTGCCTGGAAGGAAGGGGGGGGGGTGTCAAAATTTTTCTTTCTATTTTAAAATATATTATGCAACCAAAACAGGGTATAAAAATATATGCACTCAGTGAATTGGTTCACTGTGGCTGCCACAAAAGATTACTATGAACCTGGTGGGTTAAAACAAAAGAGATTGATTCTGTTATGGTTCTGGAGGCCACAAGTCCAAAATTGAGGTGTCAGCAGAGCCATGCTCCCTCTGGAGGCTCTAGGGGAGAAGGTTTCCCTGCCCCTTCCAGCTTCTGGGGGCTCCAGGTGTCCCTGGGCTTGTGGCCACATTGCTCCAGGCTCTGCCTCCATCTTCACATGGCTCTCTCCTCCTCTCTGTGTCTTTTCCACTTCTGCCTCTTATAAGGATACTTATATTTTATTTAGGACTCACTTGGTTAACCAAATGATCTCATCTTCAGAATAGTCATATAATTTCATCTGCAAAGACACTTTTATTTTCAAATAAGGTCACTTCGCAGTGTAACGGGGGTTAAGATGTGAATATATCTTTGGGGAGGGGGACACCATTTCACCTGCTACATCTAGTTTACAAATAATGGTAAAATAAAGAGCCACAGGGCCAAATCAGAATGTTCTGGAAACTTAGACACTTTCGGTGTAGGGTAGCCAATAGTTCCACTTTGCCCAAGACTGTCCTGGTTGTAGCACTGAAATTTCTAAACCTTAGGAAATTTCTCATTTCTAAATCTTAGGGAATTTCTCATTTCTTGGCAAAATTGGGCAATTGGTCATCCTACCTCCCAGTGTTCCACCCTGATCACCTTTCCCTCTGTCTCTCTCTCCAACTCTCTACCTGCCAAAGACTGCCCTCAAAGTCAACTGAATCCCTTGCCTTTCCTTATGGTTGCCCCACCTCTATGTGTGTCTCTAAACAATAGACTGCTTAGTTTCTCTTTTTGAAGTTACACACAGGTAACTGCACAGTCTGGAAGTTTGTTTGCTTCTTTTGCTTGATGTGGTGATTTTGAGATTCATCCATGTCTTGTGCATATGGCGAATCTATTTTCACTGCTGGAGAACATTCTCTCGTCTGAGTATACTGCACTTATTGTTGGTAGGTGGGCATTGGGTCTATTCTGCCTGTCTTAGCTGTGAACTGCACTGCTCCAGACATTCTCCTACTTATCTTCTGGTGCACTGGGCAGCAGCTTTTCAAGGGCCTATGCCTAGGTGCCTTTGCTTGCTGGGGCTTTGATAGGGACACATTTATTAGGTGATGTCAAACTTTCAGCAAAAAGGATGCAGCTGTTTGCCTTCCCCCAGTGTGGACAAGAGCCTGTTGATCCATGTCATCTTCACGCTGTGGCCGTCAAGTTTTCCTGCCTTCTCTAAAGGCATGCAATGCTTCAGGATCACAGTAAGTCTTGATATCTGTTCAAGGAATTACCCTGCCCACCACAGATCACCATGGTATCCTTTTGCAGAAGTGTGTTGGCTATTCTTGGCCATTTATTTCTCCATGTATGATTTACGATAATCTTTTCAAGTTCCATATGGAAAACGAGTCTCCTGGGATTTGGGTTAAATTTGCATTGGATGGCAGATCAAGGTGAGGAGAAACGAGCTCTGTGTAACCTTGAGGTTTTCTGTCTAGTACCCTGTTTTTATCTCTCCTCTGGGTCTTCTTTAGCTCTTTTAAATAAAGTTTTGTTAACTTTCTCTGAGAGAGACTTGTGGATATTTGGTTATGTTTATTTCTGGATACTTCGTATTTATATCGCTGTCACAAGTAACATCGTGATGGTCCTAAATTATATCAACAGATTATTCTGTACTTCTTCTTTCCAGAGGTGCAGCTTAACTCCCCATCCCTTGGAAGTGAACTGGATTTATCTGTTTGCTTCTGATGAAAAGATTAAAGCTGAACCGACAGTGTGTGAATCCAGAGACAAGCTTGTAAAGTGCACCATGGCTTGGTGCTCTCTCTCTTTTCTCCCCCTTCCCTCCTTCTCCCCTTCCTCCTCTTCCTCTTCTCTTTCTCTCTCTGATTACTTATTTTGGGGGAAGCCAGATTGTAAGAACATTCATTTGTTCTTCGAGTTGTAAGAACATTTAGAGAATTTTGAGGAGAGGCCCATGTGTTTTTGAATGTTTTTATACACTGTTGTATTTACTTTGGTAATATTCTGTAGGATTTTGCATCTATGTTCACAAGTGAAATCAGCCTGCAATTTTCCTTTCAGGTCCTTGTCTGCTTTCCATATTGAGATTCTGCTAGCCCCATAATATGACTTAGATGATTTTTCTGGATCTGTCTTCTAGTTCACTAATTTTTCCTTCGTCTGCATTTAATCCACCAATTAATCCAATTATTGAGTTATTTTTAATTAACCTTTTTATTCTGAGATGATTGTAGGTTCATATGCGGTTGGAAAAAAAGAATACAGGGAAATCCTGTGTATGCTTTACCTAGTTTCCCCCAGTGGTAACATCTTGAAAGACCATAGCACAATGTCACAGCCAGGATATCGGCATTGATACAGTCATTTCCGTCCCACCCGATCCCTCAGGTTTCCCTTTTAGGCCCATGCCTACTTCCATCCCCAACCTCATACCTGATCACTTTTGATCACTGGCAACCACTAATCTGTTCTCCAGCTCTATAATTTTGTCATTTGGAGAATTCTATAAATGAGATAGTATAATGCATGACCTTTTGAGATTGTCTTTCTTCCCGGAGCATAATTCTCTGGAGATTCATCCAGGTTCTTCCTTGTTATCAATAGTTTATTCCTTCTTATTGCTGAGTAGTATTCCACGGTATGGATGGATGCACCACAGCCTGCCTATCCATTCACCTGCTGAAGGACATCTGGGTTGTTTCCGTTTGGGGCTGTTACAAACAAAATTGCAGTAAACGTATGTGGATGTGTTTTTGTGTAAAGTTAAAATTTCAATGGAGTATTCTATACTTCTCCCTTTATTATACTTTTCTGGGATAAATGCCCAGGAATGCAATTCCTGGATCGGAAGATTTCTTTTTTTTTTGGGGGGGGGGATTTTTTAAATTATAAATTCAATTTTCTAAACAGACACAGAGCTATTCAAATGATCTATTTCATATTGGGTGAGCTGTGGTAGTTTGTGTTTTTTGAGGAATTGGTCCATTTTGTCTAAGATTTCAAATTTATGTTGTAGAGTTTTCTTTATTATTTTTTGAAGTCTGCAAGGTCTTCTGTGATATTCCTGATATTGGTAATTTGTGTCTTCTCTCATTTCTCTTTGTCAGTCTTTTAGAAATTGTGTCAATTGTATTGATCTCTTCAAAGAACAAACTCTTTGCTTCATTAATTTTCTCTATTATTTTTCTGTTTTCAATTTCATTAATTTCTGCTCTTACCTTTATTGTTACCTTTCTTCCTTCTGCTTGCTTTCATTTATTTTGCTCTTCTTTATCACAGGGCTTGAGATGTAGGCTTAGGTTACTGATTTGAGACTTTTCATCTTTTCTAATGTAAGCATCTAATACTGTGAATTTCCCTCTCTGCATGGCATTAGCTGTGTCCTGCAAATTTTGGTATGTTGTATTTTCATTTTTATTCAGTTCAGCATAAATGTTTATTTTGTTTGAGAATGTTCTTTTGAACCATGAATTATTTAGAAGGGTGTCATTTCATTTCCAAGTGTTTCTATATCTTTGTGCTATTTTTCTGCTATTGATTTCTAATTTGATTCCATTGTGGCTGAAGAACACAGTCTTTTAAATCGGTTGAGGTCTGTTTTATGGCCCACGATGTGTCCTATTATGATACACTTATATCCCATGGACACATAATAAAGGTGTGTATTCTGTTGGTCTGATGGTAACAGGCCATCAGAACGTATTAACATTAGTGTCACTAAAGTTGGTATACAACCATCCTGCTGTTAAGTCTGACTGGCTTAAAAAATGTGTTTTCTGCTGTTGTTTGGCAGAATGTTCTATAAATATTATGTATGTTATATTGCTTGGTGGTATTTTAAACTTTTCTGTATTATTGCTGATTTTATGTTCAGTTTTTCTATCATTGTTGAGAGAGGGGTACTGAAATTGCCAACTATAATGTTGATTTGTTTATTTCTCCTTTCAGTTCTATCAGTTTTTAACTTCACGGATTTTGCAGTTCTGCTGTTTGATGCATACACACTTAGGATTGCTACATCTTCTTGGTGATTTGTTTTATCATTACATAATATTCCTTTTTGTCTCCGGTAATTTTCTTTGCTCTGAAGTATTCTTTGTCTGAAATTAACATAGCCACTCCTTTCTTTTGATTGATACTTGTGTGAAATGTCTTTTCCTATCTGTTTACTTTTAGTCTGCTTATTTCTTTATATTTGAAGTAAGTTTCTTTTAGACAATATATAGTTGGAGCATGTTTTTAAATATATTTTGCCAATCTCTCTCTTCTAATTGGTGTATTTTGACCACTTACATTTAATGTAAATATTGAAATGTTAGGATTTCAATGTCATTTTAATTTTTGTTTTCTATTTGTTCTTTTTGTTTATTTCTCTGTTTGCTATTTTTTTCTGTCTTCTTGTGGCTTCCATGAGAATATTTTAGAATTCTATTTTTGGTTTATCTATAGTATTTTTGGTTGTATCCCTTTGTATAGCTTTTTAAGTTGGTTTATCTAGGTATTATATAAGCTGTCACAGTCCACTGGTGTGGGCCATTTATCAGTTCGAGTAAAGTATAAGAAACCTCACCTCTCCTTTTATCCCTTTACCCTCGCTCATTTATAATATACTTTTCTTAAAATTTTCTCTACATGTATATTCAGAACCACATTAGGCAGAGTTATCATTTTTAGTTCAACCCTCAAACACAACTTACAAGACTCGAGAGGAAAATAAAATATATTTGCCTATGCTTTTGCATGCTGAGTGCTTTCTTCCATCCTGATGTTCCAAGTCCCCTGATTCTCTTCTTTCCTGTTTAGAAAATTTCCTTCAGTCATTCTTTTCAATAGGTCTTCTGACAACAACATTCTCTTATTTCTGTTCTCCAAGAAGGTCTTATTTCCCCATCGTTCTGGAAAAATATTTTCACTGGATACAGAATTTTTGTTACTGAACAATGCGTGATGCTTCTTTTCTCCTCTTCATAGTTTCTGCTGTGAAATCCACTGTCATTCCAACAGTTTTTCCCTGGAGGTAAGGTGCCGTTTCTCTTCTCTGCTTTCAAGATATTTCCCTTCTCATTAGTTTTCGGAAGCTTGACTATAATGTGGCTTTGTATGGATTTCTTTGGATTTATCTTTTAGGGTTTGCTTAGCACTGGAAGTTTTAGGTTTACGTCTTTTGCCAAATGTGGGAAGTTTTCATCGATTATGACTTCCAGTTCTGTTTCCACCTGCCCTTGGTGGCACCGATGTTAGGACGTTTGCTACAGCCCCGCAGGTCCCTGAGGCTCTACTCACCTTTTTTAGTCTATTTTCTCTCTGTTGGTCAGATTGGGCAGTTTCTTTCGTTCTGCTAATTCTTTCCTTTGTCCCCTGCATTCTCTTGGTAAGCCCATCCTTTGGGCTTTTAACATTTTAACCACTATATATTTTTTCAGTTCTAAAATGTTCACTTGGTTTTTATTTACATCTTCTATTTGTGAAGACTTTTGATTTATTATATGAGACTCTATTTCCAGCATATCTGAAACATTTTTTGATGGTTGCTTTAGAAAGTATTTTGTCAGGTAATTCTAGCATCTCTATCACCTCAGTGTTAAACATGGATTGATTGTCTTCGCTTCATTGACTTTGAGAGCTTCCTGGTTCTTGTTATCACAAACGATTTTAAAAAAATGGAATCCTGAACATTTTAGGTACTATGTTGTAAGACTCTGAATGTTATTTGAAAGAGGAGTCACAGCTGGCTTTCTCTGACGCCACTCTGGCAGGAAAAGGGGCTGCTGTCCTGTTATTGCCAGGTAAGGCTGGAACTCCAGGCTTCCTATTTGAGCTCCATTGGCTTCTAAGGGGCTGCACCTCATGACTGTGGGTTGGGATGGAAGTTCCAAATCCCCACTAGGCACCCACTGATGACTGCTTAGTTGGGGTGTGGAGTGTGGGAGTTCCTCATTACTTCTCCCCATGTGGCCCCAGAGGAGGAGGGCCAGCCTTGCTTCCACTGGATGCTGGTAAAATTCCTGACTTTCTACTAGGTGTCCTCTGACACCACCCTAGCAAGGAGAAGGAGAGGGCGGGGAAGGCCTTTCTCATTCCTGGATCCTTCAGGCTTGCCAAATCCCAAATAGCAAGGAGGGGAGGGTGCCTTTTTCCTGCTGGGTGGGGTGAAGGTTGAGGCTCCCCTTATGGGCTCCACTGATATCCTGAAGGGGTCCTTCTTCTGCCCCTGGATATAAATGTCCCAGACCCCTACAAGGCCTTCTCTGACGCCATCTTGCAGTGGGGAGGTTGAGGCACCTCCATCAAACCACGTGAAAGTGGAAGTCCAGGCTCCCCACTTGGCCTTGGCTAGTATCAATGGCCGGGGGACGGGGTGGTGACACAGATTTTTTTCTGTGGTAGTCAGCTAGAGTAGAGCTCCTAAAAGTTTTCTGTCTTCCAGGCTGCCTCTGTCCTGATCCACTGCCTGCAGGGAGCAAACTTTGGTTGGGGTTTTCTTTGTCTGCACCTGTGAGTATTTCCAGATTGCTGGCTGCTTCCACCTGAAGTCTGAGATATGTGTAAGGTGAAAGCAAGCCCTGAGAACTCACTACTGTGTTGTTCTTCAGGTCCCAGGGTCCCTCATCCATCTGTCTTTTCTGCACCCTTCAGAAACTCTGTGTATGTTTCCATGAACAACGTCCAGGGTCTTTAGTTACACTCGGCAGGTGGAATTATGCCTCCGTTCCATCTTCCTGGACCTGGAGATCACTGAGCTTTTTATTTTAAACATCATATTTTTCATCTTTAGAAATTCTTTTTTAAAAATCATTTGTGCTCCTTGTTTACAGCTTTCTTCTATTTCTTTAAAATATCAATCATAATAAACGTTTGCATGTCTGCTTCTGTTGCTTTGCAATCACGCGATTTATTTTCTTACCTGGGAGACAGGTTGCTCTTTTCCCTCAACGCTACCCACGGACTTCTTTGAGAGGTGGGTTGAGATTTATTTCCTCCAGAGGCTGCACACTTACTTCTTCCTGTCGTCCGGAGCATTTCCACTAGGCACCGATGTAATTAAAATTTCCTGTTTGAAGTGTTTTGATCTATACTACAGTGAATTCAGACAGCAGACCTGGAAGAGAACTGGCTTGTGGTTTTCTGGGAAAGTTTTTCTCCTTCCCCCACGTGAGAATTGAGGCAAATACATTTCTTTGTTTTCTGTGTGCAAGGGTTATTGCTTGCTGTATGTAAAGGTGGACACAGCCCTCTGAGTTCTATCTTAATATGGAAAACTCCCTTGGGATTCCCCAGTGGTCCTTGGGTTTTGTCTGCTGCCCCCACATGTGTCCGTGCAGCCACCAAAGGAGAAGCTCCAGGCTCCCGAGGCTCTGCAGAAACCCCAGGGCAAGACCAGCCTTGGTCTTACCTCCCCGGGCTCCTATTTACATATTGTTTTTGTCTTCACAGAATACTGTATGCAGCCGGCACTAAAATGACAGGGTTCTCATGCACCATTGTAAGTATTTCCCATGAGAGGGCCACTCAAAGAATCTGTTCTGCACCATTGTAAGTATTTTCCGTGAGAGGGCCACTCAAGGAATCTGTTCTGCTCCAATATAAGTATTTCCCATGAGAGGACCACTCAAGGAATCTGTTCTGCCATCCTGCTGGTCACAGGAGGTGGGTAGGATTTACACGTGGGGGCTGCCAGAGCTGGAGATCTCCTTGAGACTGTACTGAGATAAGGGTCTGCTGGGACTGGCAGGAGGAGGCTGGGAAGGCTGGAGATTTTTCACAGGAAAGGGGGCCTGATGAGATGATAATCATAAAACATCAGGAAGCTCTGGCAGGTGTGGGCCGGATGCAGTGAAGGGAAACGTGCACCTGGGAGTGTCATCATGGTAGGGGGAGCAGGTGAGCTGCCGAAATTGGGGATGGAAGGAAGGAGCAGGTGCAGCACTTGGCAAACCCCCGCATACGTGCATAAGGCTGGTAGAGGAGTAGGGGCAGCTCTGGGAGTCTGACAGGGCCCGAGGTGGAGGGTGACATCCTACAGAATGGGGAAACCATGAGCTGCCAAAGAAGGCAGAGGGGAGAGGCAGCACTTGGGAATGGCGGGCAGTGAACATCGTGGATGCGCCCCTGGGTGTGAGGCAGCAGGTGGGATGATGCATCAGAGCTGGGAGAGGGCAGAGGGCTGGAGGTCTGGGTCCGAGAGTCATCTCAAGGACTCTCTGTCTCCGGGAAGGGCTGTGGCAGCTGACAGTATCCTCAGGCTTAGTTAAGCCTTAGGCTCTAAGTGGAGGTATTCCTCAGAGTTCGTGCACATGGAGTTCGCACACACGCTCCTCTCACCTCTGAGCAGGGGCAGGTGTGGGTCAGCAGAGGGAGAGGCCTGGGCAGCACACCTGCCCCACCTCTGTTTGGTGGGAGGGGTTGGCCCCCAGGTGTTTTATTTCTCCCTAGCCTCGTATTCAAGGCTTCCAGGTTAGGCCTGAAATTTGGCAAACCTGAGGGATGCAGGAATGTGAAAGCCCTTCCCCACCCTCTCCTGCTCCTCATCAGACCGTGGGGCCAGTGTTTCCTCTGGCTTTCCTGTCTCTTGCATGGGAAACCAGTCCCACTAAGCAAGCTGAAGCTCTTCTTCTCTTCCCCTTTGCAAGATGTTAGGAAACCGGAAATCAGGTGAGGTCGGGAATGGGTTGAATCCCTCGGGACTTGCTCGGGTTGAAGGGGACTGGTCGTCCGTGGGGCAGGGTGTGTGGTCTTGCCCTCTCTGTGACTGTGGGGACATGGAGAGGACTTGCAGCAGGTGCTGATGAGCCCGTCCCCGGGGGCCATGCCTGGATGCCCCGGAGGCCTCTGTGGTGGTGAGATGGGGTCTTTCTTTCCTCAGCACTCATGACATTGAGCCGGGGAGAGGGCTTTGTAAATGCCGGGCAGGTGCCCAGTGTCCACTGGTAGGAGGGGCAGACCCACATAGACGGTTTGTAAAGCACTTCGGGCCCCACTGGGACCAAGTCCTCTTGCTGTGACTCCAGTTAACCCAGCTCTCCGCTGTGCACGTGTGTTTGTCCATCGGGCCGTGTGGGCGTCTGCTCCTGGCCTGGGCGTCTGCAGGGGAGTAGCCGACTGTGACTGCAGCGGCTGCCCACACCACAGTGACTACTCAGCAGACCCCGTTCCCAGACAACGCCCCCTCCACTTCACTTCCTTCCTGGAATGGTGGATGCTGGGGACACATTTCCACTCAAAATTTTGGCTAACATTTCACAATAACGGGTCATTTTCAAAGTCACTGAGGAAATCAGTTCCCAGGTCTCTATGAAATGGTGGAAAAACTACTTGGATTCTGTGGCCAAAACAGCATTTTCTGTCAGAGAGGCGGCTGTTTGCTCCATTTTCCTGAAGCCTCAGATTCGAGCCTCCTCCATCATGTTCTAGGGTCCTGCCCTCGCAGTGGGAAGGGGAGACAAGCACAGAGAGAGGTTCTGTCTCTCCCGGCGTGTGCCTGTTGACAGGTGCTCAGAGACATTTATTCAGGCAGGAATGAGCGGACTCCTCATGTGAGTGCTGGGCCAGGGTTGGTTTCTCCACGCTCTGTGTTCCCCATGCTCCCCTTTGTGTTCGGTCCCCTCTGTGACCCACAGCATGCTAAATGGGCTTGAAGAACCGAATCTTTGCAGGTCACTTTTATTTCCTTATCTGTCAGTCACTGGGGGCAGATCATGTTCATGTCTGGAGGGGCAAATGCCTTTGACAGGAAGAAAAACAGTCATTCTAGGGCTCACTCACAGTCTGCAGGCACCAGGAAGAGATGCTTTCCCTGTGCTTCTTTTCTTTCTGGAGACAGAGTCTCACTCTGTCGCCCATGCTGGAGTGCAGTGACACGATCTTGGCTCACTGCAACATCCGCCTCCTGGGTTCAAGTGATCCTCCTGTCTCAGCCTCCCAAGTAGCTGGGACTACAGGAGCCCACCACTATGCCCAGCTAATTTTTGTATTTTTAGTAGAGACGTGGTTTCACCATGGTGGCCAGGCTGGTCTAGAACTCCTGACCTCAGGTGATCCCCATGCCTTGGCCTCCCAAAGTGCTGGGATTACAGGCATGAGCCATCGCACCTGTGGTTGTTTTCTGAAGAGCTTTCTGATCCTCTCTCATTTCCCTCCTTGCTCTGGCTTTCAGGACATTCGGAGTCCAGTTGGATTCACAATCATGGAGAGAGACTGGGCCTCCCTGGTTAGGACGGTGGCGTCTCTCTCCTCTTCCAAATTACGACCTCCTCAAATCTGCATTACTGTCAGTATATTATCTGATTGAATTACTTTGCCTTGTTTTGGGAAAGAAGAGATTGAGGAGGGGACTAATACATGAGTAAAAGAAAAGAAATGATATTTGTAAGTGAGCCGACTTTATCCATGGTGCTGTGAGTGAGGGCAGCTGCTGTGTGTCCCTGAGCGTGATTCCTTCCAGCCAGAGACGGACGAACAGCAGCCTCCACGGAGCAGAGGCAGACGCAGACCCAGCCGGAAAATATCAGTGTGGTTTCTCAGTTCACTTGGGCTGCTGTAACGAAGTCCTGCTGACTGGGTGGTTTCAGCATCAGAGATGTATTTCTCACAGTTCTGGAGGCAGGAGGTCTGTGGTCAGGCTGCCAGCATGGTTGGGTTCTGGGGAGGGCTCTTCTGGGTTGCAGGCGGCCACCTTCTTGCTGCATCCCCACAGGCGGGGAGAGAGCTCCCTGGGGCTCCTTTTATAAGGCGCTGTCCCATCCCTGAGGCCCCACCCTCATGACCTAATCACCTCCCAAAGACCCCACCATGTAACCCCATCACCTTAGGGGTTAGGTTTCAACATATGAATCTGGTGGGGACACAGACATTCAGCCCCTTGCACCTGCTCCTGGGGCCGTGAAGTACTGTGGGAAGAGGGCAGCTTTGGGCCAGCATTCACATCTCGGCTTGTGTGCTGCTCAGCCATGTGACCCGGGGCTGGGCAGCCTGTCTGAGTCCTGGCCTCCTCGTCTGTCAACACTGGATGTGTGGTGCTCCCTGGCAGAGCTGTTGTTGGGACTGGAGAAGGGATGTGCGGAAATGGACTTAGTATGACGTTGGGATCCTACTGTGGACTTAACTTTGTGGGCACAGGTGGAGTTAGGGCAGAAGCCGCACTGATTCCCTGAAGTATAATGTGAGACAGTCTCTCAGGGGTTCCTGCTGCCCAGTGAGCTCCCGTGCACTGTCCAGGCTGGGCCACCCAGCAGTCTGTGGGAGTGGGTACACACACACTCTGCCAATCCAGGCCCCATCCCTAATTGCAGATGCCCTGAGCAGGCAAGTGTGGATGCAGGCTTGGTGCAAGCAATCCTTAGGACTAGAGCCACAGCGGCTCGCATGGCTCCTGGTGGCACTAGGGCCCAGAGTCTGGCTTGTGGAGGGCGAGGCCATCCTGTTGGGAAGAGGAGGCAGGTGGGGCTGCTTAATAGCAGTGCTCAGCGTATCCTTGGCACCTCCGGCAACTCTCAGTTCAAGAGACACCTACAGACCACAGCACAGCAGTGATGGTGCTGACAGCCTTCAGGGTCTACCGTGTGCTGTGTGCAGTGCAGACAGGCTTTGGCTCAAAAGCACCTGCTGTTCTTCTCTCTGCCTGCTGGTGCCCAGGGTTGAGGTGGGAAGGAAAAAATGGGGCATGGCCAGTGAGAAGAGCACAGACTCTTTGTCTGCAAATGCCACTTGTTGTCCCTGTGCCAGAGCACAGCTCTGTGGACCCTGAGGTTCTGTTGTCCTGAGTTCTCTGTCACAGTGGGGAGTTCATGGCAGCAGGGAGGCCAAGCCTACAACCTGTGACTAGCAGACCCCTGCTGCCACTGAGCCCCTTGGTCTGAACTAGCTGGCACCCTGGTATGAGCAGGGGCTCACAGCACCCACGAGGCTGCTGGGGGAGAAAAGCCATCAGGATTCCTCCCTGGTCTGGGACCTGGCACCTGGTTGGTACCTGCTAAGTGTCCAGGTCTGTGTAGCTGAATGAATGACGGTGTGTGCCAGGGCACCCACTGGAAGTGCTCAGGCTGGGTTCTGTTCTCAGGCAGTTTCCACCCACTAGAGCAGAAGCATTCTGTCCAGAGTCAGCATAGGGAGGTCGAAAGCTCCTTAGCTCTGTATTTAAGTGGGGCATCCGCCAGAATGTAGATTCCTGGGCTGGGGGATTCCACTGGCTGCCACGGATCAGAACTGGGGGTGCTGGGGCACTCTAGCATGGGGTTCTAAGCTGCACCTCAGGTGATTCTGTGCACACTGGAGTTTGAGATTCCACTGCCTTGGAGACGCTGATGCTGGCTGGTCCAGTCTCTGCTTCAAGCTGAAGCTTGCAGAGATGCTAAGCTTGGTGTCATCACAAGCAGGAATGGGCACTCCTGTGCCATGTGTGGGACGGAGGAGGCTGTAAGACTGTTGGTGGGATTCTTAAACTCACTAAGTATTAAAATCAAAGCTTTGGAGCTTTGAAACAATACAGATGGCTGGGCTCCACCCTGAAATTTGGAATTGGTTGACCTGGGAGGGGTCTGGGCCTGTGTTTCGTGAAAGCTTCCCCCATGCTGTTATTGAGTGGTTAGCATTGAGAACTCAAATGTCTCAAATGCCAGGTTTTTATTACCCATACTTGGGAAAGATGGCAGCAACTGGTGTGCAATTATGAGTGTTCCCCAATATAACCAGGGTGCCCTCCTTTGGGGTGCTCAGCAGAACTGAGCTTCCCCAGCCCTTGAAGTTGATTTGGCCAGGAGACCAGCTCTGGCCATCGGGTTGGTAAAAGTGACGTCCAGGCCCCACGCCCACAGCTCCTGCTGCTCTGCTGACCACACTGGGTGTGCGGCGAGCGAGGAACACACTGCACTGTTGGAAGCCGCTGTGCTTTCGAGCTTATTTGTCTCCACGTTGTTCCCTAGCCTCTCCTGACAGACATGTTGGGTCGGGTTTTATCAGAAAGTGTTAAAACTAACAAGAGTTCTGTATTATAAAATGCCTCCTTCATTACCTTAATAGAATAAGTGAACTAGGTTTTTCTTTTTTGAGCAAACACAGCTTTCTGAGTCCTCCAGTTTTGCTTTTAAGATGTCACTTGTTGAGGGATGAAGCCAGCCTTTTGGTGCAAAAATATTTTCTGTTGCCTTGTCAAGGTAATGCGCTGCGAAATGTATTCAGTTCATGGAACTTGATTATTTAGTTTGTCCCTGGGAAATGAGTGTTATGTCAAGGCAAAAAAATCCAAAATGATTGCAGCAAATGGGGGTATTTTCTCACAGAGAAAAATGCCTCCAGAAAGTCAATTGATCCATTGATCCATGATGGATGGGCATGTTGGGCTCTATTCTCCTGAGTTTTACCGAGGGAAATTTCAAGTTAGGGAGAAGGAAGAAAATACACCACTTACTTTATTTTATTTTCTATTTTTTATTTTTTTGAGATGGAGTCTTGCTCTGTCACCCAGGCTGGAGTGCAGTGGCATGATCTCAGCTCACTGAAACCTCTGCTTCCTGGGTTCAAGTGATTCTCCTGCCTCAGCCTCCCCAGTAGCTAGGATTACAGGCATCTGCCACCATGCCAGGCTAATTTTTGTATTTTTAGTAGAGATGGGTTTTCACCATGTTGGCCAGGTTGGTCTCGAACTCCTGACCTCAAGTGATCCACCCGCCTCGGCCTCCCTGAGTGCTGGGATTACAGGTGTGAGCCACCGCACTTGGCCCCACTTACTTTAAAATGCATTTTTTCCCTTCAGGGGAAAATTTAGCAGCTGTTATGATTTGCTGCTTTTTGTAAGAATTTTTTTTCAACTTCTAATGCATTAGACTTACCATAAGCTTCCTGCCAAGGTGAGAGCTTGCATTTAGTGAGTGATGAGCCTTACTTTATTTAATTATTAACTACAGTGATGGCTAGGCTGAGGGAAGGAAGTAGAGAATGTTAGGGTAATAGAAAAGAATTCAGAGTTCAGATGTCCTGACATTTGCATTTTATAAAATTTCTATTCATGCTTCGGGGAGAAATAACTTTAAAATACTAGTGAGAGTAAGCAGCCCTTCCAAAAATTCAGTATGTATTTTAAAGTTATTTTTCCTAGCTCTGTAGTGATACTTAGGTTTGAATAATTTATGACTCTTTTCTAAAAGTCAAAATTCACTTGACAAGGGCCAATTCGATTTTTCTGAAATATTTTATATGAAATTAAAAGTCTTGTAGATACTAAAAACTTTGGAGAGTATCGGAAGAGAGAATGCTGGTAATGGCTCGCACTTTCTTCAGTGCCAGTTAGAGAAGGGTTTGGAATGTTCTCTCCTGTTCTGCAGGTGTGCTCCACATCCCCAGCCACTCAGGTCCCCAGAATGCGACAGGACCTGGAGGGCAGCGAGCTCGTCATCCTTGGTGTTTGAATGCCATCTATCTGTCCCAACCTGGTAGGCCACCTTCCTCCTGGGAAAACTGGAAAACCAAAGAATTGCTTCTGATCAGATCCCTGGGAAGATGTTCACCAGGATGTAAAACTTGTCTAAAGAGGTGGGGGGTTCAGGCTGGCACTGTGGAGGCCGTGTTCATGCATTCATCCCAGAAGCGGCTCCCCTGAGAGCAGGCTTGGGGTGTGGAGACTAGACCAGCATGGGGATGATCACGGCCCCTCCTGTCCTGCAAACCCCTGTCCTGCGACTTCTCCTCTTCTTCCTGGGACTGCACTTTCTAGGAGGAGGACATGGCATCCAGGATGCAGGAACAGCTGGTCAGGTGCTTGTCTTGGAGACAGGCTGGTGCCAAGGTGCAGTTGTAGGTTCTCTCGCTGGCTGGCATTCTGGGTGGGTGCCAGCCTGGCCCATGGGTACAAATTGGACTCTCTGGGCTGAGGAACATGAAGGTGAAATCCTGCTTAGCTCCCAGGCCACTTTCGTGTTTAGACTGCCCTGAGCTGCCTGCTATTTTTGTGGCAGCTGTGGGCATTGCTAATAAACACAGACTTGTACACCTGTGGGGTTAAAAGTAAGTTGACATAGCTTGTGCATCAGTTTGGGCCCACGGGTCAGGAGCAGCCCTCAGTTTTCTCCATGAGTCAGGTGAGGAGAGAGTCCAAGGGTGAGGAGTAAATTCATTCCAATGGGAGGAGGAGTCAGCGTTCCCTCCAGGAAGCCACCAGGGCTCTCCTTCCTCCCCTCCATGAAAGAAGGAAGGGAAGGATCCAGAGGACAGAGTGGGGAGAAGGGAGGCAGGTGACATGGGAGGGACAGGAGGTGGGACAAAGAGAAGCAGGACTTACTGGACCAAAGCCTTCTGATATCTCTTGGCATAGTCTGGGAGCTCAGCTCTGGGGACCGGGTGGCACCCAGGGCTGCAGGTCACCGTATCTGCAGTTCCCAAGTATCCGCTCCCTCCTCCTTGGAAGTTGGCTTCTTAGACACAAGGGAAGCACCTCAGAGACCCTCCTCCTATGAAATTGAGCCCTTGCCCTTGTGTCCTTGCGTGGCCTCAGAGCAAGGAGAGCAGCTCTTCCCACTGCACACAAGGGGAGGTGGGTGCCGCCACTTGCATTGGCCACCATCGTCCTAGTCACGTAGCAGTTTCCCTGAGTGTTGTTTAAAACAAAAGCCAACTTTTAGCCTGGAAGGCGGTGGAGAAGCACTGCTCTCTGACCATACTGGATGAAATCTCTTCTTAAAATAGTCTTCTAAGGGCCTACTGAAAATGAACAATTATAACAGGAATAAAGTGTGAAAAACGGCCCATTTTATTTTCTGGGTGCAAGTGGACTTCTTTTTTGTTGCTTTCTCTTAAACAGCTGCTTAATTGTGTTGGCGATCTTGCTTGGCTGCATTGGAGGATAAAAAACACACCAGCGTTTGCTTAAATCCAGACTCCTACGCTGATTATTCTCATTTCTGATTTCAATGCAGCACGTCTTTTATTTGAACAGCAGCACCACGTTCTGTTCTTAGCTGAGGGCAGCACATAGCAGGTGATGGAATAACCCTGCCCGCCATGGTAGGAACAGAGGCACAGGAACTTGTAGCAATTCAAATGGCCGAGCTCTCTCGAACCTCCAAGTTTTACATGTGTACCCGGAATAACTATGGGTGTTTGTACAAGAACAAACATCAGGACTGGGATATAATTTTCCCAAAGTAGTCACTCAAACTACCGTGGGTCAGAGATAGGAGAACAGGAAGCTCTCGTGGATGTCAACAAAATAAGGGAAGTTAAATGTATGCCGAATGCAAGTGGGTGTGCCAATGATGCGTCCTTGAAATCATCTCTCCTTGTGACCTGTTCCTTTTCTCTACCCCAGAGACAATGTGCCCAGATCATGGTGAATTTTAGATTCTTCCTGAAGGCGGGCTCCTAGGTTGTGGGGAGTTGGCTCTGCTGGTGGGGGAGGCCGGGGCTTGGCTGGTCAGGGAGGCCAGGACTTAGTTGGTGGGGGAGGCCGGGGCTCGGCTTGTCTCCTTGCTGGGTTCCCTGCGGCTGCAGGCTTCCCCCAGGAGGCAGTAATATATCACCACGCTATTGTCACAGGAGCTCGGGCAGCTGAAAAGTGGCCAAGGGACTCGGCCATCTGTATTTTCTATGGAAACATAATAGAATTCATTTTCCAATTGTTCATTGAGGTAAAAATGTTGAACTCAGTCTCCATGTATGACACTTCCAGGCAATTGGAAACGGGGACGTTCGGGATGGCTGTGGGGGTTTCCTTGCTAATGCCATTTTGCACACTCACTGGTCTTACCCCCTCCTTGGTACCTGAGGCATTTCAGAGATGTGCGAACCTGGAAGATGAGGAGCAGGTCTCTCCTGCACTGAAACGGGTTCCTGCTGGCACAGTGCGTCGCTCCTCTGCCCACAGGTTTATATTCAAGGCTGAAGAAGAGATAGCTGCCCAGCCTCAGGAGCGTTAGAAAGGAAAATGATTTGGGGCTGCTTTTCATGAAAAGGAAAGCCTTACCCAGGACTTCCCTACCGCCACTATCTGCCTAAGTAATTTCTTCTTAACTCCTGTATCATTGCTCTCATCCATTACCCAAGAAGGAGGAAAAAGAGTCATGGGATGAGGGGGAGCCCACCAGGAAGTCCACTGCTGGTGGTCGTCCATGGGAAGACAGCCCACAGGCATCTGCCACGTGACCGTGGCGGCCTTGCTGGCTGAGGAGGCACAGCGTGCCAGATGTTGTACAGGCTTTGCCTTTGCTCCCTGTCCTTCCTGCTGGCTCCCCCTCATCCTGTGACTCTTTTTCCTCCTTCTTGGGTAATGGATGAGAGCAATGATACAGGAGTTAAGAAGAAATTACTTAGGCAGATAGTGAGGGTAGGGAAGTCCTGGGTAAGGCTTTCCTTTTCATGAAAAGCAGCCCCAAATCATTTTCCTTTCTAACAAAGAGCAGCGTGTAAAATCAAGCGGCAGCATAGACGCAGGCAGTTGTGCCAATCATGTTCAAAATGGCGGCTCCATCTTCCCTTCTGCCAGCCACCTGTACAGTAAGGAGCAGGCAAGATGGCGCTGGTCAAAGTAAGGAGCAGGCAAGATGGCGCTGGTCAAAGTAAGGAGCAGGCAAGATGGCGCTGGTCAAAGTAAGGAGCAGGCAAGATGGCGCTGGTCAAAGTAAGGAGCAGGCAAGATGGCGCTGGTCAAAGTAAGGAGCAGGCAAGATGGCGCTGGTCAAAGTAAGGAGCAGGCAAGATGGCGCTGGTCAAAGTAAGGAGCAGGCAAGATGGCGCTGGTCAAAGTAAGGAGCAGGCAAGATGGCGCTGGTCAAAGTAAGGAGCAGGCAAGATGGCGCTGGTCAAAGTAAGGAGCAGGCAAGATGGCGCTGGTCAAAGTAAGGAGCAGGCAAGATGGCGCTGGTCAAAGTAAGGAGCAGGCAAGATGGCGCTGGTCAAAGTAAGGAGCAGGCAAGATGGCGCTGGTCAAGGGGAAAGTTCATTTGTGTAATAAGATTAGGGTGGGGCGGGCAGCCTTCCCTGAGCGCTATGTAAACGTCAAGCCTGATCAAACCAATCTGTGAGCCCCACGTAAATCAGACACCACCTCCTCAAGCTGGACTAGAAAATCCAGCGCATCCACCTGCTGGCATTTTCCTCTGGGAAGTTCCCTCTCTCGCTCTCTCGAGAGAGCTGTTTTCCTTTCTCTTTTTCTTGCTCCTAAACTCCTCGTGTGTGTCCGTGTCCTAAATTTTCCTGGCACGAGAGGATGAACCCCAGGTGTTTACCCCAGACAAGGTAGCCATTTGGGTAACAGTCTGTCAAGTTTACCCCAAGGCCATGCAGTTTTGTTGTTGGCGGGATTTGCCTGTTTCTTTTGTAAAAATGTTGTTACAACTAAACCCAGATGAGTAAAGTGTGCCCATGGAACCCCTCAGTGGCATTTCTATAATTTGGAGTTTTAGCACAGTTAGAAAAGGCTCGTTCATATTAAAGTCTTTATTGCTCCAGTTTGAGGCTACTCAGAATGCACTTCCTCTCCCCACGTTCTGGCTCTTCCTCTCGACAGGTGCATATGTTCAAGTCTCCTAACCACACGTTACCACCCACTTCTCCCCTTATCACTCTAGAATCCGCGGTTTTTCAAAAATGCTTAACCATTTCCCAGTAAACTGGCGTAGGGGCTAAGAGACACCACTCTAAGGTCAGGCTCAGGCTTTGCAGGCTCACCTGCCCCTTCACGGCTGTGGCCCTGGCCTCTGTCAGGCTTTGCTTTGATTGGCCTCTGTGCTTTCGATTTCTTTCCTGGGAACTGAAGTTCTAACAATGGCCCAACTCAAAGGCCAATCATGAGGATTAAGTGAAACAGCACATGTAAGTACTTAGACCAATGTTGAGCACACAGCGAGAACTTCATAAATCATCGACGTTGTTAGGCAGGTCCAAAGTCCCAGTGATACATATTCTCTATTGTGTTTGAAAGCTCAAAAAATTGGAGACAAACCAAACAACAATCAAATAACTACCAGGTTTCTACACCTGTTAATTTATGCTAGTTTGGACCAGCCCTCCCACTGAGAACACATGAAAAAGCTGGACAAAGAACTTAAAAAATCTGTTGGAAAGTATTAGAGAGTTATCAAGATGTAGGAAAGGAGAGGAGCATATAGAGGAGCCTGTTATTTGGGGTAGGTTTCACCCTAGAGATGTTTGCAGTTTTTGAAAACGATGGCCCAGAGGCTGAGAAGCAAAGCAAGTTCTCTGCAGGCACAGAGGACTAGGAAGACAGAACTTGAAGTAAAATTTTGATAACTAAAGGATGCACTTCGTAATCTCTAGGAGAAGCATAAAAAGAGTAGTAAAAGCATGTGCAACTGTCAAGCTGATAGAGATAGCAAATGGAAGAATAAAAAAAATCTAAAAGATGGCAAGAAAAGAGATAAAGGAGCATAGAAGAGTTAGGCAAGATAGAAAGTAAATAATAAGATTGTATGTTAACTTTCAAATACACCAGCAACCCTCACGCTTTGGTTTGGGACCTTAAAGATTTATAATTCAAGAAAAAAAAAAGAAATGGATAAACAAGAAATGGAGGCACCAATACAGACTAGCTTAAAATCACCTCAATCCGTGACTGGATTAAGGTGATCAGGGATGACTTCTTCCCCTTGTTCCCCTAGTTTAGCTAACTAAAAG
This sequence comes from Homo sapiens, assembly GCF_000001405.40. NCBI lineage: Eukaryota > Metazoa > Chordata > Mammalia > Primates > Hominidae > Homo > Homo sapiens. The sequence continues at coordinate 130,521,055 of NC_000010.11, forward strand.
AAAAGATGAATACTTTCTGAAGGAAGATACACCACTCAAATCCTCAAATTATCCCCACTGTTTTTCACATGAAAGTTTTCCATTTCATTAAAAGAAAACAGCTAGACATATGAGGAAACAAAGCATAACCAAAAATCAAAAGAACATAAGCAAACAAAACAGATCTACACAGTATCCAGAAGATAGGATTATTGACATGAAACTGTGGAGTTCTCTGACAAAAACTTTGTAATAGCAATGCCTAATATATTTATGTAAATAAAAAGATCGAAGAAATTGACAAAGAATCGGAAACTATAAAAAACCCAAAATGCTAATTCTGTAACTGAAAAGTACAATAATAGAAATTAACCATTCAGTAGCTGAGTTTAATGACAGATCAGATAAGTCAAAGGGAGAATCGGTAACCCTGAAGACATGTCAGAAGAACATATCCAAACTTCAGTCACTGAGAGATAAATGGATTAAAAAATGAAAAACAGAAAAGTAATATTAGGATGAGTGATGTGAATTTTGTAAGAAGCAATGAATGAGTGCTGATAATTCCTCATAGCCCAGCTGAGCACATAAAATTGGAGCTCAGAAGGCAAAAAGTGAGAAGAATAAAAGACATTAAATGACAAATTCAAGGAGTACTATAAAACCTGGGGTAAATATTGAGAAAACTGCAGTAAGCAAATTATAGCAAAACAGCTGAAATCAAAGACAAAGAGAAATTCTTAAAAGGAGACAAAACAACAAACAAACAAAAACAACCCACTTCTTACGTTCAGAGAAACAAGATTGATAGCTGACATTTTAACGAAAATGGTGAAACACAGGCAGCAACTAAAAAGATAGGTTTAAAGTGTTGAAGGAAAGTAACTACTTATCTAGAATTCTGCATGCTGTAACAATATTTTTCAAAAATGAAGACAAAGATTTTGAGACAAAGAAAAATATCAGCACAGACAACAGTGATAGAAACAAACTATTATTATGCAGGCAGAATAATAATAATCCCAGATGGAAGTTGAGTGATACAGAGAGGAATTAAGAACAAAGAGAATGGTAACTATGTGGGTATATTTAAAATAATATAATAATAATGTTTAATGGGTTTTAACAAGTATAGAGTCTTAAAATACATAATAGTATACAAGTTGGAGGGTGGTTAATGGAGCTAATGTGTCCTAATTAGAAGGAAATAAATACACATATTAGGAAAAAGGCTAATAATTAATCATTAAGAAATCTACCTACAGAAGCAAATTAAACCCTAAGAAAGTAGAAGGATGGAAATAATTATAAGAGTATAAATTAAAGTAATAGAAAATAAATATACAATACAGAGATTTAATGAAGCCAAAGTGGAATCTCTGAAAAGGGGCAAAGCCCTGCCTGGTACCACAAGAATTCAGGACTGCAAAGGGGTTAGTGCCACAGACCCTGCAGCCACCACACGGATCACAGGTGACCAATCCCTGGGAGAAATTTCACAGAGATAAATTTGAACATTGGGATAAAATTATTAAATTCCTGGAAACAAATAGAAAAACAGACCCATGGGAAAATAAAAACTTTGAGTATTCTTTGCAGAATTAAATATGCCGAATTTATATTTTTATATACACACACACACCACACACACACACACGATACACTTCATTTTCAAAAGGTTTCAACAGCAGATCCTATCAAACTCTGATGGAAAAAATTATTCCAATCCACATGAGAGAACAAAAAAAGAAGCTACAGATTCCAATTTCTTTCATAAGAGTCAAATAATGTGGAAGTGGAAATTTGACAAAGACAATACAAGAAAATAAAAATTGAGTTCGATGTCACTCACAAATGTAGACTTTAAAATCCTCAGCAAAACATTAGCTAACCAAGTCTAGCAATGAATAAAATGATCATACATGATGTCCAACTCACATTTATTTTGGAATACAAGTTTGATTTAACATTTGAAAGTCAATCAGTGTAAGTCACCAAGGGACGAGAAGAAAAAAGACAACTCACGACATTTCAGTAGATGAGGGAAAAAGCCTTTGATAAAAACTCTTAGAAAATAAGGAAGTAAATATATAGAATTTAACCTGATGGTCACACAGAACGTCATATCAAATGGTGAAATATTCAAATATTTTCCCATAAAACTGGAAGCAAACAAGAATGTCCTTTTTTAAAAATACCATTTCCATTTAACATTATGTTAGAATTCATAGCCAGTGCAATAGCGAAAAATTAAAAAATAACATTTATTATAGTTGCAAGAAATACAACTGATATTATTTGAATATCATTTGGAGTGTATACAAAATACTTCAAGGAATCTATAGGGAAATTATTAAATTTAAGATAGTGTGATGATTAATGTTGAGTGTCAACTTGATTGGATTGAAGGATGCCAAGTATTGTTCCTGGGTGTGTCTGTGAGCGTGTTGCCAGAGGAGATTAACATTTGAGTCAGTGGACTGGGAGAGGCAGATCCACCCTCAATCTGGGTGGACACCATCTAATCAGCTGCCAGCGTGGCTGGAATAAAGCCGGCAGGAGAAGCTCGAAAGAACAGACTTGCTGAGTCTTCTGGGCTTCATCTTTCTCCCATGCTGGATGCTTCGTGCCCTTGAACATCAGACTCCAAGTTCTTCAGCTTTTGGAGTCTTTGACTCACACCAGTGATCTGTCAGAAGCTCTCAGGCCTTCGGCCACAGACTGAAGGTGCACTGTCGGCTTCCCCACTTTTGAGGTTTTGGGGCAAACTGGCCTCCTGGCTCTTCAGCTTGCAGACAGCCTGTTGTGGGACTTCACCTTGTGATCATGTGAGTCAATACTCCTTAATGAACTCCCCTTCATATATACGTCCATCCTATTTGTCCTGTCCCTCTAGAGAACCTTGACTAATACAGATAGTGTTCAGTAAGGACACTGAATTCAATGTTGTTTTCCGGATACTACCAACAACTATTAGAAAATAAAATGAAAAAATCTTTGCCATTTACAATAGTGTTAGATAGATGAAAGGAACAGAATGAAATCCAGGAGTAGACCCACACGTATGTGGACATTTGATTTTAATGGTGGAGCAGGTACAGATTTTTTTTTTCAACAAACAATGCTGAATCCTCTGAATATCCATGTGGGAAAAAGTCAGCCTTGCCTCACCACATAAACAAATGCCAGCCACACAGTGAGCTTCAACATGAAAGGCAAAAGGAAAAAATTAAAGTTCTATCCATCAAGGACAAGATTTGCAAGTTAGATTGTGCTGTAATTGAGAACTTCTGGTCATCAAAGGAGACCACTATGAGGGTAAAATGCAAGCCACAGAGGGAGAGAAGGTATTAGCGACACAAATTGTGTACATATGGCTCACTGTGGAGAGTCTCTATTGAAAGAGAGAGATGCTAAAATCTCAGTCCAGCTATGGTGATTGTTGCCATTTTTTTTTTTTTTTTTTGGTGTTCTGCTATCAAAATCCACCATGATCTATAGACAGGCTCAGATGCGACATCCCGAGTCTGCACCCTAGCTTTCCCTGTGCACCTTGCTAAGTTTGTGAGCAGGGCGCAGCTCCCTCGATTAGGTGCATGCAGACCCACCGCTGGAGTGGAGCTCTCCTAGGTGATGGTGGCGCCTCCTGGGACCTCCTCTGTCCCCCTTTCTTTGAACACCTTCAATGCAATGCATGAGGAATGAAACCGCTGTTTGTTTGTAGAGGTGAGATGCCCACGAGTTTCCCCAGATACCAGCCAGTTGTCATGCCAACCCTTGTCTTTTATGGGTGATTGAGCTAACCTTTGCCCTCAGTCCTTCAGCTTGGTGAGGGGCACTCAGCTCCATTTCTTTGCCCAATTACAGAGGACGTCCACATAAGTCTTACTGAGGATGCACCTGGCAGCGTGGTGGGTGCCCCCTGGCTTGGCAGAGGGCCTCGTGGGAGCCAGCCATCCATGTGAGATGGCGTGAGTGCTGTCACCCACATGTGCCTGCTTCAGAGGGTCTGTTTCTTGTTTTGAGAGCCCTTCTGGATCCCCACGGGTCTGACGTCCTATGGCATCCTGATGGTGTCTCTCAAACACACCTGGGCTGTGACCCCTTCAAGCTGGTCTTTGGCCCCAGCTCAGGTGCCAGATCCTGGAACTCTGTGAAGGTTTAAGATTGACGAGTGGAACCCCAGAGGGAACAATGAAGGAATTACCTGTGTCAAGCCCATGAACAGCTTGCCTGTCCCCTGTTTTGTGAGATCCAGAGATGGCATTCAAGAGGAGCACAAGTGCACGGAACAGATCCTCAAAAAGGTAAGTGAAGGCTCGGGCTCCGGGAGGAGGTGCCGCCTTAGCATTGGGCTCTGCGACTGGACTGGGAAGCACAGGCAGCAGCTTGTAAACCCTATTTGATGGCAGTGATGATTGGATTTGAATTCACATGAGTTGGGTTGGAAACATGCAACCTAAAGCTTAAGAGGCAAATGGGACTTCATGAATTTAATGATGCTTCAGCTCTTCTGTTTTTTCCTGCTTTTGGTTTCATCAACCCCTCTCCACTGTCACGTGAATGACTGTGCTGGTCACAAGTGCCCTTCAGAGCAGCTCCTGGAAGCCTCTTTGTGGGGAGGGTAACAGGTTCTAGGTAATTTCCATTTTTTCCTTAGGTCCTGTTATTCTTACAAGGTATCCCTGAAGGTGTCAAGCCTCAGTGCAAATCCCTCTCGTTTCTACGAAAAGCGTTCTGTAAACATGTGAAATACATGTATTATTATAGGTAAGGTGATCTTGCATCTTATTCTATACTTAAAGTATGGTGCCAGTTACAGGGAAAACTCCCACATCAATCACTGAAAGGGAAGAAGGAAACAAAATGAATCCTGTTTTTTCTTTCCAGTGGAAGTCCCATTTCTTTGGTCCCTGCCTCTTCTCCCTTGCCAAGCCATCTCTCAAGTCATCAGAAACTTCTGGATAAGAAGTGTCTGTGGCATCAAGTGAGCTGGGTCCCTCATCCTGGGGACCCCAGGTGTAGGATGCTGGCACAGGAGGCGATGCTGCCTATCCATGGGCCTCATGCCTGCCCACCGGGCTCCATTTGCACACCTCTGCAGGTGTACCAGGTGCACCTGGCTCCCTGACAGAAAGACAGTGGTCCCCATAAACAGCAGAGTCGCAGGCACAGGGACTCGGCAAAGGGAAGAAGCTGAGAGCTTCAGAGAGGCAGGTGGGGATTTGCACCTGCTGGTCTGGAAGACTGATCTGGGGGCACAGCCTAGTCTGGGCTTCCTCTCCGTCACCTCCTGGGTGAGGGACTGGGCACAGGCTGGCTCAGACCCCATCCAGCTCTGACATTCTGGGGTTCTACCTGCACAACATAGGTGTCTCTGTGGCCAGAATGTCTGCACTGGGCCCCAAAGTCAGCTGCCCATAGGTGTTCTCAAAAGGGGCTTTGAAATATCTCCCCATGATCAGATGCTGGTAAGCACAGGGGAACTTGCATTGCAAGGAGCCTTTTTGTTTTCACTCAGTCCATCCCTAATGCTCACAAGCTTTCCTGAGCTCACAGTAGGTCAGCCCACCTTGAGTCAAAGATGACTCCATTTCCAGGTTGTCTGTGGATAGGATGTCCTGGCTAGGCTGACATGTGTGGCATGGCCTGTGGCAGAGCCCTTGCCTTCAGCATCATTTCCAGTAGTGGGAATGACTCCCCATCTTCTTCCCTATCTTCTCTGACATTCTATCACCTTATCTGAAAAAGAGTTATTAAGTTTCTACTAAGATTAATGTGCTAGAAGTTTGGAAAAATCCAGAACCACTGGTAGAAGTGAGGCCATCCTCTTAGGATGGTGACATCACTTATACTTGTCATCTTGAGCATTTATCAGTATTCACTTCTTCCTGACGGCCCAGAGCAGCAGGAAATAAAATGATTTTGTATATAATGTAGGTCAGTTTTATGAAATGTTAATTAAACCTCCATAAAGCTATTAAAAAATAAGCATCTGACAGGATTAAAACCAAACATATCAGTTTTGTCAATACAGATAAATGGGTTTCATTCATTGCATAAAAGAAAATGCTTTCCAATTCACTTCAGAAAGAAAGTCCCACATGTATGCTGTATGCGAGAGACTCATCTAGCGTAAAATTATTTGAGAATGATGGAAATAAAGAAATTTACAAAGATGTACTATACAATTGGAGACAGGAAAATCAGGGTAGCAATACTTGCTTCAGACCTAGTAGAGTTCCAAATGCAAAGATTTTGGAAATAACAAAGCATTTAGAAATAGACAAAAAAATTGCAAATAACAAAGGACACATTTTACTGCTGAAAGCCATAATTTATAACAAAGTGATAATAATTATGAATATTTATTTACCAAATAACAAGTAACTTGAAAAGGCAGAATTTAGAAGAGATGCAAGGAATCCTAAATAGGACAGGAAGACTTTAAGACATCACTCTCTGTACAAGACAGACAAAGGTACAAACAATAAATCAGAATATAGAAGACCTAAAAAATACAAGCCTCAAGGTAGATTTTTGTATGTATCGTATTCTACACCCTGATAATTGTCAATGTGTATTTACATACAACACACATGAAACATTAATAAGGGCTGATCACATATTAGGTCACAAAGAAAACAGTAAGATTCATGGAGTAAGAATTCTATAAACAACACTCTCTGATTAAAATGCAATACAAGTAGAAAATATTAACCAAAATTAAAATGGTCCTTTCATTAGAAAATTTAAAATCCTATTACACTTGAATGAAAGAGGAATACAAACCAAAATTAAAGAATTCATAAACAATAGAATGAAAACACTGCATATTAGAATTTATAGTATATATTCAGAAAGAGGAAAACGTATAGCCTTAATTTTTTATAAACAAAAGTGAAAGAAAAGAAATGAGTTAATTTTCCTTTTCAAAGAGCTAGAAAAAAATCACCAAGCAAACCAAAAGACATCACTAGGAAGGAAACATTAAAATATTAAAGATAAAAACAAAAAATAAGCAAGCAGAGTCTAATGCTGTGGCTGTAGGTTTTTTCTTACTGCAAGGTCATTTAATATTAGGGAAACCATTAATACAGTGCAGTCTATGTTAATCTAAAAAGAAAACGCATGGCCGGGCGAGGTGGCTCACGCCTGTAATCCCAGCATTTTGGGAGGTTGAGGCAGGCAGATGACTTGAGGTCATGAGTTCAAAACCAGCCTGGCCAACATGGTGAAACCCCGCCTCTACTAAAAAATACAAAAATTAGCCGAATGTGGTGGCGGGTGCCTGTAATCCCAGCTACTCGGGAGGCTGAGGCAGGAGAATTGCTTTAACCTGGGAAGCAGAGGTTGCAGTGAGCCGAGATCATGCCACTGCATTCCAGCCTGGGCGAGACTCTGTCTCAAAAAAACAAACAAACAACCCCCCCCCCCCCCGTGATTTTTCTCCCTACATGCTGAAAAAGTCTCTATCAAAATGCAACAACCAGTCCTGATGGAAATATTCATGAAAATAATAATTGGTGGATATTTTATCAACATGAAAATATACATGTACAATGCTTCTACGACCAGTGTCTTACAAAATGGGGAAACATTTTTCAAAAGGATCAGGAACAAGTCAAAGATACATATCATCTCTACTGCTCTCCCACGTCGGGCTGGAGGTGGAGGTACGATTGTTGCTCTTAAACACACACAAATATTTCAATCTTATGAGATGAAGGCAAATTGAAACTACACCGAAATGACATTTCTCACTTAACTGATCTGCAAACATTTTTGAATAAATGTCTCCCACTCTGTTGGTGAGGCTGTGTAGGAACAGGCACACTCATACATTGCTGATGGGAATGAGAATTGTTATAACCCCTTATGGAAGGGAACTTAGCAAGAGCTAGAAAAATGACATTTGCATTCTCCTTTTGGTTTATAAATTTTAATTCCAGAAATTTACTCATTTTAGATGATGTCCTTCTATAAAATAAAAAAATCTAGTTTACAAAGTAATTATTGCAGCATTGTTTGTAATTACAAAACATTGAAACAACCTGAATGGCCATTCACAGGAGAGCAGCCGAACATCCCTGACACATCCAGCCCATGAAGTATTTCTCATGTGGCTTTAACAAGTAATGAGGAAGGGTAGGGCGTGGTGGCTCACACCTGTAATCCCAGCACTTTGGGAGGCTGAGTTGGGGAGATCACTTGAGGTCAGGAGTTTGAGACCAGCCTGGCCAACATGGTGAAACCCCATCTCTACTAAAAATGCAAAAATTTAGCCAGGTGTGGTGGGACGTGCCTGTAATCCCAGCTACCCAGGAAGCTGAGGCAGGAGAATCTCAGGAACCTGGGAGGTGGAGGCTGCAGTGAGCTGAGATTGCGCCACTGCACTCCAGCCTGGGCGACAGAGCAAGATTCTGTCTCAAACAAACAAACAAACAAACAAACAAAAAAACTAATGAGGAAGACTTCTAGGAAGAATAAGGAGTGATTCATGAGGACATATTATTATGTAGAAAAAAGTAAGCAAAGTGCAGAAGAATGCAGTATGCTATTTTTTTGTGTAAGAAAAAAGGGAACTAAAAATTTGCATCCATTTGTTCATTTATGAAAAAACAGAAAACCCAATTATTCACACGCAAAGAAGGATAAACCAGAGACCCATACAATAAAATTGGTGCCGACTTGGGGTGGGTGGGATTGAGTCGAAAGAAAAAAAATAGAAAAAATGGGGGGTAGGTGGTGACACTTCTTGTCATCAGTCCTATTGTGCAGTCTGACTTCTGGAACCATGTCAATATTTTACTTACTCCAAAAAGAAAATCAATGAAATCAACAAGAATGGGTGTGTAAACAATCTACGATTGTTTACAAAAAGAAAATAAATGAAGTGACTTGTTTTCCAAAATGAGTAAGATGACCATACCGAAGTGGGGTGGGAGGCGGTGGAGAACTAACCCAAATAACCGCTGAACATAGAACAATTGTCTCAGTGTTTATGGGTGATTGGTTCCAGGAGCCCTCACGGATACCAAAATCCATGGATGCTTGTGTCCCTTATGTTAAATGGCACAGAACTTGCATATAACCTATGCACATCCTCCCATATACTTTAAATAATCTCTAGATTATGTATAATCCATAATATAAGGTAAGTGCTATGTAAATGGCTGTTGTACTGTATTGTTTAGGGAATAATGACAACAAAGTATCTGTACATGTTCAGTGCTAACACAATTATCCATTTTTTCCCAGATATTTTTGGTCTGTGGCTGGTTGAATCCGTGGATGTAGAATCCATGGATATGAAGGGCCGACTGTATTTGGATTCTATGTCCTCAGGCTAAAGATAAAAATAACTCTAAACAAACTTCCAGCTTTAGTTAAGGGGCTTTTTTTTTTTTTTTATCACAGAGGCATGGGTTAGCAATTCTGAAACTATTTTTTTTGTTAGGGACAAGCAAATCAGTAAACATGTTGTAGGAGATGGCAGCAGAAGGAGCTACGATTATGGAAAGAAGAGAGGATGAGAGGAACCCTGTGATACTGGATAGCAATTGGAGAGATCAGGTGAAAGCCGAGATGATTTTTGGGTGGTGAAGCTGTTATCTGCCCTTTGCGATTTGTGGCTGATGTATTGCACAACGTTTTGCTGGATGACAGGGGAGGTGACCCGATCCTGATGCACATTTCAACAGGGTCAAGGCACTGGCTTGTGGTGTCCATGGCTTCGGCCACGTTGATAGCCACTGAGTGTTTTTGTAAGGATGCAAATGTAGGAGGCGGCTCCCAGAGTTCAAGTCCTAGCTGCCCCCCTTGTTACTGCTGAGAACATTCACACTTCCGTGCCTTGGTTTTTCTGTTAGTCTTCTGGGTACCTACCTAGCAAATTGTGAGGATACATGATTTAACATGTGTGAAGCTCTTAGTGTGGTGTCTTAGTGTGGTGTCTGGCCCAGGGTGAAGTTCTTTATCCATTAGCTCTTCTTAGTGTTTTTACTTTTGTTGAAAATCTGTATGGCTTAATAATTCAATCACAAAAATAAGTGCTTGGGTTGCTTGGTGGGAAACTAGCCTTGGAACTGCTGGGGATACTTTGGGTTGGCTTTCCTTTACCCGCTGCTGCCTCTTGGAACTTAACTGGGCCCCTTTTTAGGATTCTAGGAAAACTCATCAGAGATGCTTGCAGAAGTCTGAAATCCCATCTGGACTTGATTGTCTTTTTGAAGGGCAAAACCCTATTTTTCTTGGAGGCGTCAATCTCTCAAAATGCTAGATGAGAAGCCTAGTAACAGTCTGAGACCCACACCTGGAAGCCAACAAGTGAATTATGGTGGTGTGTTCGGGTTGTATCCCAGAGATGGTGGTGGGCTAAGAAGGGTCAGTGGTGGCAGCCCACCTGGGGTGTGGAGAGTGAGGCTGGGTTTTGAGGTGTGGAGGAAACTGAGGACCCGGCCACAGCACCCCGCGGTTGCTTTCTGCTGTTCACCTCGGCACAGAGCCTGCGGTCCTGGCTTAAGACACAGAAACACCCCACCCCGCTCTCCTGACAAGCGCCACAGGCACATTAAAATAGCAGTAAATAGGCCGGGTGTGGTGGCTCATGCCTCTAATCCCAGCACTTTGGGAGGCCATGGCGGATGGATTACCTGAGATCAGAAGTTCGAGACCAGCCTGGCCAACATGGTGAAACCCTGGTTCTACTAAAAGTACAAAAAGTTAGCCGGGCGTGGTGGCGCACACCTGTAATCCCAGCTACTGGGGAGGCTGAGGCAGGAGAATTGCTTGAGCCCAGGAGACGGAGGTTGCAGCGAGCTGAGATCGTGCCACCGCACTCCAGTCTGGCTGACAGAATGATACACTGTCTCAAAAAAAAAAAAAAAAAGCCGAAACAACAAGAACAACAACAAAAAACCAGCAGTAAATAAGTGATCAGCATTTAGGGAAATATCCCCACAGCCCACCACTCAGATCCAAGCACTGCCCGCATATTTGAATGTTTCCGTTTTTTTTTTCTACATAATGCTTTTTTACTTTTTCTTACAAAAAAATAACCAAACTGTTTTTTTGACTTAAAAACTTTAATTTCAAATGCAGGGATACAAGTGCAGGTTTATTACATAGGTAAACTTGTATTATGGGGATATGTTGTATAGATTATTTCATCATGCAGGTATTAAGCTCAGCACCTGTATTAGTCCCTTCTCACACTGCTATAAAGAACTACCTGAGACTGGGTAATTTATGAAGAAAAGAGGTTTAATTGACTCACTGTTCCACAGGCTGTACAGGAAGCACGGCTGGGAGGCCTCAGGAGACTTACAATCATGGGAGAAGGTGAAGGGAAGGCTGGGAAGCTTCAGGAGACTTACAATCATGGCAGAAGGTGAAGGGAAGCCTGGGAGGCCTCAGGAGACTTACAGTCATGGCAGACAGCAAAGGGAAACTGAGCACCTTCTTCACATGGCAGAGTGGGAGAGAGAGCAACCCACTTTTAAACAACCGGATCTCATGAGAACTCACTCACTGTCATGAGAACAGCAAGGGGGAAATCCATCTTATGATCTAAACACCTCCCACCAGGTCCCTCCCCTGACATTGGGAATTACAACTCAACATGAGATTTGGGTGGGGACACAGAGCCAAACTATATCAATACCCATTAGTTATTTTTCCTGATGATCTTCTTCCTCCTTCCACATTTCACCCTCCAAAAGGCCCCACTGTGTGTTTTTCCTCAATATGGGTCCGTGTGTTCTCATCATTTAGCTCCCACTTATAAGTGAGAACATGTGGTATTTGGTTTTCTGTTCCTGTGTTAGTTTGCTGAGGATAATGGCCTCCAGCTCCAACCATGTCCCTGCAAAAGACATGGTCTCATTCTTTTTATGGCTTCATAGTATTCCATGGTGTATATATACCACATTTTCTTAATCCAGTCTATCACTGAGGGGCATTTAGGTTGAATTCATGTCTTTGCTATTGTGAATAGTGCTGCAATGAACATATGCATGCATTTGTCTTTATGATAGAATGATTTATATTCCTTTGGTTATATACCCAGTAATGGGATTGCTGGGTTGAATGGTGTTTTTGTCTTTAGGTCTTTTATGTTTTGTTTTGTTTTGTGTTTGTTTTTGTTTTTGAGGTGGAGTCTTGCTCTGTTTCCCAGGCTGGAGGGCAGTGGCGTGACCTCGATTCACTGCAACCTCCACCTCCCAGGCTCAAGTGATTCTCTTGCCTCAGCCTCCCGAGTACCTGAGATTACATGCATGTGCCACAATGCCCAACTAATTTTTGTATTTCTAGTAGATACAGGGTTTCACCATGTTGGCCAGGCTGGTATCGAATGCCTGACTTCAAGTGATCTGCCTGCCTTGACCTCCCAAAGTGCTGGGATTATAGGTATTCACCACTGCACCCTGACTGTCTTTAGATCTTTGAGGAATAACCACACTGTTTCCCACAATGGCTGAACTAATTTACACTCCCATCAACAGTGTATAAGCATTCCCTCCACAACCTCACGAGCATCTGAAAATATTCCTATTATTATCTCATAGCATTTTATCATAAGCACTTTACAATGCTATTGAACAGTTTACAGGATGTTTATTTTAAAAATAATACTATTTTCACAAGCATCACTTTGACATCTTTATTGAGGTATAATTGATATATGTTAAACTCACATATTAAAAGTGTGCAATTTGATAAGTTTTGACACGTGTATGCACCTGTGAAGCCATTACCACAATTGAGTGAATGACATTTCCCTCATTCTCAAAGCTCCCTCAGGCCCCTTTGAAATCCTCCCCACCATCTCCCCAGCCTCCTCTTGCTCCCCCAAAAAAACTTGCATACTCCGGGTCATTATATATTAATTTGTATTTTCTAGAGTGTCATACAAATGGAACTAGAGAGTACACACTCTTTTTTGTCTGGCTTTTTTACTCAGGATAATGATTTGGAGATTCATTCATGCTGCTGAGTGTATCTATAGTTAATTCCTTTTTGTTGCTGAGTAATATTCTATGGAATTGATTCACCGTGGTTTATTTACTCACTCGGCAACTGAGGGACATCCAGCTTGTTTCCAGTTTTGGGCTATTGCAGATAAAGCAGCTATGAACATTTAGGTACAAGTATTTATGAGGACATTTCCTGTAAAAAAAAAAAAACCCACAGGAAATACCCTTATTTCTTATGAGAAATACCTATGAGTGGAATGACTGAATCCTATAATGGGTGATGTTTCACCTTCTAAGAAACTGCCAAACTGTTTTCCAAAATGGTTGCACCATCTTATGTTCTCATCAGCAGCGTAGGAGAGTTCCAAGCTCCCCAGAGCCTCTCCAGGGCTTGGCATGGTCAGTCTCAATTTTAGCCATCCAAGTAGGTGCAGAATGGTTCTCACTGTGGCTTTATATTTAATGTGGTCACATATTTAATGACTAATGATATTGAGCATGTTTTCATGTGCTAATTTGCCATCTGGAAATGTCCTGTGGTGAAGTATCTGTGTATCTTTTGCTCAGTTTTCCCCCTTACTTTTTTGTCATTGTTGAGTTTTGAGAGTTCTTTATATATTCTGGATATGAGTACTGGTTTTAGATGTATGCTTTGCAATGATTTTCTCCCAGCTGTGCCTTGTCTTTCATTTTCTTAACAGTGTCTATTGAAGAGCAGAAGTTTTAGATTTTGATGAGGTCCCACTTACTAATTTATTATTTTATAGATTGTGCTTAGATGGTCATATTAAAAATATTTGCCTAATCAAAGGTCACAAAGATTTTATGTTATGTTTTCTTTTGAAGTTTTATAATTTTAGGTTATATATTTAGGTCTATTATCTAGTTTGAATTAATTTCTGTATATGATATAAGGCATGGTTGATTTTTTTTTGCATAGAGATAGGTAGTTGTTCTAGAATTATTTGTTGAAAAGACTCATCATTTTCTACTTAATTGCTTTTGTATATTTGTCAAAACTCAGTTGTCCATATATATGTATTTCTGGAGTCTATTTTGTTCAACTGACCTGTCCTTATGCCAGTATCACACTGTTTTGATTATTGTAGCTTCATAAGGTCTTGAAATCAGGTAGTGATAATCCTCCAATTTTGTTCTTTTCCTTAGCTCTTCTTGTTGTTCTAGGTTCTTTCCATTTCCATATGGATTTAAAAACCAGTTTGTCAATTTCTGCAAATAAGCCTATTGGGATTTTTTAAAAAATTATGTTGCATCTATGAATCAATTGGGGGATGAGTGGTGGCTAACCATGTTGTTTTCTAACCCATATGATGAGGCACATCTCTTAATTTATTTGGGCATTTAAAAAATTTCTCTCAGAACTGTTTTGTGGTTTTCAGTGTGCAGATCTCTCACATCTTTTGTCAGATTTATGTCACATTTTTTATGCTATTGCAAATGTATTATTATTTTTGAATTTCAATTTTCTGTTGTTTGTGGCTAGTGTATAGAAGTGCATTTGAATTTTTATGATTTTGTATCCAACAATCTTGTTAAACTCACGTTAGTTGTAGTAGCCTTTGTAGATTATAATATCTTTTCAATTAATAGAACCCTTTATCATTATGAAGTGTCCTTTATCTCTGGCAATAGAATCTGCTCTGAAATTTACTTCATGCAATATTAGTGTAGCCACTCCATCTGTTTTGACTGATGCTAACGTGATACATCTTTTTTCACTCCTTTACTTTTAATTTATGTCTTTATATTTAAGTATGTTTCTTCCCCTCATCTTCTAGTTCGATCTTGCTTTTTAAAATCCAATTTGTCAAAAGCTGCTTTTTGCTGTTTAGATTATATTTACTATATTAGTTCATTTTCACACTGCTATAGAGAACGGCCCAAGAGTGGGTAACTTATAAAGAAAAAAGGTTTAATTGACTCACAGTTCTGCATGGCTGGGGAGGCCTCAGGAAACTTACAATCATGGTGGAAGTAGAAGGGGAAGCAAAGACCTTTTTCACATGGTGGGAGGAGACAGAAGTGCTAGCAGGTGAAATGCCAGATGCTTATAAAACCATCAGATCTTGTGAGAACTCCCTCACTATCACGAGAACAGCATGGAGGAAACTGCCCCCATGATCCAATCATCTCCCTCAACATGTGGGAATTAAAATTCAAGACGAGATTTGGGTAGGGACACAGAGCCAAACCATATCAATATATTTAATGTGTTTATTGATGTGGTTAGATTTAAGACTATCTTCTTGCTATTTGTATTGTCTGTCTTTTGTTCTCCTTTTTTCCCCATTTTGTTTGAATTGTGTGTTTTTTTAAGTTCCATCGTATACCTTTTGTTGGATCATTAACTGTAATGCTTTGTTTTGTTGTGTTAGTGGTTGCTTTAGGGTTTATAGTATATACTTCATTAATGAATCCCTGTCTTCAAGTGTTATTACACCACTTCACAGAGAGTGTAAGCACCTACAATTATATACTTCCATTTCTTCCTTCCTGCCTTTATGCTATTTTGCCATACATTTTATTGTTATACATGGTATAAACAGTTAAAACAGTTGTCTTTTAAAGAGATTTAAATAACAACAAACACATGTACTTACTCTGGTAGTTACCATTTCCAGAGCTTTTTATTCTTTTCTGTGGATCTGTATTTGTCTGCTATCATTTTTCTTCTGCCTGAAGGACTTCTTTCAGAATTTCTAGATTCGATGCTATCCCCAACAAGCTACCACTGACTTTCTTCACAGAATTGGAAAAAACTACTTTAAACTTCATATGGAAACAAAAAAGAGCCTGCATAGCCAAGACAATCCTGGGCAAGAAGAACAAAGCTGGAGGCATCACACTACCTGACTTCAAACTATACTACAATGCTTCAGTAACCAAAACATCATGGTACTGGTACCAAAACAGATATATAGACCAAAGGAACAGAACGCAGACCTCAGAAATAACACCACACAGCTACAACCATCTGATCTGTGAGAAACCTGACACACACAAGTAAGAGGGAAAAGATTCCCTATTTAAAAAATGGTGTTGGGAAAACTGGCTAGCCATATGCAGAAAACTGAAACTGAACCCCTTCCTTACACCTGTTATGAAAATCAACTAAAGATGGATCAAAGACTTACACATAAGACCTAGGACCATAAAAATCCTAGAAGAAAACCTGGGCAATACCATTCAGGACATAGACATGGGCAAATATTTCATATCTAAAACACCAAAAGCAATGGCTACAAAAGCCAAAGTTGACAAATGGGATCTAATTAAACCAAAGAGTTTCTGCACAGCAAAAGAAACTATCATCAGAGTGTACAGGCAACCTACAGAATGGGATAAAATTTTTGCAACCTATCCATCTGACAAAGGGCTAATATCCAGAATCTACAAAGAACTTAAATAAATTTACAGGAAAAAAAAAACAATCCCATCAAAAAATGGGCAAAGGATATGAACAGACACTTGTCAAAAGAAGACATTTATGCAGCCAACAGACAGAAGAAAAAATGCTCATCATCACTGGTCATCAGAGAAATGCAAATCAAAACCACAATGAGATACCATCTCACGCCAGTTAGAATGGCGATCATTAAAAAGTCAAGAAACAACAGATGCTGGAGAGGTTGTGGAAAAATACGAATGCTTTTACACTGTTCATGGGAGTGTAAATTAGTTCAACCATTGTGGAAGACAGTGTGGTGATTCCTCAAGGATCTAGAACTGGAAATACCATTTGACCCAGCAATCCCATTACTGGGTATATACCCAAAGGATTATAAATCATTCCATGATAAAGACACATTCACATGCATGTTTATTGTGGCACTATTCACAATAGCAAAGACTTGGAACCAACCCACATGTCCATCAGTGATAGACTGGATTAAGAAAATGTGGCACATATACACCATGGAATACTATACAGCCATAAAAAGGATGAGTTCATGTCCTTTGCAGGGACATGGATGAAGCTGGAAATCATCATTCTCAGCAAACTATCACAAGGTCAGAAAACCAAACACCACACGTTCTCACTCATAAGTGGGAGTTGAACAATAAGAACACATGGACACAGGGAGGGGAACATCACACACTGGGGCCTGTTGGGAGGTGGGGGTCTAGGGGAGGGATAACATTAGGAGAAATACCTAATGTAGGTGACAGTTTTATGGGTGCAGCAAACCACCAGGGCACACGTATACCTATGTCACAAACCTGTACGTTCTGCACATGTAACCCAGAACTTAAAGTACAATTAAAAAAAAAAATTTCTAGTAGCGTGGCTCTGCTGACGATGATGAATTCTTTCTGCTTCTTTATGTCTAGAAACCTTTTATTTTGCCTTTGTTTTTGAGATTTTTTTTCCAAGGCATAGAATTCTTGGTTGGTAGCTTTTTTATTTTCCCCTTTCTGCTTTTTCTAGATGTTGCTTTGCTGTCTTCCCTCTTGCATTATTTTTGACAAGAAGTCATTATCCTTATATGCCTGATAAGTACCCTATGGTTGCTTTTAAAATCTTCTCTTTATCACTGGTTTTGAGTAATTTGATCATCATGTGTCTTAGTGTAGTTTTCTTCATGTTCCTTTTGATTGTGGTTCAATAGTTCTTAAATTTGTAGGCTTATAGTTTTTGTCTAATTAGGAAAAATTTCAGCCATTATTTATTCACATTTTTTGCTGTTATCCTGCTCAATCTACTTAGGGGACTTCATATATTGGGCTGCTTTAAATTGCTTCACAGCTTGTTGATCTTTTATTGATTTTTTTCTTTATTTATAATCAACATCATTTCTAATAGATACAAAATATTTCCTCTTATGTTTTCTAATTTGTTTAATTATTTACCTTTTAGTTGGGCATATAGTTCATTATAGTGTTTTATTTTTCTACTGTAAATATGGCTGGGAAAAACATTTTGGGAGGAATGTGTTCTGATTTTTCAAAAATATAAATTATCAGATAATTGGTTTTAAAATTCCCTTTACATACTCACAGATTATTTTATAAAGGTGTTTGCTTATTTACCTTTCCATGCAATGTATGAGAATGCCCATCTCACATAGCCATTACTAGCATTGAGGGCTTCAAAAATTATTTTATTTGAACATTATTTTCCTATGGGAATGTGTGTGTGTGTGTGTGTGTGTGTGTGCACCTGTGCATACATGCTTGTGTATGAATGCATGTACATATTATCAGAATGAATAATTTTTTGCTTATTATATTTTTAAAAATGTAAGTTAAGCATGAAAAATGTAATGAAATACCTGAATAAGAGTAACATTTTATTGCCTCTTGTGTTCCAAATTTATTGATTTTTGACTTGCATTATTTGGCACATGTACCACTGTTTAAATGACACCTATGTGATACTGTTGTAGAATATAAACTTTGTTTTTGAGATGGAGTTTCACTCTTGTTACCCAGGATGGAGTGCAATGGTGCAATCTTGGCTCACTGCAACCTCCACCTCCCGGGTTCAAGCAATTCTCCTGCCTCAGCCTCCCAAGTAGCTGCGATTACAGGCACCCGTCACCATGCCTGGCTAGTTTTTGTATTTTTAGTAGAGACAGGGTTTCACCATGTTGGCCAGGCTATTCTTGAACTCCTGAGCTCAGGTGATGTACCCGCCTCGGCCTTGAAAGTGCTGGGATTACAGGCGTAAGCCCCCGCGCCCAGCCAGAGTATAAACTTGTAATAGTTTAGGTAAAACATTAGCAACCACTAAATTGACAATTCTACTTATTAAGCTACCCTACACATAAGCAGCAGCACAGTTCACAGGCTACTGAAATATGAGGGACTTCTGTTTATCAGACCTCTGTCTGCCACTGCCACGTGGCACCAAGCTCACATGCCATTTATAATCTTTGAATTGTGCTATTTTAACCAAATATTGGACTTTTAAATTATAGCAAATTTAGACAAAAGGTGAGACTTCATTAATGTTTTATTACGTTATTTTAAATTATTCAAATGTATGTAAAACGAAACAATCCTCTTATGTAAATTTTGTTTCTCTGTCAATATTTAATTCTCTAATTCCTGCTTCATGCCTTATTTCAATGGGTAGAGCTTGTGAGTAAATATTGAATAATGGCAGTGATAGAAGGTGTCTCCATTTGGGCTCCTGTAACAGAATACCATAGGCTTGGAGGCTTATAAACAGCAGAAGTTTCTTTCTCACAGTTCTAGAGACTGAAAGTTCAAGATCAAGGTGTCTACAGATTCAATGTCTGCTGAGGACTTGCATTCTGGTTCATAGATGGCCATCTTCTCACTGTGACCTCATGTGGTGGAAGGGGCAATAAATTTCTTCAGGGTCTCTTTTATAAGGGCATTAGCCCCATTCATGAGGAATCCACCCTCATGACTTAATGACCCCCCAACGCCCCACCTCCGAATATCATCATCTTGAGGGTTAGGTTTCCATATTTAAATATTGGAGGGACACAAACATTTAGTCTGTAGCAGAAGGCCTCCTAATTTAGTTTCCAATTTTATTGAGAATGCCTGTAGTTTTTAGATATTGGGAATAGATCCTTGCTTTTCTGGACAGAAATATAATTTATATAACTTTATTGACTTGATACATTTATTAATAGGTTTTCTAGTGTTAAAGTGTCTACATTCCTGAGTAAACCTAGTTGGTTTTACAAGATCATTTGGTTACTACCCTGCTGATATTTTTTTTGCTAGTGTTTTCTAATGACATTTAGCTTTATTTTTAAATACGTTATTCCCCTTTTTCTTTGTTAGTTTTTGACAGTAGGGTTGTATTATCTTTCTCTAAGAAATCCAGCGGTCTCCCAGATTTTTCTATGCTGTGCATTAGCGTTTTTACATTTAAAATTATCATTTCCTTGAAAGTTTGCAACCATTGAAGGCACCGTTAGTGCATTTTCTCCTTACTTCTTAGTTTTGGGCTTATTGGTGTATTCAAAATTTCATCTCTTTGATATGCTGTTGTTTAACAATTGTTCTCACTGAGGGGTTGGGCAAACTTCTCCACCCCACAAGCCATGGGCTTTGTTGTGAACCTTGCTTTGGCCATTGGAATGGGAAGAATATTACATATGCCATGTCTACAGAGAGGCTTTGAACATACTTAGGACTTTTAGGTTCACTCTGTGCACATATATTCTTTCCAGGCGAGGAAAAGTTTCCAGGAAATTGTTACTATTTCAACCTGGAGCCTGGAAGGACAGATGCACAGAGAAGCTGTGAACCCAACCTCTACACCTTGAGCCAACCCCAGCTGTATCTTGCCAAGGTCAGCCAACTACAAACCCATGAGAAAGAAACAAATGCTTGATATTGTGAGCCCCTGAAATTTTGTAATTATGTCATGTGCAGCACTAACACAGAAAAAGCTGATTAATGCATATACCAAGATATTGCTGGCTGATAATTTCACTGAAATCAATTTATTTCCCTCCCCTCTTTTTCTTCTCCTTTCTTCCCTTTCTTCCTTCCTCCTTCCCTCTCTTCTTTCCTACTCTTCTCTCTTTCTTTTCACTTATTCCCTCTTACCTTTCCTTCCTGGAAGCATTTAAAGCTATGGATTGTTTAAAGTGATATTTTGATTTCTTTGTATTCTAAATTGTTTGTTATGGTATTTCATTTTCTTTTCTCTTTATCGTAATAATTATGAGGTTTTTTTCTCCAAGAGTTTACATTTTTTTGATGGCAGAAGCTTCATTATTAATGTTAAGCTTTAGTGTGTTGTGGTCAGAAAATGTAATCTCTATATTTTTTCTTAAATTAAATTTTATTAAACTTTCTTTAGTCAAATTTTATTGAGGTTTTCTTTAGCACTTGAAGATGGTTAATTTTTGTAAATACTGCATGACTTTTGGAAAGGCTTATGTGTAAGTTTCTTGTTCAAGTCTCTGACATGCTAGTTTTCCATTTACTCTCTCATGGAATAGGGAAGATGCATGGAGTCTCCCAGTTGAGGTGTGTTTCTGTCCATTTCAGCTAGACCTACAGCATGGTTTGCTTTTTAATTGCTAGGATATTTTCAGCACCACACGTTTGTATTGCTATACTGTAACTTTTATCAACATAAAATCATCCTCTTCATGCAGTGAGAAACTTCCTGACTGAAATTATTCTTTGTTCATAAGATTGTCATTTCTGCATTCATTTTCCCCATCTGTCTTACAGGTGCCTATCCATCTTTTTTATTTTAAACATTCTTTTTCATTTGTTTTAGGTATGTTGGTTGGAGTTTTTTTGTTTTTAATTTATCTTTTAAATAATGCAACAGTTTACAATTACTCATTTCTATTCTATAACATGTTTGTCATTTGTATTTCTATTTGTATTTCTGTTCATTATGTCTGTTCTTTCTTGTTTTTTTTAAAAGATATGGACAGTATGTCTTATTTGCCTTGATTTCCTCAAATGATTTGTAAATTTAAAATTGTGCTAATTTAAAACTTTTTGTTTAACATAGTTTTATAATATGATTTCTTAATATACTTACTCGAAGGCACTAATAGAACTTATAATACCTTATATATAAAAGCCAAACATTGAGCACCTTTACTTTTCCTGCTGCATTTGCCAAATTTCATTAATTTAACATGGATTATAATTTCTTAGAATATAACATTCCTTATTTAGCAAAGCCTCTTTGCATACATTTTTATAAAATAATTACAAAAACAATTACAAAGACATTAATTAATTTTGATATTTACCACTTGTTCTTTAATCTAATAACTCTCTCTTTTTATGTCCTTAATTTTGATTTGTCTCTTGGTTGTCTACATGGCAGAGTCGTGTTTGTAGGTGAAGCACAGTTTCTGGGGGTTCCGCGTGTTCAGTGTGTTGCTCTGAGCCTCACCTGAGAACGGCAGCCTGATCCTTGGAGCAGCATCAGCAGGTGTGGCGTCGGCAGGTGTGGTGTCCGCAGGTGCGGTGTCAGCAGTGCCACCTTCCCACCCTCGCCAGCGCTGTGCTCACCCTGCTTTTGCTACTGTTCTGTTTTCTTCTTGGAGATACCCATTTTGTGAGTTTGAAAATCTGTGGTCAGTTTTTGTGTTCTGTCCTATTGTTTTGATTCCCCTTTTCTTATCCCAATTCTGGAATATTTTATCAGTTTCTTCCCCCACCCCCTCAATGATTTCTTTTTGCACCATGGAGCATGCTCTCAGCCGCATCCAGCATGGACTTTCATTTGCCATTTTGGTTTTCCTTGCAGTTTCTTCATACTTGTACCTGTTCTGTCTGGTTTATTGTAACATGCTCTTGAATCTATGGGAAACCTGCAGTTGCTGTTCTATGACATATTCTACCTTCCTCTGTTGAAAACATAGTTCAGCAGACTTTTTCTTCCAGATGCCTAAGACATTATTCTCACACTTCCTGGCTACAGAATTTCACCCTGAGCCACATGTTAAATTTTTGTTTTGTTTTGTTTTTGTTTTTTCAAAGACAAAGGGACTGACCCAGGCTCAGGCTAGAAAATCCCGGGGCTGCCAGTTGCTGCTGTGTAGCGTCTTTGACTCACAGGCGGCACTGGCAGGCCTGGTGCCCATGCCCGTTCCACCTCAGGACTCTCACAGACCGTGGCTTTCAAACTGGATCTGTAGCTCCATGGGGGTTCCAGAGGGCTTTTTAGGAACATACAGAAGCATTCTAAGCTAGAGGATCCTCACCATCCCATTCTACGTACAGCTGTGCCTGTTACGTAGTAGCTTGTACTTGAAACTTTGCTGAAAATGTTTGAGACCCACCGCTTCAGGAAACCCACTGCTTCAGGAAACCCACTGCTTCAGGAAACCCACTGCTTCAGGAAACACACTGAGGCTCCTTAGGTGTGCCCACGTGGGGACATTGCCTTTTGCACAGTCAGCAGGATTGCAAGAGGGGACGTCACTCTCTGTACAGCCGGCAGAATTGCGAGAAAGGACACCGCCCTCTGCACAGTCAGCAGACTTGCAAGAGAGGACATCACCTTTTGCACAGCCGGCAGGATTGCAAGAGGGAACATCACCTTTTGCACAGTCAGCAGGGCTGCAACAGGGACATCACCCCCTGTACAGCCGGCAGGGTTGCAAGAGGGGACATTGCCCTTTGCACAGCTGGCTGAATTGCAAACCTCCTGCAACATGGACATGGGGGCCCCATGCAGCCATGCTTCTGATTTCACTCCATTCTCTCTGCCTGGCTCCCCGGTGAGCACAGCTCCATGGGCAGAGGCTCCCTTTAGCTGCTGGGGAGCGAAAGCGTGGACTCGGGGGTGAGAGGAGTTCAGAGGGGACGGGAGTGCTCTGACATGAGAATCCTAAGAGCCACCATTTCTTGACTGGCACGCTTTGCTGGTTTGTGTGTGATGGGATTCTTGGCAGGGAAGCAGTGGCAGTGAGGGGCTCTTTTTGTTTTCCAGTGAAGGTGGCATGTCATGGACACTGATGTCACTCCTTCAGGTGTCCTTTGACCTTCTCCTTTTAAACAATACTTGAATCATAACTGAGGGTCATAATAGAAATGATGTCCTCATGTTAGTAGCCTCCCGGTTCCTACTCCAAGGCCTGGGTTCTTTTCACGAAATGCCTCCTTGGTTCTAGGGTAGATGCAGATTTTTTTCCCCATTTGTGTGTTTTTGTGGTTATTTAAAGGAAGTTAAGAAATATTCCAGTGCATTTGCTCAGATATCCTTCCCATGGATTTTTTAAAAATCAGGGTGAATTTTAGGTCATTTGAATGTTTTTAAGCATCTTGTGATATCTCTTGGGGATGGAGAATTCTTGGAGTGTGTGACCTCAGGCTGAGAGGTTGGCCATTCTCCGTGAGGCTGACCTGCAAGGTCACACACATGATGGGATGCCTGACCTGGGTCAGACCTGTGCTCGGCTCTAGAGGGACATGGACATGTGTGAGGACAATGGGGCCTCTCTGTGGGAGGTGACAGGTGCCACTCGGCACAGCCTGTCAGGAATTCCCAAGACAGAGCATCTCCTCCTCCTGTGCAGTGTGGTCATGGAGGCTTTGGTGTCCTTTGCCCGTGGTGGTGGAGGGAGTGGGCGGGGTGGTCAATAGGATGGGGAGTGACTCTGAGGATGTACACTAGGTGGAGGGAGTGGGGCTTTGGAGTGGCTGGACCAGGAGGTCCTGTGACCTGCCCAGGGGTATCTCCTGAGTGTGCCCTCCATGAAGCAACAGCAACACTTACTGGGCATAATTTGCTGCTCCCAGCACCCCTGGAGGCCGGTGCCATGCCCTCCTCACTTTTGGGATAAGGAAACTGAAGCTACCCAAAGCCACACAGCTGGTCAGCAGGGGGCTGAATGCAGATGAGGCATCCAGCTCCAGGCCCTGAGCTACTGAGGGCGTTACCGCAGCGGCTTAAGGAACGAGGGCTGGGCTGAGCAGCCGTTTCCATTACTGAAAATCAGGGAAACCAAGAGATCATGCACTGTTCTTCAAGCAAAATGATTAAAAACCACTTTTGATTTATTCATGGAAAGAGACACAATTTTGTTCTAAGTAGAGGCAATGGGGACTAGAGATTTTCTGTGTGGCCAAAATAACCTCATTTCTTCATCAAAATGTGTCTCTTCCATTCACTTCCAGACGTGATAATGTTATTACCACCCCTTTAATTTCTCTTACATTTGTCCTTTAAAAAAGGTTTCACTTTTATTCAGAGTAAAATGAGATGTGCATTTTATTTTGAGAAGCCAACCACCTAGGGTTTAAGCAAGTGCTTGGGAGTGAGGCAAACACTGGCACCTGGGCAATTATGCCCGCAGCAGAGAGCGCGCCGGCTTTCCTGCAGAAGGCATGATTGGAGAGGTGAGTTTTTACCTATAGTCTTTGCCGTGGTGGTGCGACGTTATTACATCTTAGATGGGGCCCCCTGCTGTCTTTGATTAGAATTAGAAGACCATCTTATTTAAGAAGAGGTTGCCTTTTGCATCTTCTCTATGTTGAAATAAACTCCAGCTTCTTTGTTGCATAAATGGGCTTTTACTTTGGAACCCATGTGGAAAAGCACTGGACTTTTCCTGGAGAATATTTGGGATATCAGCTTTGTGAGGCCGCTCGCTGAGCTGGACTGTGGAAAAATGCATAGTGTGAAATGTTATGTCAAGGCTTGCTTTAAATAATTACTGCTATCAAGGCCAAATGGGATTTCACCTGAATTAATTAAAGCTACAGGGTCAACACTAGATGCGCTGAAATTATTATTTTCTCACCTTTACCATTCTCTATGGGCATGGAGAGACTCCAATTAGAGCCTCAGTGAATGGAGGGATTTGTGTCTGTTAAAATTAAGATTGCACAGAACTGGACAAAACATCTGTTAAATTGTGATTAGCCAAATTTCCCAAATTTCACTTGGACTGGTGCTAAAAGGACACATTTGCCAAATAATGATCAGGACAGATGCTCCAATTACATGATCATATTTGCAAAAACAGTTTATGTAAAGTCAGGATGTCGTTAGACAAAATGAAAACTAAGTGACACGTGGCCCCGTTTCTCACCGTAGTGAGCGGCAGAAGATTGCTGTAACTTGCCTGGGTCCCTAGAAAGCATGTTGTATTTTCTGTTCTGAAAACAATATTTTCATTGACCATCGTGGTTTTGATCGAAATCTCCTCAAGAAATTACTACAGACCTGACTGGCATTGTGAAATAAATGCACAGAAACAAACAGAAATCTCATAACGTTTGAACTATGGGCTCAGCATCCAAGTCTCATGAAATGGGCATCAAGGGAGGCTAATAGCTCATGTCAGTGATGCATAACGCCAAATTGCATTTTAACTCAAAACGTTAGCGTGTGCTGGGGCCAACCTACCTGCAGACATTGGAGCTTCCTTCAGTGACACCTTCCAGGGGTCTCAGAAAGGAGGTATTTCAGTGGGGTGGTTGATTTGATGCCATTTGTTTCTCAACCCCACCATCACCACAGTGGGAGTGGGAGGCGGTCGTGAGAGGCTGTGCATGGTCTCAGGCTCAGGGACCCACTCCAGCACTCAGAAGAGGCCCTGGAGCTGCTCCCCTAGGCCTTGGGAGCGTTGATCTCTGTGTCCGCCCTGGGACTGAGAATGCACCCCTGTCACCCAGGGTTGTTCAGCGTTGAAAGGACCCCGAGGGAGGATCTCCTGCAGTTGTGCGGGGTCATGGTGGATCCTTTTGTGGGAAAATGTAAACCACCTGGAAAAGACAAATGTGCTACCAAATTGACTGCAGAGAAGTGTCTCAGCCTGTCTCCATGACAGGTGTGACGCTCAGCCACTGTCTCCTGCCACCTGTCAATTTTGCCACAGTCATGGGCGGTTCTGGCAGAGGAAGAAGAGGCCCCCACTGCTGGCCCTGAGACCCACTCTCTTTCCCCAGTGCCCACGTGCCTGCCATCACTAAACACTGCAGCTCCTTTCTGGGAGACTTCTTCTCCTTGGTAATGCCAATCGGCTCTTGTGACCTGTTCTCATGGTCATCTTCTAATGGGCTGGAAAAATGGATCCATATGTCCCAACACCTGCCATCCCAGCTTACAGCACTGTGGGGCGATAGTCGCATCTGTTATTCTATCAGGAGTATTAAACAGTGCTGTTTCAGGAGGACAGAGTCCTGGAAGCAAAGGGGAACTGGTATAGTAATTGTGACTGGGGAAGAACAGGAAGGCTTCCTGGAAGAAGTGCCACCTGAGGCTGTTTTTGTTGTTTTGTTGTTGTTGTTTTAGAGATGGAGTCTTGTTCTGTTGCCCAGGCTGGAGGCTGGAGTGCAGTGGCGCAAT
The DNA here is from genome assembly GCF_000001405.40 of Homo sapiens. Classification (NCBI taxonomy): domain Eukaryota; kingdom Metazoa; phylum Chordata; class Mammalia; order Primates; family Hominidae; genus Homo; species Homo sapiens. Next base: position 130,547,800 of record NC_000010.11, read on the forward strand.
CTTGGCTCGCTGCAGCCTGAGGCTGGGCTTAAGGGACATCAAGTCCTTCTGCAGCCTTTACCCACACCCCGTTCAAGATGCATCAGAGTTGTGGTTTTCCTTCCCTCGGCGATATCAGAATTAGATTCTGGCTCACGTTTGATTTTTTAAAAAATAATTTATGCTAAACCAATTTCAAGGGATATGTTTTAATTAAAGGCATTTGACTACTTTTCAGAAAATGAGAATTAAAGTAAATGTTCAATCCTGAGCTCAGTTGGCTAAGCTAGCCAATTCGGTTTCATGCACTGTTTCCACAAAGTGCTTAAATTATGATTTAGCTTTACTTGGTGGGCTTTAGGGCTTCTGTGTTAATAAGAATGAAGTCTCGGCTGCGTTTGGAGGTAATTAGATGGAGAGAAATTACCCGGGCTGTTTTGGCATTGGCCAGATATTTTGAATATGTGTTAAACAATGATAACTTCATCTTAATTTCTGCATTAAGTTAACAGGTGATTAATATTATGGATATAAGATTTTGCTTAGTGAAAGAGCGTGGCAACGAGAATTTAGGAAATTCTGAGTCAGGAAGGCAGGAAGGAAGGAAGGAGGAAGGAAGGAAGGAAGGAACCCAGAAGAACTGCATTGTAGGAGGTTTCTTCCAGGTTGTGGTGGCCTCTGAGGCGCTTGTAAAGTGTTAATCCTTATTTTGTCCCTGATTTCAGAAGCTTCCTTGACATCTGTGCCTGGGGTTCTGAGAAGCATTCTCATGGGGGCTCCTTCCATTCCATTTGCCCCACCCCAGCCAGAATGAGTGCCCTGCCCCTCTCCTCCACTCCACGTTTGCCCCAACACCACCAAATCACTGTAACCCACCTGCCCCAAATTCCCAACTTTGTTATTCCACTCATAGCTCCTACACAAATTAAATCGTACTGCTCTGCTCTATTCGGGGGATTCCCTGGGTCATGAGTCTGTGGGAATACCAGGGGGGACTTCATTTTGCGGCAGCAAAGTGATAAGGAATGACTCCGCCCACTGTGGAATGAGAATTAAACGTGATTATGAAAGACTGGTATGAACATCAGTATGCACACATGTGACCTCGATGCACAAATGATTCTGGAATTTGTTTTGCTGCCTCCTGATGGAGGAAGGGTGGACTGTGCAGCCCGTCCTGCGTCATGGAAAGCCCTGCCCAGGCCCATCATACATCCTGGGCTCTGGGTACCCTTGTTTTGCAGCAGGGTCCCTGCCCCCGCCCCGCATGCCTTATGCAATTCTGAGTGGGAGGAGAGCTACATTGGAGTGGGACTTCACACCGATTGCTGAGAATTTCACAATTTCTTTGCCTGCAGGATTTCGTATTTAAAGACGGAGAGTTAATCAAAGATCGATTTGTAGATCTGCCTCCTGGCTGGGCGGATCTCCACCAGGCTGGAAGTTCGTCTGTGGAAAGCCTAACCTGCCTGTTCTCATTTGCTATGGTCTAATGCTTATGTGTCTCCAAAATTCATGTATTGAAATCCTAATACCCAAAGTGATAGTATTAGTAGGTGGAAAGTGAATTAAGTCAGGATGGCAGACTAATCCGTAGGATTAGTGCCCTTATAAAATAGGCACAAGGGAGCCCCACTGTGTGAGGACACACCATCAGTCCTAGGAGCCAGGAAGAGGGACTCCCAGGACCCTGAATCTGCCAACACCTGGGTTTTGGACTTCCCAGCCTAGAGAACTGTGAGAAATAAATTTCTGTTGTTTATAAGCCACCCAGTCTATGGTATTTTGTTGATAACCTGAACAGACTAAGATACCATTTTCATAGGAATGATGTTTAGAAATGGGGAAAGGATCATCTCATTAGTAAATGGTGCAGGAAAAACTTGATATCTACATGCAAAAGAATGAAGTCAAACCCTTATCCTACACGAAATACAAAAATCAAATAAAAATGGACCAAAGATGTAAACATAAAACCTGAATGGTCAAGCTTTTAGAGGAAAAAATAGAGGAGAGGCTCCTTGACATTAGTTTTGGTAATGATATTTCAGATTCACAAAAAAATCAGGCAACAAAAGCAAAAATAAATAGGTGGGACTGTGTCAAATTTAGAACTTCTGTATGGCAAAGGAAACCATCACCGGTGGAAAGGCAGCCTATGAATTAGGAGAAAATATTCGCAAACTGTATATCTGGTAAAGGGCTAATAGCTAAAATATAGGTAACTCCTTAGCAAAGAACATACAGCTCCATAGAAAACAAAACCAAAACAACAACAAACCAGACAAACAAATAAACTGATTCAAAAATGGGCAAAATACTTCAATAGACATAGTGCTGGTGAGGATGTGGAAGAAAGGGAACCTTTGTATATTACTGGTGGAGTCTACATTTGTAGCTATTACAGAAATCAGTGTGGGGGCTCCTGAAGAAACTACAATGGGATCTGCTCCATGATGCAGCAGCTCCACTTTTGGGTACATATCCCAGGGAAATAAAATCAGTATGTCGAAATATATCTGCACTTCCAAGTTCACTGAAGCACGATTCATAATAGTCAAGACAGATAGGGAATCCACCTCCGTGTTCATTGACAGAGGGATAGATAAAAATGATGGTATATACATATAATGAAATATTGGTACCCTTAGAAAAAAGGAGATCCTGCTATTGGTGACAATATGGATGGACCTGGAGGACATTATACTAAAGCAAATAAACCAGGCACAGGAAGAAAAATGCTGCAGAATCTCATTTATGGGCGGAATCTTAAAAAAAAAAAAGCTGACTGCATAGAAGCAGAGAGTGGAGTGGTTGGGGGTCCGGGGGAATGGCAGAGGAAATTCATGGAAGGTGAGAAGTCTAGAGTCTAATGTGCAGCCTGAGGACTGTAGCTAATAACACGGTATTGCAGACTGGAAATTTGCTGAAAGAGTAGATTTCAGGTGCTCTTACTCCAAAGAAAAAAAAAAAGGTAACTGTGGAAGGTGATGAATATGTTAATTTTCCTGACTGTAGTAGTCATTTACTCTGTATGTATAAGAGAACATCGTTATATACCTTAAATACACAAAGTACATACATGGATGAATGAATAACATGTAAAAGTCACTGATGTGAGATCAGCACCCCCTTTGGCCTGCGCCGACCCCTGCTCCCACAGTGCAGTGTGCATCTGCCTTCCCCGGGAAACTCTACCTCCCTGGAGACAGGCTTGTCTAGTTTGCTCCCCGCTGGCTCTGGGCCTCAGCCCCTCCCCTGACACATGGCAGTCTTCCTGTAGAAACTATTCCATAAGGACCAGCCATCCTTGTACCCCTGCCACCCAGGCCCCCAGACCCTTTCCAGGCTGCAGAGGGCACGGGCAGTCCTCCGGCCAGAGGGGCTCGGTCCACAGACGTACGGCCACCGATGGAGAAGATGGGGAGGTCTGTGGAAGTGAGGACATGAGAACCTCGTCTCATGCCTGCTGGAAGATGGAACCCTTGGAAGTCCCCCCGCCCCACCCCTTTCCTCCTTGTATGAAAGGAAGGATCTACGTCAAGTTCCAAGGCTCACCAGGCTGGCTCCACTTCTGTGAAAACGTGTCCTCCTGCGACAGGGACATCCTCAGTGTCCTGGGTCTGCCTCCCTGTTGTGTACTCAGCCTGCCCGTTTTCTCCAGTTCCTCGCGCTTCCAGGACAGCTGCGCCTACACCTTTAGGCGGGGCCCTGCCAGGAGCGAGTGTCCCCACTGGCTGCTTTGTGCCAAGATGTGGTGTTGATGCCAGCCTGGCCTGATCAACTCATCGGTGCTTGAGAGCGGAGCCAGGACAAGACCCCCTGGTCATGGGTCACTGGCAAATTCTGACATCTGCAGAAAGCCTGGCATTGTGCTTTGGAGCCTCAGGGGCCAATTAGTCATCATCCTCCAGAGAAACAGAAACCATACCATGGACAGGAGGCGGGATAGAGGAACTGGTGACAGGTAAGAGGAGATGTGTTGGGGAGCTGGCTCACAGGATGATGGAGTCTGAGAGGTCCTGCACTCTGCCATCTGCAAGCCCGAGAGCCAGGGAAGCCAGTAGGTAATTAGGGCTGAGAAGCGAGGCCGGGTCCTGAGGGAGCCCAGGACACACCTCTCCTTCTGGGACAGGCCAGGGCACTGCGCGGTGTGGTGGGTCTGAGGTCTCTAGGAGAAAGAGCCCTTCCTGCACATTTCATTCTCTCCAGGACTTGAGGATTGGTTGAGGCCACACACTTTGGTGAGAGTGTATCTTTCTTACTCAGTCCACAATTCAAATCGGCATCTCTTCCAGAAGTGCCCTCACAGACGCACCCAGAAATAACATTTTACCAGCTGTCCAGGCATCCTTCAGCCCAGTCCAATTGACACCTACAGTTCACCCTCACAGGCAACATAGGGGCTCTGCTGTGGGCTGGGGAGGTGGAGGGTGAGGAGCTCGTTCCCCAGGTGACTTGGAGCCAGGAGGGTGCTCACGTGAGGGGACAGGGGACGGGCAGTTTGGAGAAGTCACATCTTGGCCTCGTGCTCAAGACACATGAGTAGGAGCTCGGGCTTTTGCAAAGTCACGTCGGTTTCCTACACTGCGTTCCCATCACCCTGTCACCATCCCAAAAGACCCACGTGAGCTGTGCTGATTTGCATTTTGAGACATGGCCGGATCTGCAAGGTCAGAGACCAGAGGGTCAACTATGGACACCTCTTGTGGCAAAGCAACAGACAGGCCACGTCACTTTAGCTTTCACCTTTCTGTGTTTCAGATGAGGAGAAGAAAACGTTAGGCTCCTTTCGGTTAAAAAATAAGCAACAAACAAAAACCTTGCATCTAGCCTGGCAGCCTGGTTAGCCTGTGCTCCTGCTCCTGTCCACAGGGCTCCCGGGCGGCTTCCACACTAGGGGCCATGTTGCTTCAAGAGTCCTGATGGTCAACGCCTTCTCCCTCCACTAAATTACCCGCAGACGTGGAGCAGAGTTTGCTGCCAATTAATTCATAAAATGAAATATTTTGTATGCAAATCTAATTTCTTAGCTGTCAGCTTGTATTTGCCAATGTGGCAAGATTTTATTTGTTTCTATTATAAAACCAAATCCCTAAAACTCTAAGTTCTTAATATTTTGGAATTTCAATTATCCACCGTGATTGTATCTCTATTTATGGTCGCATTTGCATGCAGTGAGAGCTGGCGGTAAACAAAAGTGACGTTTGAAGTGGGAAGAGCTGTTTGAACCTCCAGCGAGAGCTTGATACTGTTATTTGCCCGAGAAAAGTCATTTTCCGTAAGTGAGGCAGAGGAGGGTCGGTTAGAATGCAAAGGCACCTTGAGAGCCTGGTTGTAAGTGTGGGCAAAAGCCCTGCTGGGATAGTGACCTTGGGTTGGGTCGTGGTGTTCTGAGAGTGCTTGAAGACCACACACGGCCCCCAGGGATGGCCGCATTTGTCAGCCCTAAAAGGTGGTACTTGCCAGATCCCAGGGCTAATCAGTGTCTCACCAGATCTTTCAAGTGGTGACATTTGTATTATTGTGGTTTAGAAAACACTTGCTGTCTTAGCGTGCAATGAACTAAAGTGGGGAGGTCTATGCTGCTGTAAACAAAGGGTTTGCACTGCCTCCGTTTAAAGCAAACCAAGAATGAATATTTTAAATCCTCCCTGTTCAGCATACAGCCACCGAGTGAGTGCTTACTTGCTGCCTGCTTCATTCACTCCACCAACATTTGTTGAGCACTGCTTTGGGGGCTGAGGGTCTGGGAAGAGCACTGCAGCCCCCTAGAGCAGAGGTCCCCAACCTTTTTGGCACCAGGGACCAGTTTTGTGGAAGACAGTTTTTCCATGGATCGGGGGAGGGAATGGCTTCAGGATGATTTAAGTGCATGATATGTATTGTGCACTTTATTTCTATTATTATTACATTGTAATATATAATAAAATAATTATATACAACTCACCATAATGTAGAATCAGTGGGAGCCCTGAGCTTGTTTTCCTGCAATTAGACGGTCCCACCTGGGGGTGATGGGAGACAGTGACAGATCATTAGGCATGAGATTCTCATGAGCATGCAACCTAGATCCCTCGCATGCACAGTTCACAATAAGGTTTGTGCTCCTGTGAAAATCTAATGCTGCCGCTGATCTGATGGGAGGCGGAGCTCAGGCAGTAACACGAGCGATGAGCAATGGGGAGTGGCTGTAAATACAGATGAAGCCTGCTTCCCTTGCTGGGCTACCGCTTACCTCCTGCTGGGCAGCCTGGTTCCTAAACACCAGTCTGTGGCCTGGGGGTTAGGGAACCCTGCCCTAGAGGAGCCCACACTTTAGTGGATGTGGCCATGCAGACCCTCATCTCGTCCTCATGTCCCATGTGGGCTGGGGTGAGGGTCTGTCATGTAAGCAGGGGCAGGTGGCCAGTGCTGGGGTGGAGACAGCTGCTATTCTATCTACAGACTGGGTGAGGAGGCTTTGAGGATAAGGTGATTTTAGAGCATATATTTGACAGATGTTTGCACATTTTAACTGTTGCAGTTTAAGTCCATTAAATGCACTTATCCAAATCAAATGCACTTATGGCAAAGCTATAAGAACAATCAGATATTGTTTCCAGAAGGATTGAGCATGTCTTCATAGTATATAGCCTTCATTCCTTCATGTTCCCTCATCAGGACATACACGCAGGGCCAGCTCCTCTCATCTGGGAAATGAAGGTGAGGGCTCACAGTGGGATTAGCACAGGCTGTCAGTGATGAGGGTGGGAGGCTTCCCCGAGCACTGGACCTCAGTGGAGAACAGTTGTCCCAAGGCCAGACCCAGTGTCAGCAGGTGGAGCTGCAGGGGTCCCCCCAGGCCAGTCTCCCCACCCCCACCATTCCCCAGGCCATGAGCAGCAGCACTGTCTAAGGTGAGTCAAGGGTCCTTACCAGGATGACACAGCTGGAAGGTGAGGGAAGGGGCAGGGAAGGGCCATGGAGGTGTCCTGTGGGACCCAGGGGAGGAGAGCCCCTGGGCCAGTGGTGGGCACATCTGTCTCTGGGCCTCCCTCCAGGGGATGCAGGCTGGGATAATAGCAGGGGCTAGGGCCTTGAGAGTTGGCGAGGGATATCAGTCAAACAAGCTTCCAACCTAGAAGGCGCTGTCTCCCTACATATGAAATTGAGGAGCCCGGCCAGTTTGAAACATTGCTGCATACCCCATGAATATGTGCAATTATTATTTGTCAATTCAAAAAATAAAAATGTGGGTGCATCTAAGCATTTCTGTGTCTTATGGGAGACACTAAAATTAGATTCATCTGAAGCCAGTTCCAAAACTCTTCTTTGTGATACCCCCGTTTCATTCTTGAGAAACAACAGCAAAGCCAACTAACCATCATTTCTCCAGCTTTCTTCAACTTCCTACCTCTGCCAGGGCCATGTCATTCCTTCAGCCCGCGACGTTGCCCACACGCAGCCCCCAGCCCCTGCTGCTCTCATATGGTGAGCCGCGACACCCGACTGGAAAGGAGGAGAGAGCTCAGCAGAAGACAGAGGGCTCACAGGCAGGTGCACGGGGATGGGTACAGCACCCTGGCCTGGGCGGGTGGCTGTGATGAGACAGTGGAAGGCTGGGGTTGAGGCTTGAGAGGGGAAACCGAGTCCAGGTGAGGATGAGATTCGCCAATGTGTGGCTCTGGGAAGGACTCATCAGGGTAGAGTGGAGGAATGGATTTTCATGATTTGCCCTTAGAAGTCCATGCCACGAAGGCCGAATTCTCCCAGTGCAGGACAAGCGTTGCCAGCAGTGATGGAAGAGTCCCTGCCTTCCACTGTCAAGAGGGAGTGAATGGAGGAGGAGTGGGAGAGAGAAAGAAAGCAGAGGCGGGAATACATGGATGAGCAGTGAAGTCTTGGATGGGCAGGTGTGTAAACGCAGAGTCTCCGAGGAGACCAGCCTAATTGATGGAGGAGTGAGGCAGCTGCTACTGAGCTCACAGGGTTCACATGCTCACCCTCTGCATCAGGGCTATTTTGATCACGTTCAGAGGCCCCTTTTATTTTAGGAGGTAGAGTGTATGTAGCGCTCATCACCTCCATTTGATGGTTGTGGAGATGCGTAGATGGGCAAACAATTTGCTAGAGGTTTCTCAGCTCACAAGTAGGAGGGGCAGGATTCCAATCCTGTTCCTGGCTCTTTATTCCTGTGCCAGAGAAACGTGAGAGCAGGAAGACCTGGCCCCTTCTCAGGTGAGGCCAGGGGAGGATGGCCAGTCCCACATCCTGTTGCCTGAGTCCCTGGGACCAGTGGTGATAGGAGTAATATCCTATCACCTGGAACAGTAGGAACCTGTGGGGTGACAGAGAGGCCCCGCCTAGCACTTACTTTGCCTGAGTCCCCTGGACCAGTGGTGATAGGAGTAATATAAAGTCCTGGAGCAGTAGGAACCTGTGGGGGTGAGAGAGACCTCCCACCTTGCACTTGCCTTTTGCCCCGGCACAGGCCTGCGTTTTACATGCTTTCCGACATGAAGGGAAACATGGTGGGGTCCACTGCGGATGACCGAGAGCACACAGAAAATTCACTCTTCCTCAGGCACTAGCCTCAACATTTGCTCCCCTTTTCAGATAATGATGGTCCTCTTTGCTTGGCTTATAGCGGTAGCTATTTGGGGGATTAGGGATAAACCAGACTTAGATCATATTAGCCCATCTTTCTCCCAGAGAACTCCTTAACAGGTAATCTGGGATGCAGAATGCAGTGTCAGTAGTTTAGCTTGTAGGTTGCTTCTTCCTCTCGTCCCTAATTTTCCCATTGGTGGCAGCTCAGCTGGCGTGCACTTTCCCAGAAAAGCGTGAATTGGGAGCATAATGTGATTCCATGGCTGCCTTCTAATACAACTCTTGCGGTAACCCCAGGGGAAAGGTGAGTGGGGAATGGGCAGCATCATGGGGGCTGCATCCTTCCTGCCAGGGGAGCAGGTGATTGTGAATACAGGATTTGGGAAAGGTGCAGGGTCCTCTCCCCAGGGCCAGCGCTCTGCACCGCGTCGGGCCTCCCACCACTCACCCACTGAGTCTGACCATCCGGGGCAGGATGAGTGCTGTGGTTTGAATATCTGTGCCTTCAAAAACTCACGTTGAAACTTAATTCCCAACGTGGCAGTGTTGAGAGGTGGGGCTTTAAAAAGGTGACTGGGTCTCACGAAGGATTAATTCAATCGTGGTTAATGGATTATTGGATTAACGGATTGATGGATTAATGGGTTATCATGGGAGTGGGGCTGGTGGATTTATAGGAAGCAGAATAGAGACTTGAGCCAGCACGTGAGCACACTCAGGCCCTGGCTGTGTGATGCCCTGGGCCACCTCAGGACTCTGCAGAGTCCTCACCAGCGAAAAGGCACACACCAGATGTGGCCCTTGACTTTGAACTTCTCAGCCTCATAACTGTCAGAAATTCATTTTGTTTTCTTTTTAAATAACCCAGTTTCAGGCATCCTATTATAAGCAATAGACAACAGACTAAGACAGTGAGCACGGACAGAACTCATGGTTAGCTTCTGGGGTGCTGGTGGCACCCCAGATCCCTGGCAGCATATGTGGCAGGAGGGACAGTTTCTCCTCCAGAAGTCCCTGGGGGTTGGAACAAGGGAGGGATGGGTGTCCCAGCTTTGGGCTCGTGGTCTGTTTGAAAGACTTTGATTTTCTCTGACTGAGCTCCCGTGAGCTCAGGATGGCTTCTCCAGAAGATTCTGTCTGACTCCGAGGGGTGGAGGAATCTGGGAAAACCAGCTCCTCTTTCCCTAGAGACCCTGCACAGACGTGACCTCCTGGCTCTTGCTTGTACCCCCTCCTCCTCCAGATGCTGTCTCCGCCTCCCTCTGAGCAGGAGACGATAACCCTGGATGGCATGTTGGGCATTGTCTGGAGGGACAGGAGAGAGGAGGTGGGGACCAGGGTGAGTCTTTGAGCCTGTGGAATAAGTGGGGTGGCAGATGGTGTTTTAGAGCAAATGGGAACCTCAGCTGTTCAAACAGATAAACCACAAACAAAGCCTCAGTGGCCTCACCCAATATAAGCTGACTTCTCACTCGTGTCCCTGCGCCATGTGAGTTGGGGGCCGGGGGAGGGCTCTGCTCCATGCAATCATTTAGTGCCTCAGGGGTCGTTCATCTTAGAGGTCATCTGGCATACTTCACTGGTGAGTGGGGCTGTTGACTTCTCACTCGTGTCCCTGCTCCACGTAAGTTGGGGGGCGGGGGAGGGCTCTGCTCCACGCAGTCATTTAGTGCCTCAGGGGTCATTCATCTTAGAGGTCATCTGGCATACTTCACTGGTGAGTGGGGCTGTTGACTTCTCACTCGTGTCCCTGCTCCAAGTAAGTTGGGGGGCGGGGGAGGGCTCTGCTCCACACAGTCATTTAGTGCCTCAGGGGTCGTTCATCTTAGAGGTCATCTGGCATACTTCACTGGTGAGTGGGGCTGTTGACTTCTCACTCGTGTCACTGCTCCATGTGAGTTGGGGGACAGGGGAGGGCTCTGCTCCACGCAGTCATTTAGTGCCTCAGGGGTCGTTCATCTTAGAGGTCATCTGGCATACTTCACTGGCGAGTGGGGCTGGAAGAGGGCGAGGGACCTCTCGGAGGGAAATGTGGGTAAAACCTGGGATTGGAGGCTCACTGTGGTCCACATTTGACAGGCCAGAGCACAGCTGCACACCCCGCCTCGTTCCAGGCAGGGTCTCAAGGATGGAGAGAGCACAGGTGTGGTGGCTCATGTTTTCTTCTAGAATTTAGGCTCATTGTTGGCAAAGAGAAGAGCTCTCAGGGCAAGCAGTCCTGGAATGAAGAAGACAGAGTCCATGGCTGCTTCCACCTGGCTGCACATCCTGCCAGCCTGAGCAGAGCCGGAGGAAGGAGGAGAAAGACCAAGCACGTCCCGGAAGAGCAATCTTTTTACGCTATTAATGGAATGTTCTGTACCATGTTCTTTTTCTGTATTTGTTTTGTTATTTGAAATTTTCTTTAGTAATTTGCCAGGCTTGGTATAGTTCTCTGTTTCACTGTTTTTCCTCTGTGCATAGATTACATGTTTTCAGTAGCATCTGCTCTGAATTTTAATTACGATGCTTTGCTCAAAGGGGCCCTCACAAAGCAGCCCAAGTCCTCAGTGGTCCGGAGCCACATTTATGGCACAGACAGAGGGCTGTGGAGTGTCAGGAGACCTGGAACCAGACAAAGGAAACATGAGCCAGCAACGGTCCCCTTGCTCACCCGCCTCTTTTTAAGATGCCTCTGCAGCAAGGGACTGCCATGCATAAAATTACTTTTTGGTGTTTGTTTTTTTTTGCCAATAATTGTCCTTTGGTTCTTCAAGGCAACATCACAAAGCCTCAGTAGCTTTTAAAGTAGCAATTGTGGGATTTGTAGCTGGGCTAAATGGAAAATGCAATTCTGTGTTCAGTTATTTCAAATTGCAAAAATAAGCTTATGGGATGTCATAAAAATTGGGCTGTTATTACTTATTAGCCTACGAAGGCTTTCCAGAATCCACTGGAATTGACATGCACGGATTCCCGGAGGTTTGCTGTGCTGTCCTCAGTGGAGGTTGTGAAGCCTCGAGGGTCCTCTTGGGTCAAATGAGTCAGGCCGGTCCTGAGTGTGCCCCAGGGCCTAAGGGCGGGCCAGTCCTCTGGCTGGACAGCATGGGCAGAGCCTTCGGCTGTCATGGAGCACATTCCTGAAACCCAGAGTGTATCTCTGCTCCTTTGTCATCTGAAATTAGTACCATGGTTACATTTTATTTCAGAAGCAAAACTATGGATTGTAAACTATAATTACGTGGTAATTATTTGGCTGCTGCTGTAAGTGAGTGGGGTGCTGAGAGAAAGTGGAAAACAGCTCCTTGGAGCCTTTGGGGCCAGGCCAACGCTGAGCATCTGGGCTTCCAGGAGGGAGGCCTCGGCTCTGCCAGCAGATGCCCTTTGGGCGTGTCCTGGAGGGGCAGGAGCAGGCCACGCAGCTCTTGGGAGCCTGGGCGCTGTGTCTGCTAGGTGTGTGGCCACCTCCTGGCCCTATGGCCTGCAGAAGGCATTGGTGTTTGCCCCCAGGGGCTGGGATGGTACCTGAGTCATTGGTATAGCCCTGGCCCAGAGCAGGTGTTAGGGAATATTTGTCAAACTGCATTTGAGTTCTGCAGAGCCCTTCTTAGCCAGGTCCTCTGACTGCCCCCTGCAGCTCTCCACTGTGGTCTCTCCACCCCTCTGGGCTTGGATCCCCGCCTGTCCATAACCACCATCCCCTACCACCTTGCCTAGGACATTCCCAAGAATGCTCTGGAATTTGGGGGATGCCACGTTATTTCCTTCTTGGCCTTTGCAGCTCTAAATGTGCCTGAGATTTCAGGTGTGCATTTGATTAGGAAGGCCTGAGCCTCTGCCCGCCGAGTGTCCTGCCTCCTCTTCGGAAATTCTTCCTCTGGGGATCTTGCCTCATTACCTGAGGACTCCACTCTCTCTTTGGCCCAGAGGAGGGTGCTGCTCTCTCTGCAAATGCCAGGCACCAGGGGAGGCTTGCGAGTGACAACCCCCTTGCTTCACAGCGAGCGCTTTATAGGCTCAGTAAGTGGGTTTCGACATGTATCTCCCCAGCGCTGCCTCCTTAAGATATGAGGAAATGAGGCAGGGGGGATTTCGGTTGTTTTATGCCTGGCAGCCGGGGGATGCTTGAGGAATTCATTGGTCTTTGGACACCGCGGCAGGGAACAAGGCTGGCTCTCAGGCTTGCCGGGCTGCAACCTCCTGGAGGGGGTGTGATTTATCCTGTGGGCGGCATCCTCCTGGTAGCTCTGAGTGGGGTCCCTCCCTGGAGTCCTTTCATGTGGGGTGGGCAAGAGCAGGTGGTGTTCGCACTGGCATGGGGCCATCTTGGACTAGGTGAGCAACCTGTGAGGAGTGCAGGCACATCAATGCGACAGACCAGGCTGCTGGGCACTGACCTGCCCTGTGGTGGTCCAGCCATCAGCCTCCTCTGTGCTCAGGTGCAGGGCCCACCCCTACCTGCTGGACGCCGGCTCATGCAGCTGGGGCTTTTCCAGAAGGAGTCCAAGCTCAGAGGATAGCGGCTGCTGGGAGTGGATGCCCCGTGAGAATATATTCTTCTCCAGGTCATTTTCTTCTCCATGGCCCTGACACGAGTCCTCAGGACTCACCCCACAAGAGTCCCGGATGGACACTGGCACAGGGCACAGGGTAGCGGCTTCTGGAAAAAGAGTGGCTCTTTGTTCGGATAGCCCGGCTCCCTTAACAGTGATAGTCACACTGGGGTCCCTGTTCTTGGGGTGCATGTGCTCCTGGGGTCTCCATTCTCAGGGTCTGTGTGCTCCTGAGGTCCCCGTTCTTGGGGTGCATGTGCCCCTGAGGCCTGCATTCTTGGAGTGCGTGTTCTTCTGGGGTCCCCATTCTCAGAGTGCGTGTCCTCCTGGGGTCCCTGTTCTTGGGGTGCATGTCCTCCTTAGGTCCCCATTCTCAGGGTGCACATCTTCCTGGGGTCCCCATTCTCAGAGCGTATGTCCTCCTGGGGCCCCCATTCTCAGGGCGTGTATGCTCCTAGGGTCTCCATTTTCAGGGTGTGTGTGCTCCTGGGGTCCCTATTCTCAGGGTGCATGTCCTCCTGGGACCCCATTCTCAGGGTGTGCATCTTCCTGGGGTCCCCATTCTCGGGATACCTGTCCTCCTGGGGTCCCCATTCTTATGGTGCATGTGCTCTTGGGGTCCCTGTTCTTGGGGTTTGTGTGCTCCTAGGGTCACCATTCTTGGGGTCTGTGTCCTGAGGTTCCTGTTCTTGGGGTGCATGTGCTCCTGGGGTCTCATTCTTGGAGTGTGTGTCCTCCTGGGGCCCCCATTCTCAGGGCGTGTATGCTCCTAGGGTCTCCATTTTCAGGGTGTGTGTGCTCCTGGGGTCCCCATTCTCAGGGTGCATGTCCTCCTGGGGCCCCCATTCTCAGGATGCATGTCCTCCTGGGATCCCCCTTCTTGGGGTTCCTGTGCTCCTGGGGTCCCTGTTCTCGGAGTCTGTGAGTTTCTGGGGACCATGTGTTTGTGAGGTTCCTGTTCTCAGGATCTGTGAGTTTCTGGGGTCTGTGTGCTCCTGGGGTCCCTGTTCTCAGGGTCTGTGTGCTGCTGGGGCCCCTGTGCTCCTGAGGTTGCTGTTCTCAAGGTCTGTGTGTTTCTGGGGTCTATATGCTGCTGGGGTCTCTGTGCCCCTGGAGTTCCTGTTCTTAGCATCTGTATGCTCCTGGGGTCCTTGTTCTGGAGGCCTGTGTTCTTGGGGTCCCTGTTTTCGGGGTCTGTGTGTTTCTGGGGTCTGTGTGCTCCTGGAGTCTATGGGCTGCTGATTTTCATTTGCTTCTGGGGGGTCATGCACTCCTGGGGTCATGCTGACTTTGCAGGTGAGCGTCTATACATATACATTACTTTAAAGAAATCGATGTCTATGCCTTCCACATCCTCAATTTCTCGTTAACCTGACCAGCCTGGGAGCTGCAGGTACCCCTCTGTGCTTGCTCATCTCCTGCCTTGTACAGTACAGGCAGACCTGGGCAGGACCTCCACCACCCTGGATTTTACCCCAGTGCACACACACCCAGGTTATGAAGACCAGCACCTGGTCAGGGGCAATATGAGATAGCACTGACCACTTTGTGAAAACAAATGCTCCTAAAGACTGGGCTGGAGTCCTTTGTGAAAATCCAATGGTTCAAGACAAAGACCTAGTCCTAGTCTAGCAGTTGAGCTAATAAATAAGCTCCATTCACTATCATTGAATGATAGCTGGATATGTGGTTTTAAGCATGAACCTTGAAAGAAGTTCAAAATATTTAGTGATAGAACAAAACTCCATTCTGACTTATACATTTTGGTGAACAAGTTTTCTCAGTTTATGCATTTATTTAAAAAGCAACAAAAAGTTGGGCAGGTGTGATGGCTCACGCCTGTAATCCCAGCACTTTGAGAAGCCGAGGAGGGTGGATCACTTGAGGCCAGGAGTTCAAGACTAGCCTGGCCAACATGATGAAACCCTGTCTCTACTAAAAATACAAAAAATCAACCAGGCATGGTGGCACGTGCCCAGGCGTGGTGGCACGTGCCTGTAGTCCCAGCTGCTCCAGAGGCTGAGGCATGACAATTGTTTGAACCTTGGAGGTGGAGGTTTCAGTGAGCTGAGATCACACCACTGCACTCCAGCCTGGGTGACAGAGTGAGACTCCATCTCAAAAACAGAAACGAAATGCCTTGCTATTTAGATCCATTTGATGCATTTAAGTTTGATGTAACAGTTTCATTTTAAAATGTTACTATTTATAATATGCCACAATTTATATCCTAGTCCACTACTTCAACCTAATAATAAATACCTTCAGACATTGTCTTAGTCTGTTTTGTGCTGCTGTAACAGAATACCTGAGACTGGTCATTTATAATGAACAGAAGTGTATTGGCTCACACAGTTCTGGAAGTTGGAAAGTCTCATTTTAAGGTGCTGGTATCTGGCAGGGGTCTTCTTGCTGTCACCCCATGGCAGAAGGTCAGAAGGTGAGAGAGAATGAGAGGGGGTTGAACTCACCCTTTTATAACAGTACCAACTTCAGATGAGGGTGGAGCCCTCCTGGCCTCATCACTTCTCAAAGGTATCACTTCTTAATATTGTTACTGGCAATTAAATTTCAACTTGAGTTTTGAAGGGGACAAACATTTAAACCACAGCAGAGGTCACCTGCGAGTTCTAAGAGGCATATGAGCAAAGGGGCGATGATGTCCTATGGAGTCTACTCATTTCAGCCAGACTGAGAGGAGGAGAAGGCTGAAGGTTAGGATCTGAGTGCTGGATTGAATGCATGCTTTCCAAAAGTGCCATGGCAGCTTGATGTAATTGTTTTAAAATTTTTCATTTGTAACAAACTTTTAAATTTTAGAATAGTTTTAGATTTACAGAAGGGTGGTAAAGATATAGAGCTTCAGCGTACTTCACAGCCAGCTTCCCCTCTTATAAAAATCGTACAGCTCTATGCCTTTGTCACAACTAATGCACTGATAGGGATGCATTCTTATTAATTAAAGTCCCCATTTTATTCCTCTCTCCCTGGTGTTTACCTAATGGCCCTTTTTTGTCCCAGGATCCCACCCAGGATCCTGCATTTTACTTGGTCATACTGTCTCCTTAGTCTCCTCCTGACTGTGACAGTTTTTCAGACTCTCCATGCTTTTTATGACCTTGCTTGTTTGAGGAGTGCTCGCCAGATATTTTCCAAGATTTCTATCGATTGACATTGGTCTGATGTTTTCCTCATAATTAGACTGGGGTTATAAGTTTTGGGGAGGAAGCCCACAGAGGTAAAGTTTCATTCTTATCACACCCTATCAAGGCTTATGCTCCACCTTCTTGGTGAGGGGCAGGTGTGATGTAACTTTATGTGTTGCATTTTTAGATTTGAGTTGGTTGGTCCTTGAACAGGTCTGTGTGTGTGTGTGTGTAGTTAGTGTGAATTGCATGCATATATGTGTTTTATATGTTTGTGTTTTAAGTGTGTGTTGTGTATATGTTTGCATGTGTGTATGTGCATGTTTGTGTGTCTGTTGTGTGTTGTATGTATGCATGTGCTGTGTGTTGTGTGTATTGCATGCATGTTGTGTGCATGTGTGTTGTGTGTCTCTGTTGCATAGTGTATAGGTATGTTGTATGTGTTTATGCATGTGTTGTAAGTATGCATTTTGTGTGTTGTGTGTATGTTGTATTTGGGTGTTGTATGTTGTGTGAATGTGTAGTGTGTGTATGTGGTGTGTGTGTGTGTGTGTGTGTGTGTGTGTGTGTGTGCGCCTCACTGGGAGAGAGTGAGGAAGGCGACACATTGGATTAACTCTCAGGGTTCCAGCTTCTATAAGACCCATTAAGCTTAACATTTTTATGAAAAGGAAATTCATTGGAAGAGAAATCAGAAAATGGGAATTTGTTGCTCTGAGATCAAAAGACCAAGGGGATGAGAAGTAAACAGACCCAGTCTTGAGTCTCCAGTCCCTGCTTCCTCCCTGGACACCCTCTCCCCTCTCCCCCGTTTCCCTCCCCAACAGCTGTGCAGCTGGTCACACTCTGGGGAGCTGCACCCTGCACTGGCTCCTCCCTGCCTCTGCATTTGGGGATCCCGTTGTGTCAGCTGGCTGGCTCTGGAATAGGGGCTCCAGTGTGGTTCTTGGGGGCCCATTTTCCTCTCTTGGTTTTCATTCCCACCCCTGAGCTCGCTGCATTCTGGACCTTGTGCCCCAGTACCACGGGGCCTAAGCACCAGACGTGGACCTGCTGCTGGGCTCTGCACTCCTGTGCCCAGGCACACTCTCCTCCTCACCCTGCTGTGGCCACCTCATGCCCACCAGGCTCTAGCCCTCTACCTCCCTGGACCATGAGGTCCCGACTGCTCAAGAGCCTGGCTTGCTCCGGTGCTCTGTGGTCCTGACTGCAGCCTGGGCTGCACCCCTGTGTTGCAGACGTCTATGCCTTGTGTGGAGCTGTGGACACAGACATGCAGAGGGCCCGTGTGCCCACTCTCACCACCCCCTCAGCCTTCATCATTTCCACAGTGGAAACTCCATCTCCTCCAAATAGCATGTCTTGAAGTCATTAAGTAATAACGGCTCTCGCCTGTTGCATTTTGAGTGAGATGCTGCTTCCAAGCTGCCTTCCGGACAGGACAGTGCCGACATAGGCTGTGTTCCTGGGTGATCCTTCATTGTGGGCCTCTGCACTCAGAGGGCAGCCAGCTGCCCAGGGTTAACTGGGAGGCCAGCCCTGTGACAGTGAGGCTTGGGCCCCTTGGAGGCAGGTCTCTGAGAGGAAGCATTGTGGGGGTTTCCCGAGAGCCCAGGCTGTCTATGTGGTGTTTTCCTTGGGCTTGGTGAAGGCATTTAGTAACATGTACCCTGCAATGCCTGGGCGGAGGAGCTTCCTGAAAACCTGAATAAAATGACCTATTTATCGTGAGCATTTGTTTGGCACCATGAGTAATGTCCCCTAAGCCACCGTGTGGCTCTCCCTGCGGCTGATGGATGTGCAGAACTGCTTGTCCTGCATGGCTGTGCCCATCAATCTACCTCGGCTCAGAGGAAGAGTGACTTCCAATATAGTGGAGAGGGGTCAAGTGGGAAGCTGCTGGTAACTTTCCCATTAAAATTGTTATAAATTTTTGCCCAGAGTATTTCAGGAATCCGCTTGGGAAACAACTTTGACTTGAGCTTCCATTTGTGTGTGTGTGTGTGTGTGTGTGCACGCACAAAGAACTACTTCTTCCCGACCAAGTACAAAGCAAAACAGTTTTCATCAAACATCCCCGAGCCCTCATAGCTAAGAGGGTTTTGAATTTTGAACGAGGCATCTCATTCTACAAATGTCTTTCTGGATGACCTTCAGAGGAATTTATAGTGCCTCCAGCTCAGTCTCCATAATTCACATCCAAGTCTTGTTGACACGGTGTCACTCTCCTTTGCAACCAGCCCTTTTCCTTGCTGGAGCTCCACGTCATCCTGGCAGGGCCAACGTCTGCAACCAGAGGAGGTGGGACCACAGCTTCCAAGCTGACCACATCAAAAGCATTGGCTGGCTTAGAAATAAAAATTCTAGCAGGCTTGTTAAGAATCAGTTCTTTGTGGCTGTGTTTCCTATTATTTATAGTATTTTCTCCATATGTGGGGTGCGTCATGTACACCTGGTGCTGGCATGTTTGAGATTTGTGGTAGGAAAGAAGCCTCCCAGGAGAATGGCGTGAACCCCCGGGGGCGGAGCCTGCAGTGAGCCGAGATCGCGCCACTGCACTCCAGCCTGGTCGATAGCGAGACTCCGTCTCAAAAAAAAAAAAAGAAAAAAAAGAAAAGAAACGAAGCCACCAACCAACCCAGCCACCTGGAGGCCAGGGGTGGGTAATGGCTTGGGCGCCTGGAGGCAGGTCTCTGAGAGGAAGCACTGGGGCAGTTGTCCAAGAGCGCAGGCTGTCTACAGGGTGCTTTCCGTGGGCTTGTTGAAGGCACTTAGCAACACAGAAATAAGGTCAGTTAACAAACCTTGTTTTTGATGCTGCCTTCATGATAAATGATTCTCATTCTTCTAGCTTATCCTGTTTTGTATTTGTGTTTTATTTGTCTTGTAGCCTAAACACTATTTGAAAAACCCCCAAATCTGTGACCCCTCCCTACCAGCTCCACTAGAGAGTTCCATGGCCGTCACACAGGTCGGTACCCGTGCAGGGGCTCTGGGGTGGGTACAGTGTCTCTGCTCCTTCCAGGTTACTTCCAGAAACAGGCGCTTCCTCGTGAACAGCTGGAACTGTTCTCCAGTGCTGCAGGAAAATGGCTCGCAGTATTTTATGGTTATTAACCTCCTGTTATTAAGTTCTCAATACGGTGGTGCAGCCCGGGCTGTGATTTCTTACTTGTGAATATTAAGTGTTGTTCTTATTGAGAACATAACTTTCCTTTTATGAACAGGATGAAGTCTCACGTCTTGAGCAGCTGGGGTGAGAGTGGCATTCGGGGGCCTCTGCATGACGGCATGACTGGTGACATATGGAGGGGTGGGGGCCTCTAGGAGGCCGGCCATCCACAGGGCTGCCGGGGCTCCCTTGAGGTGGATGCGGTGAGGCGCGAACGGAGCGGGTAGAAATGAGACGGCGCAATGGCGGAAAGCAAAGCAGAAATGGCGTGACAGCCACATGTGCGGGGCCGGGGAAGTGGAGGCTGGCTGCTCCTCACGGGCACTCGGGTGAGGCTCTCTCCACCTCGCGCAGGGGCTACCCGCTCGCCGTGCTGAGCCCTTCCAGCTCTGCCACGCGCAGGAAGCCGGTGCGGTGACGGCAGCGCACGCTCCCAGGCACCTGCCTTTGCCCACGCCGGGGAGGCGCTTCCTGTGAGTCAGGACTCGGGGATCGCGTGGGGGTGAACTGCCTGCGAATGCTCCTGGGCAGGAGAGCCACTCCCAGTCCTCACCCAAAGGTGACTTCTGGGAAGCATGTTTTTCTGTTTAGACAACGTAAAAGCTATTCCCGTTAGCATTGAATTTTTTTTTTTTTTTTTTTTTTTTTTTTTTTTTTTTTTTTTTTTTTTTTTTGAGACGGAGCCTCACTCTATCACCCAGGCTGGCGTGCAGTGGCATGATCTCGTCTTACTGCAACCTCCACCTCCTGGGTTCAAGCGATTCTCCTGCCTCACCTCTCGAGTAGCTGGGATTCCAGGCACGCACCACGATGCCCGGCTAATTTTTTGTATTTTTAGTAGAGATGGGGTTTCACCATGATGGCCAAGCTGGTTTTGAACTCCTGACCTCAAGTGATCTGCCTGTCTCTGCCTCCCAAAGTGCTGAGATTACAGACATGAGCCACCGCGCCCAGCCCCTGTTAGCATTTCTTTGTTGGTTAACAGAAGGACTTCTTGCATTTCTTAGTTGCTAAGCTGTAAATCTTAGAATTCCCACACAAAACCCGAGACTTCTCCATTGCTCTGTGAACACAGGCAGCAAAAGCTTCAGGGGAAATTGGACAAGGTGTGAATCCTATGAGGTGGGAGGCAGCGCAGGGGCCAGTGCAACACAGAACACACACGGCCCGTCCCCGAGGACGAGGAAAGAGGTAGCGTAGGGCCAGTGCAACACAGAACACGCACGGCCCGTCCCCGAGGATGGCCAGGAGCACGGTCTGCCCCGGGCTGCAGGTTCTTCCTCCGGGATGAGTCTGGGAAACCACTGTCATGGAGCCTGGGATGGTTTGCTCGGCTGTGGGATCCCAAACACGTTGGGATGCGTTGTAATCTTACTCTGACCTGGATGAATACGTCAAAGAGAGAGAAAGACTCTGCTGTTCCCTGGTCATTCTAATGAGTGTTCTTCAAAATTGAATAACCCAATCAAAGAGATATCACTGTAGAAACGGATTGATGGAGTGATCCATGTATTCATTCATCCACCAAGTGTTCAGAGTGTCTCCTACATGTCAGACGCTCTGCTCACACAAGGATGATGAGATGAGCGAGACAAGCGTGGTCCCTGCCAGAATCAAACCTCACCTGGCTGGGGAAGACAAGCTCATCTGATACTCATGTGGGTCATAATTTAATTAGAGTAGGTTTGACAGAGGAAAATGCCGTGAAGATCTAAGGGGGAACTGGGGACATCTTTCTGAGTTATTTAAACATGGAAAACCCAACAGCTGGTGCCCATCTCTGGAGGAGCAGGTTGGGCAGGCCCCAAACACCTGAGAGCAGGCTGGGTCCAGGATGCTGAGGACAGCTTTGACCTGCTCCTTGTGCACAGTGGCTGGGAGGAATGTGCTGCCAGGATCCGAGTTGGGATGGGCGATGGTTTTTCCCTGGACATTGTCGCTGGAACGTTGCATCTTGCATGCTTGCAAACACTTTGCGTAGGGATCTCCCAAGTGAGTGGCCCATCAAGTTTTGCTGAGTTTTCAATCAAACTAATTAGCAGAGGCGGCTCTTCTAGATAATGCACATCATCACCCCATGGACATTGAACATGTGTCCCTGGAGGGTACGAAGTGCTTAGGAAATAACATCAAGTCCAAGCTGTTCTCCCAAAATAAATACAGACTGATTGCCACCTGCTTCAAAATCACAGTTGATAAAGCCCAAGTCAAGAAGGCATTTATTTCCATACTGATTTCTTTTGGAGAATAATTTAGGAAGGTTCTCCTCCTATAACCCTTTACGAAAATGAGATTCTGGATTTGTTAGACGATGTAATAGGAAAGTGTTGCTGGTCCCAACAGCCCAGATGCCAGTGAATGAACAGTAGGAAGGTTCTGGGGCTGAGGGCTGGGGATCTCGCTCACTGGATGGAGAGGCCCAAGGTTGGTGGATGAGAAGGTGGCGCTCGGGCTCTAAGCTCCTCTCCCAAAGTGACTGGGAAGCCCACTGCTCTTCCTGAGAAGAAACACTTTAAATCACACTTCTTTTTTTTTTGAGATGGAGTCTCACCCTGTCAGTCACCCAGGCCAGGCTGGAGTGCAGTGGCTCGATCTCAGCTCACTGCAACCTCCACCTCCCAGGTTCAAATGACTCTCCTGCCTCGGCCTCCCGAGTAGCTGGAATTATAGGCGCCCACCACCACACCCAGCTAATTTTTGTATTTTTAGTAGAGATTGGGTTTCACCATGTTAGCCAGGCTGGTCTCAAACTCCTGACCTCGTGATCTGCCTGCCTCGGCCTCCCAAAGTGCTGGGATTACAGGCGTGAGCCACCACACCTAGCCTAAATCATACTTCTAATCAACATAGGAACCGTATTTTTACTTTAGACAATAGCGTGGCCCCAGGGTCTTTTTAAAAGCTGGAAACGATATTGAGATCATTGCCTGCAATTCTCTCCTTTTCACACCAGAGTGAACTGAGCAATTAGGAGAGTAAAGCTTGCGAGTGGTTGAGAAGCTGCAATTCAGGCCCAGCCAGCTTTTCTCTCCGGCTGTGCTCAAATGTTTTGTCACTTCCTTCAAAAAAACCCTTTCTTTTTTTTCTTTTTAAGTGAGGCTTAATCTAAATTTTATGCAAGGAAAAGCAGAGTGGCTTGAGGCCCGGATCTGGGGTGCCTCTAAGGAAGTCCCCACGCCAGGCCAGGCTTCCCCATGTCAAGGTCCCTGCAGTGCCTGAAGCTGTTTGTCACTGCCTGGGTCTGAACAGGCACCAGGAGCACAGGTGTGTGTCAGGCCTCAGTGGCTGTCTTATTAGCTGACCTAGAGAGAGAGAGGTTTCCAGAATGCTGCTACCTCGGAGAGGCACCGAGAGGCGTGAGTGGATGGAAATGTCTGTGTTTGTCATTGTCACCTGGAGAAGGCTGTGTCCAGACACAGAGGTGGTGGTGCAGGCCCTGGGACACGCAGCTGGTCCTGGCTGCACCCCCAGCAGGCCACCTGCTCCATGTCTTCGGTGACACACCTGTGAGGGCTCAGTCCAGGCAGGAGGACCCCTTGTTCACAGGTGTCTCCACTTCACCCTCCAGGGGCCTGCACCTGTGCCTAATTTGAATGAGTTTCCATGGTGGGCAGGGGACCCCTATGTTTGTGTAATAGGACCTTTCCCTGAATTTCTTACGTTAAAAAAGCTCTTAAAAAGACAAATCTCTCCACGAGACTCCATCAGTGGTAGAGGGACCAGAAACCTAATAGCTATTAACCCTTGCTTTAAAATACTCTGCAGTGGACACAGAGGAAGCAGACCTCCTGTGAGAATTCATTTATAAACAGCTTCTGAAAATACGGTTCTTTTTGCTTCCTTAATAGCATGGTGCCTCTGCAGGGCTCGGCTGCTTTTGTGGGAGCTGAAGTAGGTGTGCTGTGTGGTGTGGCACAGCTGTGGGGTCTCCCAAGCTTCCCTGCGGAGGCAGACTGTTACCTCTATAAATGACATGCTCTTCTCGGGTAAATATGTGGTAGAAAAATGAGGTAGATTTTCAACTCTGTTGTGTGCTCCTTGGGCCATTCCAGTTCAGTAATATATTTTAAGTGTGAACATTGGTTATACAAGTTGGAGTTATCTCGTCACACCCAACTAAATCAGAGTTCAGAGACTGGGGGATAAAAGGTGCTCTGGGCACAAGCTGTTGTCCAGGGAGGACGTTGTAAGGCAGCTGCCAAAATGACCTGCTCCCACCGGAAGAACAGTATCACCCAGGAGCTGCTGAGATAAATTGGCCTGGCTCTAAGGCCAGTTCTACCTGTTGCCATCACTCACCAATCAGAGCTTTCCAGCTCCCCCAAACCTTGCTAGTGCCAATGAGTTTTCTTTCTAAACAATAGGTAATATTTCCCTTTAAATAAAGCCTCCAACCTTCTCTTTGTTCTTTGGACATACTGAAGTTCACCCTGGTCTGTGTGTAGGACCTGGATAGCACTTCTATTTTCTGAAATAAAACACCTTGTTTAGAGATCCATCTCTATCATTTCATTTGGTTTTGACTTGGACGGTGAGCCGAAATGGTACCTGTGAGTAGACTTACACACCACCGTGAGCAGGGAGTCAAAATGCACACCTGGCTCCGGGGTCCAGAAATGCTCCTCACTTCTTATTTCAAGTGAACAAACTTCACAGGAGTGTGGCTGTCAACTGCTGATCCGTGAGCCCAACTGACTGGACTCATTGGGACTGGGGTGTCAGATGAGCTGCTGGCAGAGCTGCTTGTAAAAGCCTCTAAGACGGGGTGAGTGTTGAAGTTGCCCGTCCATCATCCATCCATCGAACTTTCATCAAGTGCTTTTATGCCCACAGTTTGTGCCTCGTGAGTGCAAGACGCTACGGAATTAGACGCAGGGGTGATAACGAGTTAGTAATCAGTTAATTCTCCTAAAAATTCTACTTGCACTTGAAGGTAGAAATCATGACCTCTTTCTCCTTTTAGGACTAAAATCACACACTTTAAGCATATGACCTGACCACCTACTCTCTGTCCCTTTACTCATGGTGGGTTCCCTGCAGATGCACTAGTGTTTCTTCCTGGTGTCCTGGGAGTCTCACTAGCATTTCCTCCTGGTGTCCTGGGATTCTCACTAGCATTTCTTCCTGGTGTCCTGGGATTCTCACTAGCATTTCTTCCTGGTCTCCTGGGATTCTCACTAGTGTTTCTTCCTGGTCTCCTGGGATTCTCACTAGTGTTTCTTCCTGGTGTCCTGGGATTCTCACTAATGTTTCTTCCTGGTGTCCTGGGATTCTCACTAGCGTTTCTTCCTGGTGTCCTGGGATTCTCACTAGCGTTTCTTCCTGGTGTCCTGGGATTCTCACTAGTGTTTCTTCCTGGTGTCCTGGGATTCTCACTAGTGTTTCTTCCTGGTCTCCTGGGATTCTCACTAGCGTTTCTTCCTGGTGTCCTGGGATTCTCACTAGTGTTTCTTCCTGGTGTCCTGGGATTCTCACTAGTGTTTCTTCCTGGTGTCCTGGGATTCTCACTAATGTTTCTTCCTGGTCTCCTGGGATTCTCACTAGTGTTTCTTCCTGGTGTCCTGGGATTCTCACTAGCATTTCTTCCTGGTGTCCTGGGATTCTCACTAGCGTTTCTTCCTGGTGTCCTGGGATTCTCACTAGTGTTTCTTCCTGGTGTCCTGGGATTCTCACTAGCATTTCTTCCTGGTGTCCTGGGATTCTCACTAGTATTTCTTCCTGGTGTCCTGGGATTCTCACTAGTGTTTCTTCCTGGTGTCCTGGGATTCTCACTAGCGTTTCTTCCTGGTGTCCTGGGATTCTCACTAGCATTTCTTCCTGGTCTCCTGGGATTCTCACTAGCGTTTCTTCCTGGTGTCCTGGGATTCTCACTAGTGTTTCTTCCTGGTCTCCTGGGATTCTCACTAGTGTTTCTTCCTGTTGTCCTGGGATTCTCACTAGTGTTTCTTCCTGGTGTCCTGGAATTCTCAGGGCAGACACTGGCCAAAACTTGTTTCTGGACCTTTCATCACACTCCAGGGCTGTCGCTGATGGAGCTGGCAAAAACCTACCCTCCCTAAACATCAGTTCTCGTTATTGTGTTTTGCATGTTCAGCTTATTCCCATCCTAGACACGTGCTGTTTCTCTCTTGCTGCTTAATTTTGGAGGAGGCTATGTGAAGACTTCCAAGAGGATTTTAAATCTTAGCTCTTCCTGTTCTCATCCTGCAAGTCACAGGGTGTTAAATATCAGGGCTGTAAGTTTCGGAGGCTAATCCCACAAAGACTGACCTCCTTCAGTAAGGACTCAGTTGGCTGAGGCAGCACTCACCCATCCTCATGCCACTGGCTCCGCTCCTTCTTTCTCAGCTCAGAGAACGCTGGGTCTTCTTTCCAGCCCTGTCCCTGGTGCACAGCCTGAGCTGTGTGCTGTCACTATGCCATGTCACTGCCAGGCTGAAGATCAGCTTCCTTCTTCGGCTCTGCAGCCTCCTACCTTCATGGACAGGGGACAGCTCTCACGTTGCTCTGGTTTGTATTTTCCCTTTGGCTTTCTCATTGTTAGATTTGAGGGACGTAGCTTATGCTGGTTTTCACAGAAAATGTGAAACTGATGAGGGCCCATGAAGTCAGCTTAAGGAAAATCTTCAGTTCCTGAGCATTGAATTTTCCTTGACTGAAGGGAGCTATATTTGAACCTACAAGGACCTCAGGTGCCAGGCAAGTTCTAGTTAGAAGTTTCGAGCTCTCTCAAGCAAAGATTTTCTTTGCATAGGAAACAATTTACCGGAGGAATAAAGGGTGCAGCCCTTTCCTCCCCGGACTTCTAGAGAGGAGCAGATCAGAAGACAGCGTGAAGCTCCTGGGACCTGCAGGCTTGCGGGATCCCTTGAACTCAGGACCATGGTCCCTGGAATCCAAGCCCCACGTGGGTTCCCTTGAGCCCAGGCATCTGGTGTGCCTTCAAGGCCTCTGCCTTCTGTCTCAGGGCAGACACACAGGAGTGCTTGAGCTGTTTAAACTCCAAACTACAGAGACGGGCACTTGCATGTTTATTTCAAGTGGACAAACTCCAGAGTCTGAATGCCCACAACATGGTTTCACATCCAGATGATCTTCTTACCCCTCAAATTGGAGCCTGTGTGTTCTTCTGGAATCTTGTGATCCAAGTCACAATGGAAGAGCCTGACATTGTTCCGGTGGCATCTTCAGCATTGCCATGTTTTGGTTATGGGGCCTGAAATAACAGCTTCTGTGCACTGTTTTATTCTTCCACTAGGAAGACAGGTGACGTGATGCCAGTAAGAAATAGATCTAGTTTTACCTTTGAGGTTTTGTGCTCCCTCTTCTTATTAGCTCAGTCTGCATTTGACCCACCGTGATGTCTGCTCACGGCCCTGGTATGTTTCCCCATTACCTCCTGAAGCAAGAAGAAAAGTTTCAGTGTAGCAGCCAGATCTCCCCCGTCCAGGCTCAGTCTGCATGTTCCTCCTATCTGGCATGCCATGACTTTGCACTTGTAGGTGCAAGGGCTGCCTTTGCTTTCATAGCTTCCTCTGCATGGGAGCCCACCTGCTTACTCCGTTCCTATGGACACCACCTTAGAAATCAAGTCTGTCCCTGACGCTTTCCCTCTAAGAAGCACATTCCTGCTCAATCCCATGCCCACTGGCCCGGGCACCTGGTTTCCATCTCTCCATACTTTAAGCTCCCACAGAAAATCATTCATTCCCTCACTTACTTATTCATCCATCAAACACTCGCATCCCTCCTGCTGTGTGGTGGAACTGCAGAAACGAAAACACGGTCTCTGCCCCCAGGAAGTCTCATTGCTGCCAACCTTTCTGAAAGAATCATCCCGGCCTAACTCTCCTCCCTCCCTTCCCCTCCTTTCTTCCCTCCAGCTGGTATCTACCCACTTCCTACTCCCACCCCTTCACCAAAACTTTTCTCTTAAGAACACTAATGTCTTCTATGTGGCTAAATCCAATAGAAGATTTTAGTCTTTTTCTGACTTGACTTTTCATCAGCTTCGGATGCAGCTGGCCACGCTCCCTCTTTGGTGGGCTTCCCCCGTGTCAGACGCAACACTCCCCCTGGCATATCCACACCATGTTAGAGGCAGGGAGGGTGGCCTGTTCTGCCAGGGGACTAGCAGGTCACGTTTGATTCTATTGGCCTGGGAGGAAACTGGAGAGGAGCCAGTTGGGAGAGTCCATGGCACTCTTTCCCTCTGTTTGGGTTCCTGGTCTCCCTTGTCTCCCCTTCTTTTCCTGGGTCTTCTCCTCTCTGGTCTTTGTATATCAGAGTTCCTAGTGATGGGCCACAGTGCATGTCCCATCTCCCTGATTCTGTCTGTCTCCATGGCGCCCAGCACATTCTCACGGCTCCCTGTCCCATCCAGATGCTACTCACCTCTCCATTCAGACTGCTCGTCCAAGCCCCACACTTGTATCTCCACCTGCCTCCTTGACACGTCCTCTTTGGTGTCTCCCCAGAATTGTAACTTTAACATATCCGAAGCTAAAGGCATCATCTCCCCTGGTCCTTCCCTTGAGAATTATCACCCCAAGCAAAGTAACAAACAAACAAAGAGGAAAAGCCTGTTTCTCTCCTGGAATGCTGCCTATCAATAATGGTGTCATGGACTGCCATTGCTGACGCCAGAAAGCATCACCCCACACCTGCCCATTTCCAGGTCCTGGGAGGCTTCATCCTCTTCCCCAAAGCACTGCAACCCAACGTTCCCTGCCCAGGCTATTGCAGTTGTTTGCTGCCTGCTTTCTTCCTGACCACTCTGGCCCTTCGACACCACTGTGGGAAGCATCACCTGACCATGCCCACTAGATATGGTCACTGTCCTGGGGAGACCCTGTGAGGCTAGCACTGCTCTGAAGGAACACAGGTGGCCTACGGGGTCCCATCCACCCAGCCTGTCTGCACCTCTGCCCCCCTCTCCCAGCTCTCCTTGTCCTCACTTTCCGCCCACACCAGCCTTCTTCAGTGCCTTGGGCTCTCCGGCTCCTTCTCATTCAGGGGACTCTCCATGTGCTCGGCCTGCTGCTTGGAAGGACTGTGTCTCCCACATCCCCCTGCCCTTGGCTTGGTCGAGTTTCAGCTTAACTGTCCCTTTCAAAGGCAGTGTTAGATGCTTCCAGGATACAGTTACATGGAATTTGCTCAAGTCTTATAGCCGCTATCACCATAAAAGGCAAACCATTTTTTTGTGCAAGTATTTATCTCCTCTCTGCCTCACTGGCTGGATTGTAGACTTGCACGCGGGGCTGTATGGGCTCGTTTACTGATGTGTCCCCAAGCCCAGGGTTGTGCTGGACATAGGAGCCACCCAACTGCATGGCTGGACCACTGAATGGTTGATGAACTGAGGGAGATCATCTCTAGCCTGTCCTCAGAGTGCTGACTTCATTCTGCCGCACACTAGACATGCTGGGACCTGTGTTCCGCTTCCTGCTACACTTTCCCCTCCTTCAATGCTCCTTATTCATCATGCCTGCCTTGCTCACCCACCGAGGGCGAGGGGAGTATTTTTGGCAGCTGGCGTCTCCATGTGATGACTCTCAGGGCAGCTTTGAGGATCTGGTGGGTGCCCACAGTGTGATCAGATTTCATGAAATGTGCCACTCACTCTCCTTTTCTCTTGGTGACCATCAGAAAAAAAGAGTTTCCTTTTTAGAGCTTATGGCCTCAGTGGCTCGATGGCAGTTATAGTGCCCCTAACAGCTGTTACTCCTTGCAACAGTGGATCAGCAATGAAGCTGAGCTTGGGCTTAATGGAAATTGTCCCTTGAACGGTTTGAATTTGGAACGTTTATTCTCCATTAATTTCAAGTAGACTCTAAATTGAGCAAAACAGTCTCTGTCTTTCCTTTTAGTGGCAGGGTTTTGCTGACAAGTGGACACCAGAATTGTCCAACTCGATTGGAGGCATCGTGATCTGCAGATCTCAGGAAATGTGCTAAGCCCCCAAGTCACATCATTCCAGTTGGTTCTGGACCCCAGCGAGCTTCATCAGCGCTGAGTGTGGGAGACACTGTGAAACCTTGTTAAGATCAAGCAGACGGCACACCTTACTTCCTTATGCAGACACTGGGAAAGACACACAGAGATGGGCATGTGGGAAAGACCAAAACTTTCTGCCCTCAGTGGGAAGGGGCGTCTGAAGAGCCACCCTCCTGCACCTCACTCCTTTCTACAAACAGGCGTTCTTGTTGCGTGGCCTGACTAGGGGAGCAGTGGCAGCTCCAGGATTTCTCCCCAGCACATTCTAGGTGGTGATCCAGTTGGGAGTGGGGCCTTGAAGCTGTGTTTGCACCACACAATGAGGCTGAGACAATGCCAACCAGCGCTTCACGATCAAAGCATGCAGGCGGTGGGGTGTTGATATATAACCTGCCTGTGACCGCACAGTGAGTCGATGGTGGGCTTGATTTGAAGTGCAGCAGTCTGGCTCCAGAAATCACACTTTGCCCCCTGCGCCAGCCTGTCTCCAACCCTCAGACAAACAAAGGTTGTAGGCAGGCACATGCAGAGAGACCCTTATGCATCTGGAATTAGTGAGAGTTTGAATGGAATGGTGCACGTGCTAGGTTTTGTGTTGTCTATGGGATGTCTAAAATAGAACCTTGCTCTGTAACTGACTTTAAATTACTACGTTAAAAAAAAAAGACATAATTATTCATTGTTTCTATGATGGCTTCTAGTTTACAAAGAAATTTTACACATTTTTTGCTTTCTTTGTGTCCAGCCTGGGCTTTGGGTTTTGGGGGCGAGAATCCCATTGCTCTGTGGACTCCCAGCCCCCGGGGCCCCTGGGCACACGCAGACTCCCCTCTACTTGCCCATCCTCCTTCTTTTCCATTCTCCTTCACCAGTGGTCCAAACACGCGTATCTGGCATCTGCTGAGCAGGTTCTTGCTGTCCTGCTTCTTTGGCGCTTTCCAAACGGCAGAATTCCAGTGCTGTCCTCTGGCAGGTGCCTGAGAATTACCTGGAGGGGCCACAGCAGGGGACTCTCCGTGCTTCCTTCCCTGTGCTGGAAGAGTCACTTCAGCTGACCTCGTTCAATGCCCTCTCACTTGGCTCCTGGCAGCCCCTTGCTCCTGGGATCTCCGTGCCCAGGGACCACTCACCCTCCACCTAGGCAGAGAGCACAAAGCTCTGAAATCTTTTCTTTTTTTTTTTTTTTTTTTTTGAGACACAGTCTCACTCTGTTGCCCAGGCTGGAGTGCAGTGGCACCATCTCGGCTCACTGCAACCTCCACCTCCTGGGTTCAAGCAGTCCTCCTACCTCAGCCTCCTGAGTAGCTGGGATTACAGGCATGCACCACCATGCCCTGCTAATTTTTGTGTTTTTAGTGGAGACGGGGTTTCACCATGTTGCCCAGGCTGATCTCCAACTCCTGACCTCAACTGATCCACCTGCCTTGACCTCCCAAAGTTCTGGGATTACAGGCATGAGCCACTGCGCCCGGCCAAAGCTCTGAAATCTTGACTCTCCTCTCCTCCCCTTCCCTGGGCTGCTGCCTCTGTGGGCCTGGGCAGGGTAGTCCTGGAGTGACGGTGGAGGCAGCAGAACCAGTGAGCCCCTGTCTTAAGCGTTGAGGGGCATCTGTTCCTAGCTGTCTGCAGCTCTTTTAAAAGGTGAAGTATTGAGGTGTTTGATGCCCCTTTGTCCTCAGCCTCGGGTTCTGATAGCCCATTTAATACAACAGATAGAGCTGCACTCAAGATCCTCTACAAATGGGGTACTCTCTCAACACTTGCTTTCCCCAGTCTCTGCTTCCTCCAATCCTGTTCCAGGATGGCTATTGATGTGTCCCCTGACCCTCTTTCCTGCTTCCCTCCAGCCATAGGGGATGTGGCCTGACTTCTCCAAGGGCCTCACCTCCTCCTGCCTCCTCTCCACCTGCCTCCCCCATGACTTTCCCTTGCTCCGTAACCGTCATTGTGGCTCACTGGGCATGGTGGCCAGCGTCGGCTACTTTAATGTTAGGGGAGCTGTCCGTATTTTTCACCTCTGAAAATGTAATGTATCCTTGCAACTGAAAATGGGAAAGACTTCAGCAAAACTTTTGAGACTAGAGATTTTTATAAGACAATTCATTGAAAACATTGTCCTGTTTATTTAATAGTTACTGGCCTACTTGATCTTTCGTTTTCTTTTGAGTCAAGTTTGTCCTCTTGCACATTCTAATTAGAAGTTTTCACAGCTCTTTGATAATATCGTGTTGCATTTTGGGCACAGAACTCAACCAGACTGTCACGGTGGGCTCACCTTCTCCCTGCGTCCATGTGCATTAGGGTGGGGTTTGACTCTTGTCCTTTGGCAGGTTGTAAAGGGCCAGCTTTGTATTCAACCACTGTGCTTCAATCAACTAAAATACTGTATCTTACAGGACTACAGAAAAAATAAAAGCATTTATAAGAAGAAAGAAAACCTTCTAAATTCTTAGAAAGGTTGGCTTTTTAGTGATTTGTTTCTTCTAAAAAACAAAAAAAGCCACCACATTTGTCCATTTAAAGTGGGAATATTTATAAATGATTACAAACCAGATGCATTTGCAAGCCTTTCAAGAGCAACAGCTCTGTCAAGAAAGTGCTTAAATAAAAAAGAAATTATTGCAATTTTCAAGTTGAGTGATAAAGTGTGTATAATTGCAGTGGTTAACGTATGCGTTTAATGAAGTATATCTATCTTCTTGCGGAACTCCACCATCAGTTTGGGATGCAGTAAGTGTAACGAAGACACAAACACTGTTCTTTATGGGTTAAAATTCCCAACCTTCCCATCGTACCTCTGTTAATCAGCATTTAGCTAGTGTCAGCTGTTTGACCAACTCCTTGCTAAATGCCGACATCCAGGTTTGCCCCAGGGGAGCCTGCAGTCAAGTGGGGGAAGGAAGGCTGGTCCCTGAGGCCTGTGGTTGGGACCAAAGGCTTTGAAGTCAGACAGCCCAGGGTTTTAATCTCAGCTTCTTTTAACTGAAGGCAGATGTGGGGAATTTTCCTGAACCTTCTGAACCTGGATTGTCTCATGTGTTAAATGGAAATGATAATTACAATAATCATGTCAACAGGCCAGGGGCATTGGTCATGTTAATTGTGAGGATGATGATGATTCTAGCCAATTGTTTAACTGTTAATGAGTACCACTAACCAACGACTTAGAATCTCCAAGGCTGCAGAAAAAATAGGGGAAGGTAAGGGGAGACCTGCGCAAGTCTCTGAGGGCAGATCAGACTCAAAAAAGTGACAAGAGGGATTTTATGCCGCATTTATCCAGACCTTGTTACCTGGTTCCCTTACTAATCTCGTTATAGGTGTGTTTAATCTTGCAACTGTTAAAACCTTTTTAATAACATGAGGTACATACTATGTTTTTATAAAATTGATTGTCTATAACCTTATGATGTCATATCCATGTGGGCTCATCTCCAAGCAGTGATCCAAATTGTTCTCAGAGAGATACTTCCTTAGCTTGCGTTCTTCAGGAAACAAGGAGACACAAAGCTCTTCCCTATCATCCATTTCCCTTACATGCCCGGTTGCTTCCAGACCTCCTCAAAACTTGTTGGAAAACTCAGACCCTGGCTTGGCTTCAGAGACCGCTGCTTGGAGTGCAGGGTGAGGGGATGGAAGAAACCGTGAGAGAGAGAGTGGGTTCTCTGAACTGGCAAGGGGAAGGCAAATCCAGGCCACACTTACATGTTCATTTACAAGTCCGTGTGTCCATTTCGCAGTCTGCAGCACATAGCATCCCACCCAATTAGCAGAAGACATTGGTCCTTCCATTTCCAGATGGATCCCTCATAGATGTGGGAGGCTGGGGGTTCACAGCGCAGTCTCCATGATTACTGCAGGGATCAGGACAGCTTGCTTGGTCACCTGGATGTGGCCATCCTACACCAGGATACATGCAGAGTTGGAGAGCTTTGAGTGAGGCACATTGACGCCTTGGAGCCAAGACTCTTTGCAGAGCTGCCCTATCCCACCTGTGGGCCGATCCCTGTACCACTGTGTCTCCTTCCTGTGCATGGTAACTTACAGAAATAATGAAGGGTCTTCACCGTGCCTTTCGGCCTGTGCTACTCCTGTCCTGTCACCTGCCACTGCTGTGCACTCTCTCTTTCCCCTCTTCCCTCCCTGTTACTTCCCTTATACATTCTCTTTCTTTCACAGGATACTTTTTGTAGATTCCTCAGGGCTCCCACAGCTGTCAACAGTAATGAGAGTGAAGACTTTCATTTTGCCTACTGGTTAGGACATGTGCACCATCTTTGAATCTTTGGTTATTTTTATTCTCAAGAGATAATACACCCACTGCAGTCTCTGAGATTCAGAGAAACCCCAGGCAATCGAGGTTTTCTGTGTGCCCTGTGAAGAAGTGACTTCATTCTTGACTTCTACCTTTTGGCTGTAAGCATTCCTGACATTCAGTGAGGAAGGTGGTCAGTGCTGTGTGCCATCTGAGACTGGTACGGAAGGGAGGGTCATATGGAATTCAAAATATATCATCAAAACTCAACTCCAAGATCACCCTAGGGGTCTCACATTGCTATCAGCAATGAAAGAGTTCCACGGGAGTGAATGATACCCAGAGAGACCCATACTCAAAAGCTTTCTTCATGCTGTTCAACGCATCATTTAACATTCATGGTGTTTCTGTTGTCAGTTTCAGCAGTATGTAAGAACTAACACAACCTGGAAAGGGGATGATAGAGCTCCACAGCTTTAAGTTAGCCTTTGGATTTCAAATGGAACCTGGAAACAGGACAAACCCAAGAGAGCTAAGTGCTGGACACACACATTGGTGTCAGGCTCTCCCATAGAAAGAGGGCTGGCCAAGGAAAGACTGAAGGGAAAATTTAGAGATCAGAGGAGAAGCCAAGTCACATATGCAGTGGGTATGTTTTATGAAATATTGCATTTTTAGAAAAAGTCATATAGAAGATATACTATAGGTATAATGTAATACTAATAAACCAAACACTCACATACCCACTATCCAATTAATGAGAGTGAACATTAACAATTCTTTGAAGTCTGCTTGGGCCTCTCCCTCAGCATCATCTTCCCTTCCTGAGATCATCAGAGTCAAGTTTTGTGGGTACAAATCCTTACTCCTTTTCATTTTTTTTGGGTTACACATGTACCAATCCCTAAACAGCATTTTATTTGGTTTGCAAAATTGTTGACTTTATGTAACTGTCACTGTACTATATGCATTATTTTGTGGTTTGCTTTTTTGGTTAATGTTAAGTTTGTGAGATTCTTCCATGGTGACGAATGGAAGGAATCATAGTTCGTTCATTTTTACTGCTTTATAGCATTCTGTTAAATGGAGATGAAATTATTTACCTATTTCTCTGTCAGTGAATTATGTTCAAGTTTTTGTTATTACAATAGCTTCTATAAATATTCTTAAACTTGTTTCCTGCTGCATATAAGCAAATATTTTATATATATTTGTGTGCGTATATATATATATATATATATATACACACACACATATATCTATATCTGTGTGTGTGTGTGTGTGTGTGTGTGTGTGTGTGTATTTCAGGGTATAGGGTATGCACATCTTTTAATTTAATGAGGGGATGCTTATTTGTTTTCGAAGTGCCTGCATCGTTTTCCACTCCCACCCAAAATTAAATTGCTTCTCCTACCTGTCAGAAGTTACTACTGCAAGATTTTTAAAAATATTTCCAGGGCTGGTGGGTGTGAGATAGTCTTTATGGTTCTGGCTCCCCATTTCCATGATTATTAGTGAAGCTCAGCATCTTTTTGTATGTTTTTTGCTTATTTTTTTTTTTGTAAAAGATGTGTTTGAGATATTTTTCTTATTTTTCTGTTGAGTTGATTATAGATTTTTGTTGACTTGAGAAGTTCTTTTATATATATATATATATAGTCTAGATTTTTGTTATTAAAAAAATTGTTGCTACATAGCCCCATCCTTTATGGTGTATCTTATCAGCAGATGTTTTTATTTTAACATAATCAAATGTATCTCTTTTTTTTATGTTTTTGCTTCTTATTTAAAAATGCTTTCCAACTTCAAATTCATAAAGATATTCTGCTAATTTTCTTTCCTTCTTTCCTTCCTTCCTTCCTTCTTTCTTTCGTTATTATTTATTTATTTTTTTTGCGACGGAGTCTTGCACTGTCGCCTAGGCTGGAGTGCAGTGGCGCGATCTTGGCTCACTGCAACCTCCGCCTCCTGGGTTCAAGCGATTCTCCTGCCTTAGCCTCCCAAGTAGTTGGGACTACAGGCGCCCGCCACCACACCCAGCTAATTTTTTGTGTTTTTAGTAGAGAGGGGGTTTCACCATGTTGGCTAGGCTGGTCTCGAACTCCTGACCTCATGATTCACCTGCCTCGGCCTCCCAAAGTGTGGGAATTACAGGTGTGAGCCACTGCGCCTGACATCTTTTTTTTTTTTTTTTTTTTTTGAGACAGAGTCTCGCTGTGCTGCCCAGGCTAGAGTGCAGTGGTGCAATCTCGGCTCACTACAACCTCCACCTCCTGGGTTCAAGCAACTCTCGTGCCTTAGCCTCTGGAGTAGCTGGGATTACAGTCATGTGCCACCACACCTGGCTAATTTTTGTACTTTTAGTAGAGATGAGGTTTTGCCAAGTTGCCCAGGCTGGCGTTGAACTCCTTGTCTCAAGTGATCTGCCTGCCTCGGCCTCCCAAAGTGCTGGGATTACAGGCATGACCCACTGCAACCAGCCATTTTCTGCTAATTTTCATCTTAAGGTTTTATTGTTTTGTCATTCATATTTAAATCTACAATCAACAGGGACTGGCTTGGCAAGTGTAAGAGTGACGGAATTTGTGGAGTAAAACCACAGTAATTTATTCATTTCATATTGTGTAGTATTTCATTACATATATCAGCCACATGCATATATCCATTATTCTATTGTAGAATATTTGAGTTTATTTCTAGTATAGAATGCTGTTGCAATAATAATAATGTTGAATGCTGCAGCAATGAACGTTCTTATACATTTTATTTTGTGGTTCCAGTGCATATGTGTATCTACTGGGAAGATACCAGGAAGTGGAATTCTTGGGTCATAGGGCACGATATGTTCAACTTTAGCAGGTGATAGCAATCAGTTTTCTCAAGTGTTTGTAACTTTGTAAACCCCTAATAAAAGCGAGAATTCCCACTTGTCCAGATCCTCATCAACACTGGGTACTAGAACCCCTTTTATGTCAGCTCTTTTAGGGAATGGATAGTGGTTTCTGCTTGCATTTCCTGACTAGGAATGTCATTGACATTCAACACATTTCACAATGTTTTATGACTATCACCACTACCTAGTCTCAAAACATTTTTATCACCCCAGAAAAAACCTCTGTCCCCATTAAGCACTTACTTCCCACTTCCTTTCCTCCCAGACCCTGGCCACTGCCAATCTGCTTTTTGCCTTTTCTGGATAGTCCATCTAAATGGAATCATGCAAACTGTGGCCTTTTGTGTTTGGCTTCTTTCACTTCCCATAAGGTTTGCAAGATTCTCCTGTATCATAGCATCCTTTCTCAAAGGCTGAAAAATGATAAAAAGCTTTTGGGGGGGAAAAAAAAAAAAGGAATGTCATTGAGCACACTTTTGTATATTTTTTCATGATTTAAATGCCTTCTTTTGTTCATTGCCTTTTCTTTCCTATTATTTTTTCTCTGCTGCATTATCTGTCACTTTCGCACAGTTGGCAGAAGTTTTTATGAAATATTTGCTGGATATGGTGTTGTAAATGTCTTCTCTCACTCAGTCAGCTTGCCTTTTCAGCTTTAATGATGACCTTTAATGAACACAAATTCATAATTTTAAAATAGTCAAGCTTATCAATCCTACCTATTTTAGTTCATAATTTTTATTTTCTATTTAAGAAAACATCCCCCACTCCAAGCCATGAAAACGCCATCTTACGTTATTTTCGAGAAGTGATGCCATTTTGCTTTTCACAGTCTGGTCTACATTTCAATCAGCCCTGCGTTATTTATAGAAAATGCCATCCTTTCCTCTCTGCTCTGCAGTGCTGCTGTGTCATAAGCCAGGTGTCTGTGTATGTTGTGTGTGTGGGTTTATTTCTGGACTTTTTATTTCTGTTTCATTGGTATGTGTATCCTCACGTCAGTACCAGTTTGTGTTAATTACTTCAGCTTTATAATCAATGTGAATGTCAGGTGGAGTGAGGTATCCCATTATTCTTCCTCTTCCCGACCATCCAGGCTAGCCTGGGTCCTTTGCCTTTCCATTTAAATTTTAGACTAAGCTTGTAAGTTCAACAGAAAACTTGTAATTTTAGTTGGACTGTTTTGAATCAATTTGCAAAAATTTGACATTTTATAATATTGCCTTTAAATCAAAAAAACATGGTTTATTTCTCTGTTAATTCAGGGTTTCCTTAATTTCTCTCAATCATTTTTTAATGCATAAAGGTCTCGCATATTGTTTGTTAGATTCATTCTTAGGTACTAGATATATCTGACATTATTGTAAATAGGGTCTTTATAAAATGTATTTTTAAACTCTGACTAGGTAGAAATAGAGATCGTCTTTACTCATTGAATGTGTATGCAACAACTTTTCAAACCTCTCCTGCTCACTCTAATGGTTTGTTTGAACATAACTTTGAATTTTATTGTGCATACACAATCATATCATCTGTGAATAATAATAGTTTAATTTCTTACTCTTCAGTTATTATCATAAACACATTTTATTGAAGTAGAAAAATTTTATCAAGCTAAAGTGGTTTCCTACTCTTTCCAGGTGGCTATGATTTAATTTTTGGTGTAAAATGGGCTGCTGGTCTTCTTGGCCTTGTTCTCTGGAGTAAAGATCAAGCCCCATGGAAGAGAGTGATCCGAAAGCCAGGGCTCACCTCCCCGAGTCACGTGTTTCTTCTGAGGCTGGATGCCATGTCTTCAATACATTTTTAATATACATTCTGTCCAGTCTTTCTCATTGTTTCAATGAAGACCTGGTTCAGACTTCCTAATCTACCATTTCCAAAAGCGGAAATCTGTATTCTATTATTTTAACTTTATAAATTAGTCTTGCTTTGGTAAAATAACACAGTTAATGCTGGCTTTCATTTACTCATAGCTACTGCTCTGTTTTTTCACAGACGCATTTTCCATCTCAGAAACTCCTTCTGGAATCACCTTCCTTTCTTCCCAAAAGAAGTCTCCTTTGTGGGGTTCTATCGCCAATAAGTTCAAGATCTGTCAGTTGGAGGTGTCTTTGTTCTGCTCTGGTTCTAGGGGTTTTGTTGGGTGTGCCTCTCTAGACCGAGGAATAGTTCTCTTGGCACATCGAAGTCATCAGTCTCCTCTTTTCTGGCCACCATTGTTGCTGCTGAGAGAAGGCTGCCAGACTAATTGTCATCCAACTTTAGATTATTTCTCTTTTCTTTCTGGGTGCTTTTAAGACCTTCTTTGACCTTCTTATTATTGAGATAGGATCTCACTCTGTATCCCAGGCTGAAGTGCAGTGGCACTATCTCTGCTCACTGCAACCTCCGCCTCCCTGGTTCAAGCAATTCTCCCACCTCAGCTCCTGAGTAGCTGGGACTACAGGCACATGCCACCATGGCCCACTAAATTTGTTGTTGTTGTTGTTGTATTTTTAGTAAAGATGAGGTTTTACCATGTTAGCCAAGCTGGTCTTGAACTCCTAGCCTCAAGTTATCTGCCTGCCTTGGCCTCCCAAAATGCTGGGATTACAGGCATGAGCTACCATGCCTGGCACTTTTTTTTGACTTTTCTATAATTTCTGTATTGCAAGCTATAATGAGATTTCTTTTTATTTACTCTCTGGAATTCATTGTGTTTGTGATTCTGAGCATTTATGTTCTTCATGTGCATGGAAGCTTCCCAGACATTGTATCTGCAAATATTGCCTCTCTGCCAGTCTTTGCATTCTGAAACTTCCATTAGATACGTGCTAGACTTCTCACCCGATGAGCCGTGTGCTAGGTTTCTGCATCTCGCCTGCCATCTCCTTCACATCTTCCATTTCTTTGTCTCTTGATGTGATGCTCTGGATACCTTATTGAGATCTGTTTTCCCATTCACCAATTATCTCTGCACCTGGTTTAATTGGCTGTTCAATCCTATGCATTTTAACTTTAACATATTATTAATTACTTCAAGAGTTTTTCTGTTTATTTTTAAATCTGCACGATCATTTATCTCTTATTGTTTGTTCATATTTTGTTTCTCTTTTGTTTGCTCATAGAATATATAATTATTTTATATTTCAAGTGTAACATTCTAATATCTGAACTTTTGGGGTCTGGTTCTGCTTTTTGTTATTTCTCCCAATTGTTGCTCAAGTTCCTTTATGTCCCTGTTTTATTACTTATTTATTGTTTGGTGTATTTGTTTCCTTATGATTGGGACTTCCCCTTTTTGGGGGAAAGATTTGGATTTGCTTCTTTCAGGAACCTGGGAGACTTCCTATCTGGGACCCTTTTAATTTGAATCTCAGCTTGTGTTGCTGCACCATGCAGACAGTAAGATGGCGATTCTCAAAGCCAACACATCAACATCTTGGGGGACTGCGTCCCATTGCACCCAGAGCCAGGGCCAGGAGACTCAAGTTCCCTTGCTCTCTTTGCTTGGAAGTTGAGATTGACTTTCATTTTCTGCCAGGATGTGGGCCTGCAGGGGTTCTGCCTTCCTATCCTGCCTCCCTGCAGGGGTGCGAGTCCCTGGAGGGCAGCATCCACCCTGGCTATTCACCAGACTTGGTGCTCATTTAGTTTTAAATATTGGCTCTGTTGGCAGCCGCTGAGTATTATCTTAATTTTTGAAACTGATTTGCATACTTGAGACAATGTCTTCTGTATTTTTCCAGCACTGTTTAGATTTGTTGTGGTAGTAGAATACCTTGCAGTGGTTTTGTTCTGTGTTAACTTAGCTAAGTTGACTTAGAAGTATTCCCATAATTCCCTTCCCTGTATATAGAATAGAATTGGCCAAAAGAAAAAGTTGAATAGAATTGGCCAAAAGGAAAAGTTGTATATAATTTTAGAAGATGGAAATAGAGTGAAAGCCGTCGTGGTCAGATTGAGTGGCAGATACAGGGAATTCGGCAGCCACAAGCATGTCCTCCTTCTCCTTCAATCCAAGTTCGGCTGTGGTCCCTCATGACCAGCCCTCCAGGCCCACAGGGACCGACAGCAACCCCATGCCCTCCACCGGGCAGAGCATTGGCCTTCTATGTCCTTTGACACCAGCTCCCCCTTGCAGCCCCACTTGGACAACTGGATGTGTCTGGGTGCCCAAATTTCTCTGCAAACCACACTGTTGAGGTGGTGGGCTGCTGCCTTCCTGACCCTCCAGCTCTGTGCTGTATGCAGCATGGACTAGTTCCTGTGGTAATTGTTAGTCCACAACACTCACAGCATTTTTTCTTCCCAGAATGAAGGTTTCTGAGATGTCTGGTCTGCAATATTGCCCAAAACCGGAAGCCGAATGCAGAGATTTTTGCATTTTGGGAATTCACAGATTTTTTGCAAATTTGATGACATTAAGGATCTTCACCTTAGAAAACAAGCAAAAGTATATACCAACAAAATGTGGCCTACATTTTAGGGATCATAAGTAAAGAATCTCTGATGAGTTGTTAGAGGCAAATACCTTTTTGACTATTGTCTAATGATAAAATCATAGAAACAAGTCAATCATCTGGCATGAAGTATTATATGTATTCGAATTTTCCCCATAACCTGTTTGCCTCTTTAAAAATATAAACTCACAGTTTTTGTCAACTTTCTAACATGAATTATGTATTTTTATGTCTCCTTTAAACCACACTTGACATAATCTTCCCTTAGCTTAATGCTCAGGTTTGTCAAAAGTGTAAAATCTTGTAATATAAATATTTGAAGGAAATTGAAGATCATCTTTGATCATAGACTCAGTGTTGGAAGAGAAATTGTAGATTATTTAAATCCAACCTTTTCTGATGCTGGGCTGTTCTAATTTCCACTGGTGACTTCTGAATGGTGAGCCCTTCCAAAGGACTCACACACTGATGCTGGACAGCTGGAAAAAAACCTCCTGAGACTGATGGCCACGTTTCCCCCAAGGCTTCTATCCTTCAGCCTCCATACTCAGGGTCTAGAGCCTAATCGCTCTTCAGATGGCAGCCCTCTGGGCATTTACCGTCAGCTCCCCTATATCTTCACAACCTTTCCTGTGGTGTTCCTCTCCCACCCCCCTTCCTATCCCCACGTGTAGGGGTTTTTAGTGCAGATCCATCCAGCCTGCTTGTCAAGGATGGCTTCTTATTTTGTGAATAGCTCTTTTGCCTGTGAAGCCTACACCCCAGCTCCTCAAATGAAGGGATTATTCCTTACTCATTTTAACCTTAAACATGAGCTGCATTGATGCTGGCTGCATTTTAGACAAATGTGAGGGCAGGATCTCTCCCTAGTGGCGTGAATAAAAGCTGGTGGCAGTGTGAATGAAAACTGGGAAAGGCGTGTTTCTGTCTGGCTGTGGCTTATTGCTTAAAACCAATTGTTGTTCAAAGGAAATGAAGAACAAAATCTAAATGTTAATGACTTCAGCAAAGTGTCTGAAGAGGGATTACATTAGGCCTGGGGTATGCTGAGGGACAGGGTAAGGGAATGT
Organism: Homo sapiens; assembly: GCF_000001405.40. Lineage (NCBI taxonomy): Eukaryota > Metazoa > Chordata > Mammalia > Primates > Hominidae > Homo > Homo sapiens. The sequence continues at coordinate 130,589,883 of NC_000010.11, forward strand.
TTAAAAAAGGAAGGTGACATGGCAATTCCCTTCAGAGATCTAAGCAAGAAATTGTTAGGCAGGCAAAGTCCCTTCGTACAAGCTAGCACAAGCTTTGATGTTGCAAAAAATCATAACTTTAACTCATATAATGTATTTGCATTGGAATGAGTCAGTTGTCAAAATCAGAGTTGGGATTGGCATGTGCAACATCTACTCTTAACCTCCATGTTGACATTTCTCGGGACAGGCTCGCCTACCATTGGCAGATGGCTCTAGCTTTCAAATAGTGAGCTAAGTTCAGGCACCTGCTGAATGGTTTTTGGCACAGAACATCATCACTATCATATTTCCAACTTGTCACATCAGTAAAATATGCTGTGATAGGAAAAAGAATTTTGCTGCTTAAGGAGTGTAATTCAGAAACCCATATCCACCTTTGTCAGACATCACAACAGAGCAGATGGCTGTGAGAAGGAAGTCCTCACTTGACAACCTTCCCTTTTCTTTAATTCCATGTGATTTGGTGGATTTTTCTGTTGGGGTTGGGGGTGGCTAGGAAACTAGGAGAGTGTTTTGTCAGGTCTATTACATGGGCTTCTGAAATGGACCTTGGGTAACCTCACATTTCATACCACATTATGCATTTGACTGAAAGGTGTCATATTTAGTAATTGTACTACTTTAAAACTGTCATTCTGTCATACCCAATCTGTCCTTCATATAACGACAGGAGTTTTCTTTCTGAAGTACAGGTTGGATCAATTCACAGATCCTCAAAAACTTTCAGAGACACTTGTAACCTTTTCTTAAACCACTTCTTTTGTTTGTTTTTAAATATCTCAATGGAGGTATATTTTGCGTCTTACATATATTGCTGTCTTCAAGTTTATAAGTCAATGATTTTTAGTAAGTTCGCAAAGTTGCTCCCCCATCACCACACATCAGCTTTAGAGCATTTCATCACCCAACATGATTCCTTGTGCTCATTCATCCGCCTACTCATCTGCTTTCTTTCTTTGTAGCTTTGCCTCTTCTGTATATTTTTTCTAAATCGAATCATGCGATGTGTAGAGTCTCGTGCCTGGCTTTGTTTACTCAGTGTGAAGGTTTGCGGCTCATCCGTGTTCCAGCCTGTGTATGACATTCTTCCCTTCTGTTGCAGAACTGTATTCTGTTGTCTACTCATTTACGGCTGATGGACATTTGTGTTGTCAATTTTGAGGTATGATGAAAAGTGCAGCAATGAAACATGTAAAAGTTTTTGTGTAGATGTATATTTTCATTTCTCTTGTATGGATATGTAAGCTTGAAATTGCTGGTTCATATGGTAAATGTACGCTTAACTTTTTAAGAAACTAACAAACTGGTTTCCAAAGTGGCCACACTAACTGTATTAGTTCGTTCTCACACTGCTAGAAAGACATACCTGTGCCTGGGTAATTTGTAAAGAAAGAGGTTTAATTAACACACAGTTTCACATGGCGAGGAGGCCTCAGGAAACTTACAATCATGGTGGGAGGTGAAGGGGAATCAAGGCGCATCTTACATGGCGTCAGGAGGGCGGGCAGGGGAAGTGCCACGCTTTCAGACCATCCGATCTCATGAGAACTCACTCAATATCACGAGAACAGCATGGGGGAAACCATCCCCATGATTCAACCACCTCCCACCAGGTCCCTCCCTCAACACCTGGGGATTATGATTTGAGATGAGATTTGGGAGAGGACACAGAGCAAAACCATATCACCATCTTATCTTCCCACCAGTAATGTATGAGCATTCCAATTTTTCCATATCCTCTCCAACATTTGTTGTTGTCTGTCTTTGTAAAATTATAGCTATTCTAGTGGATGTGAAATAGTATCTTGTGGCCGGGTGTGGTGGCTCACACCTGTAAGTCCAGCACTTTGGGAGGCCGAGGTGGGTGGATCAGAAGGTCAGGAGTTCCAGACCAGCCTGACCAACATGGTGAAACCCCATCTATACTGAAAATACAAAAATTAGCCAGGCGTGGTGGCGTGCATCTGTAATCCCAGCTACTCAGGAGGCTGAGGCAGGAGAATCATTTTAATCCGGGAGGCAGAGGTTGCAGTGAGCCCAGATCATGCTATTGCACTCCAGCCTGGGTGACAGAGTGAGACTGTCTCAAAAAAAAAAAAAAAAAAAAAAAAAAAAAAGAAATAGTATCTTGTGGATTTAATTAGCATTTCTCTAATGACTAATTGTGTGGAGCATCTTTTCATGTGCTTATTAGTCATTTGTACATCTTCTGTGCAGAAATGTCTATTGAAATTTTGTGCTGATGTTTTCATTGGGTTATCTTTTTATTCTTAAGTTGTAAGAGTTGTTTGTATATTCTGGACAGAAGACCTCTATCAGATATGTGTTTTGCAAATACTGTCCCCAGCCTATTGCTCGTTTGGCACCTTTCCCCAAAATCAATTGACTATAAATATAAGAATTTGTTTTCAGACTAGCAGTTCTGTTCCACTGAGCTATATGTCTATCCTTAAGCCAGATCATACTATCTTGATAATACTTCTAACAAACTTAGAAGTCTTTTAACTTTGCTCTGCTTTTTCAAAACTGTTTTGGCTATTCTATATCTTTTGGACTTCCATATTTTAAAATTCGTATGCAACCAAAAAGGAGCCTGAGTAGACAAAGCAATCCTAAGCAAAAAGAACAAATCAGGAGGCATCACCTCATTAGACTCAAACTATACTACAGGGCTGTAGTCACCAAAACAGCATGGTACTGGCACAAAATAACAGATATATAGACAATGGAACAGAATAGAGAGCTGAGAAATAGTACCACACACCTATAGCCATCTGATCTTTGACCAAGCTGGCAAAAACGAGCAATGGGGAAAGAACTCCTTATTCAATAAATGGTGCTGGGATAACTGGCTAGCCATATTCAGAACATTGAAACTGGACCTTTTTCTTATACCTTATACAAAATCAACTCAAGATAAATTAAAGCCTTAAATGCAAAACTTAAAATTATAAAAACCGTGGAAGACAACCTAGCAAATACCATTCTGGACATAGGAACTGGAAAAGATTTTATGATGAAGATGTCCCAAGCATTGCAACTAAAGCAAAAATTGACTAACGGGGTTTTGATTAAACCAAATAGCTTTTGCACAGCGAAAGAAACTATCAACAGAGTAAACAGACAACCTACAGGGTGGGAAAATATATTTGCAAACTATACATCTGACAAAGGTCTAATATCTGGCATCTATAAGGAACTTAAATTTACAAGAAACAAACAACCCCATTAAAAAGTGGGCAAAGAACATTAACAGACACTTTTCAAAAGAAGACATGCACACAGCCAACAAGCATATTAGAAAAAGCTTAAAATCACTGATCATTAGAGAAATGCAAATCAAAATCACAGTGAGATACCATCTCACACCAGTCAGAATGGTTATTATCAAAAAGTGAAAAAATAACAGATGCTGATGCGGTTGTGGGGAAAGGGAATGCTTATTACACTGTTGGTGAGAGTGTTGGAGAGAGTTCAGCCATTGTGGAAGGCAGTGTGGTGATTCTTCAAAGAATTAAACAAGAATTTTCACTTGATCAGCAATACCATGACTGGGTATATACCCAAAGGAATGTAAATCATTCTACCATAAAGACACACGTATGAGTATGTTCCTCACAGCACTATTCACAATAGCAAAGAAATAGAATCAACCTAAATGCCCATCAGTGGTAGACTGGATAAAAATAAATGTAGTACATACGCACCATGGAATACTAAGCAGCCATAAAAAATAATGTGATCATGTAATTTGTAGCAACATGGATGGAGCTGGAGGCCACTATCCTGAGTAAACTAAAACAGGAACAGAAAGTCAAATGCTGCTGTTCTTACTTGTAAGTGGGCACTAAATAATAAGAACACATGGACATAAAGAGGAGAACAACAGACACTGGGGCCTGCTTGAAGTTGGAGGCTGGAGGTGGGAGAGGATCAGAACACATACCTATTGGGTACTACGCTTACTACCCGGGTGACAAAATAATCTGTACAACAAACCCCCATGACTTGAGTTTACCTATATAACAAGTCTGCACATGTACCTCTGAACCTTAAATAAAAGTTAAAAGAAAAAATAATTTTAAAATCACTTTGTCACCTTTTGCAAGAAAGCCCACTAGAATTTTGATAGAGACTGTGTTGAACCTAAAGGCCAATTTGTAGAGACTTGCTATTTTAACAACATTTAGTCTTCCAGTCCGTGAACTTGGATGGCCTTTCCATTTATTTAGATATTAATTTCTCTCAGCAATATTTTGAAATTTTCAGTGCAACAGTATTGCATTTTTTTGGTTAATTTTATTCCTAAGTATTTTATCTTTTGTGATGATATTGTGAACGGTATTCCTAATTTCATTTTTGGACTGTTTATATTTTGTATATAGAGATACAATTGTTATTTTCAGCTATATATTGATCCTGTATCTTGTGACCTTACTATACTTATTAGCTCCAGTAAATTGTACATATTTAAAGTGTACAATTTGGTAAGTTTTGATATATGCATACATCTATACAATCATTGACATAATCAAGAGAATGAACCTGTCCATCACTCCACAAGCTTCATATCTCTTAATGATGTTGCCCTTCTGACCCTATGTGCACGCCCTCCTCCAGGCACCTGCTCATACTCATCTGCTTTCTGTCACTGCAACACTAGAGTTTTACAGAAATGGAACCATACTGGACATATTCTTTTTTTTCTTCTTTTTGAGATGGAGTCTCTCTCTGTCACCAGGCTGGAGTGCAGTGGCACGATCTCGGCTCACTGCAACCTCTGCCTCCTGGATTCAAGTGATTCACCTGCCTCAGTCCCCCGAGTAGCTGGGATTAGAGGTGCCTGCCACCATGCTCAGCTAATTTTTGTATTTTTAGTAGAGACAGGGTTTCACCATGTTGGCAAGCCTGGTCTCCATCTCTTGATCTCGTGATCCACCAGCCTTGGCCGCCCAGAGTGCTCGGATTACAGGCATGAGCCACCGTGCCAGGCCAGACATACTCATTTTTATCTGTCTGCCTTCACTCACCATAATTGTGGCAGATTCATTCATGTTGTTGCATGCGTCAATATTAATTATTTTGTATCAACCCTGAGAACTATTCCATTGTGTATACATACCACTGTATGCTTATCCACTCATCTATGGGTGAAACCATGCCCCAACCCCAAGTTTTTGGTTCTTATAAATAAAACTGCTGTGAACATTCATGTAAAAATCTTTGTAGGGCATGTGCCTCGTTTACACCAGGGTAAACACTGGGGGGTACAATGGCAAGATCGTATGTTAAATGCATGCTGAGGCAGGCGGATTGCCTGAGGTCAGGAGTTTGAGACCAGCCTGGCCAACATTGTGAAACCCCCTCTCTACTAAAAAATACAAAAATTAGCCAGGTGTGGCGGTGCATGCCTGTAATCCCAGCTATTTAAGAGGCTAAGACAGGAGAATTACTTGAACCTGGGAGGCGGAGGTTGCTGTGAGCCGAGACCTTGCCATTGCACTCCAGTCTGGGCAAGAAGAGTGAAATTCCATCTCAAAAAATAAAGAAATAAATAAAAAATAATGCGTGCTGAAATGTATGGAAAACTGCATTCTAAAGTGTTTGTACTGTTTCACATGCAGGAAAGTTCTAATTGCCCACATCCTCATTAATACTGGGTATGAGCAGTCTTATTAATTTTTGTCATTCCAATAGGTGTGTAGTGGTTTCTCATCATGGTTTTAATTTGCATTTCCCTAATGACTAATGTTATTAAAGATATTTTATGTGATTACTTGCTATCCATATATCTTCTTTGATAAGGCACCTGCTCTAATATTTTGTCCACTTAAAAAATTGGGTTTTTATTTTTTATTGCGTTTTGAGCGTTCTCGATAGATTCTGGACATACATCCAGATGGATTCTGGATACATCCTCTGTCAGATGTGCAATTTGCAAATACTTTGTCATGATACTTTTTCATGCTCTTAAACTGTCTTTGGAAGAACAGAAATGCATAGTTTTAATGAGTTCCAACTTATAATTTTTAAAATTTTATGTATTGTGCTTTAGGTACATTATCTGAGAAGTCTTTACCTAAAATTTTATTTTAACTGTATTTTCTTCCAGAAGCTTTAGAGTTTGAGTTTTACATTTATGTCGTGGAACACTTGAGTTAAATTTTTGCATGATGTGAGGTAGCTTTCAAAGTTTATTTTTTGCATATAGAAGATTAATTATTTTCAGCACCATTTGTTGAAAGCTATCCTTTACCCACTGAATGATTTTGCACCTTTGTGAAATTAGCGTCTGTACTAATGTATCTGTTGCAGGAATCTGTACTTCGTACCTTTGACTTGTCCATTTTGAAAGTTATAATACACATTTTGATTTCTGTAACTTTATAATAAGACTTCAAGTAGAGTGATTCCTCCAATATTATTCTTACTTTTTCAACATTCTTTTTCATTATTCTAGGTCCTTGCAATTTCATATGAATTTTCAAATCAATTTGTCAGTTTCAACAGAAAGCCTTATGAGATTTTGTTTGGGATAACATTGGATCTCTAAATCAATTTGGAGAAAATTGACATCTTAACAATACTGAGTCTTCTGACCTATGAATAATATGTATATTTTCATTTATTTAAGTCTTTAATTTCTCTTAGCAGTATTTTATAGTTTTCACTACATATATATTTTTGTTGGATTTATCTTTTTCATATTTTAATACTATTATAAACTATATATTTTTAATTTAAATTTCTGAATATTTTTGCTAGGATATAGTAACGAAATTGATTTTCAAATATTGGTGTATTATCCCGCAACCTTGCTAAACTATTTTATTTTCCCTAGTAGCTTTTGTAGATTTCACTGAATTTTTGTTATCAGTGATCATGCCATCTAGGAACAAATACAGTTTTACTGCTTTGCCAGTCTGTATGCCTTTTATTTTTTGTTCCAGCCTGAGTGCACGGGACAGGACCTCTAATATTATTGAATAGACGTGGTGACCGTGAACATCCTTGTGTTATTCCTGATCTTAGCTGAAAAGCATTCACTGTTTCAGCATTGAGTATGATGTTAGCTGTAATTTTCTTATAGATGACCTCTATCTGGGTGAGGAAGTTTGCTTTTATTTCTTGTTTGCTAAGTTTTTTTTTAAGAAAGCAGACGTTGGAGTTTATAAAACACCTTTTCTGTTAAACTGAGATGATCATATAGCTTTTATTTTTCAGTTTGTCAATATGGTGACATATTGATTGATTTTCAAATGTTAGACAAACTTTATATTTATGGGATAAACTCTACTTGGTCCTGATATATTATTGTTTTAATATATTGGTGGATAGTATGCTAAAGTTGTGTTTAGATGATTTCTTCATCTATGTTTATGAGGGATATTTATCTATTCTTTTTTTCTGATGATATATTTTGAAATTGGGGTTGTTCTGGTCTCGAATAATGAATTGGGATGTATTACCTCCACTTCAATTTTATGAACATGTTTGTGGCGAACTGATGTATTTCTTTCTAACATATTTTCTATAATTTACTAATAAAGGGATCTGGTCACAGAGGGGTGGGTGTGTGTAGGTGTGTGTATAATATTCTTTTTTTTTTTTTTTTTTTTTGAGACGGAGTCTTGCTCTGCCGCCCAGGCTGGAGTGCAGTGGTGCAATCTCGGCTCCCTGCAAGCTCCGCCTCCTGGGTTCACGCCATTCTCCTGCCTCAGCCTCCCGAGTAGCTGGGACTACAGGCGCCCGCCACCGCGCCCGGCTAATTTTTTTTGGATTTTTAGTAGAGACGCGGTTTCACCGCATTAGCCAGGATGGTCTCTATCTCCTGACCTCGTGATCCGCCCACCTCGGCCTCCCAAAGTGCTGGGATTACAGGCGTGAGCCACCGCGCCCGGCCATGTATATAGTATTCTTAACTGCAAATTTGATTTCTTAAATAGGTATAAGGCTATTAACATTGTCTATTTTTCAGTGAGCTTTGATAGTTTGTATCTTTCAATAAGTCTTTCATTTAATATATGCCTTCGAATGTATAGGCTTAAAGTTGATCATAATGTTTCCTGATTATTCTTTTAATACCTATTGATTGAGTTTACGGTGTCATCACTTCTCATTCCTATCTAGTAATTTTTGTCTTCTGTCTTTGTTTCTTGATCAGTTTATCAATTATGTAATCTTAAAGAACTAGCTTTGGTTTTATTCATTCTGTTTTCTTTTTCTTCAGTTTCCATTTTTACCGTTTCTTTCTTCTGCTTTGGGTTTAATTTACCATTATTTAATTTAATTTATTAATTTATTTTGAGACAGAGTCTTTCTCTGTTGCCCAGGCTGGAGTGCATCGCTCGATCTCGGCTCACTGCAACCTCTGCCTCCAGGGTTCAAGCGATTCTCCTGCCTCAACCTCCTGAGTAGCTGGGATTACAGGCACCCGCCACCACACCCAGCTTATTTTTGTAGTTTTAATAGAGGCAGGGTTTCACCACGTTGGCCAGGCTGGTCTCGAACTCCTGACCTCAAGTAATCCCCTCGCCTCTGCCTCCTTAAGTTCTGGGATGACAGGTGTGAGCCACCGCGTCCTGTCTAATTTACCATTATTTTTATAGTTTCTTAAAAAGGAAGCTGTTGTCCCTGATTTAAGACCTTTCTTCTTTTCTACTACAAGTATTTGGTGCTATAAATTCCACCCTAATTACTCCTTTAGCCACACATTCTGATATAATGCGTTTTCATTTTCATTCAGTTTGAAATACTTCATAATTTACCTCTTGGTTTCTTTGACCTATGAGTTATTTAAAAGTGTGTTATTTTGTTTCCATATATCTGGGCATGTTCCACATAGCTTTCTGTTATTAATTTCTAATTTAATTCCATTTTTTTTCAGGCACATAATTTTACGACTTGGAAACCTTTCCAATTTGTTTAGTCTCTTATTATAGTCCAGAACATGCTCTACACAAGTAAACTTTATGTGTGCACTTGAAGGGAGTCTGCATTCTGCTGTTGTTGGGTGGAGTATTCTATAAACCTAAGACAAGTTTGTTGATAGCATTGCTAAAGTGGACTATATCATTGCTGATTTTCTTTCTACTTCTTCAATCAGTTATTAAGGGAAAAGTAGTGGAATTTCTGGTCATAATTGTTCATTTTTCTGTTTTTCTCTGCACTTAGGTCAGTTGTGGCCTAATGTATTGTGAAGCTCATACAGGTTTTCAGTTATTACTCAGTTATTCAGTTCATAAAGGTTTCACACTTGTTTGAGCTTTTTGATCAGTTGATCCCCTTTTCACTATAAAGTGGCCTTCTAAGTCCCTATTGAGAATCTTTGCTCTGAAACTGTTTTGTCTGATATAAAATAGTCCAGCTTTCTTTTGACAGCGTTAGTGTGATATGTATTTTCCGTATGCTTTTAACTCATTTTTGTGTTTATATTTAAAGTGGCTTTCTTATAGGAAGCAGATACGTGGGTCTTGATTTTCATCCAATCTGACATATCTTCATTTTAATTGGACTGTCTAGTCAGATTACATTTAATGTGACTATTGATTTTATAGGTTTCAGTTCTTAATTAAGCTTGCTCTGTGTTTTCTATTTGTTCTATCTTTTCTTTGCCCCCCTTTCCTGTTTTTTTTGCTTTCTTTTCATGGTAGATATGTTATAATTTTACTCATCTGTTGGCTTATTGGTTATAATGCTTTTTAAAAATTTGGTGATTACTGTAGGATTTATAGCATTCATCTTTAATTTATCACAGTCTATCTTGAAGAGACACCATACTTCTGCACACAGGAGAGCCTTAACATAGCACCTACCATCTTTCTCCTCTCAGTTGGTAAGCTATTTTTGTCAAATATTTCATTTATTCATGTGTTATCAACTCTACACTATCTTATTTTTTCTTTAAACAGCCAATTAACTTTGAAAGATATCTAAGTAAAAGGGGAAAATCTTATACATTTACCAGGGTAAGTACCGATTCCTGTACACTAATTCCTTTCTGCACACCTGTATTTCCATCTGGAATAATTTTCTTTCTGTACGGAGGATTTCCCTTCACATTGCTGGTAGTGTAGGCGTTGTCATTATAAGTTATAAATTATTGTCATTATAAATTCTTTTAGCATTACCATTCCTGCAGATGTCTTTATTTTGCCTTTGTTTTTGAAAGACTTAGCCTGTGTATAGAATTCTAGGTTTATAATTTTTTCTTTCAGTCCTTTAAGAGGCTGCTTTGTGTCTTCTAACATTATTTCTGATGAGTAACAGACTGTCATCCTTATCCTTGGGTTGTTTCTTTCTTTTTTTTTTTTTTTGTATATAATGAGTTTGTTTTTCTCTGTTTTTAAGATGTTCTGTTTATCACAGGTTTCCCATCATTTTAAGCTCAGGATTCATTAAGCTTCTTAGATATGTAGATTTATTATTTTATCAATATCAATTAAGTTACCAAAAAAAACTTCTTAGCCACGATTTCTTTACTTTTCTCTCTGCTCCTCCCTCCACCCACCCCTTTACAGATTCAATATACAGGTATGTTAAATCTCTTAAGGTTGTCCCATAAGGAACTAATTTTTTTATCTCTTTGTGCTTTATTTTGAGCAATTTCTTTTGCTACGTCTTCATGTTTACTCTTCCTTTCTTCTGCAGTGTGTAATCTACAGATCCAGTGTAATTTTCACTTCAAACATTGGAGTTTTTGACTTTAGAATTTCTGTTTTGTTCTTTAGTTTATATCTTTCACGTTTCTAAGAAACTTTTGAACATATGGAATACATTCGTAATCATTTTAAATGTCCCTTGTCTGCTAAATGTAACATCTGTGTCGGTTCTGGATAGGTTTTGGCTGATTGATTATTTTTCTCCTTGTGGTTTTTTTTCCCCATTTCTTCGTGTATTTGCTCATCTTTGATTAGATGTCAGGCATTTTAATTAGGTGCTGGATATAACTATTAAAATTTTGATTTACATAGTAGGTGTATATATGTGTTTGTGGGATACATGAGATACTTTGACATAGACGTGCAATATGTAATAATCACACAGGGTAAATAGGACATCCATCACCACAAGCATTTATCATTTTTTCGTGTTACAAACATTCCAATTATACTCTTTTAGTTATCTTAAAATGTATATTAAATTACCATTGGCTGTACTCGCCCTGCTGTGCTGTCAAATACTGGTTCCTATTTATTCTATCTAATGACATCTTGTACCCATTAAATGTTCCCACCTGCCCCCAAGCCCCACTACCTTTCCCAGGCTCTGATAACTATCATTCTACTCTCTATCTCCATGAATTCAATTGTTTTAATTTTTAGCTCCCACAAATGAGTGAGAACATGCAAAGTTTGTCTTTCTGTGCCAGGCTTATTTCACTTAACATAATGTCCTCCAGTTTGAACCATGTTACTGGAAATAAAAGGACCTCATTCTTTTGTTATGGCTGGATAGTATTCAATTGTGAACATGCACCATATTTTCTTTACTCATTCAACTGTTGATGGAACTTTAGGTTGATTTCATATCTCGGCTATTGTGAATAATGCTGCAATAAGCATTGGAATGAAGGTATTTCTTTGATATACTTTGATTTCCTTTATTTTGGGTATATACCTATGTATTAGTCCATTCTCACACTGCTATGAAGAAATACCTGAGATTGGGTAATTTATAAAGGAAAGAGGTTTAATTGACTCACAGTTCCGCATTGCTGAGGAGGCCTCAGGACACTCACAATCATAGTGGAAGGCGAAGGAGAAGCAGGCACCTTCTTCACAGGGCGGCAGGATGGAGTGAGTGCAAGCAGGGGAAATGCCAGACACTTATAAAACCATCATATCTCCTGAGAACTCACTCGCTGTCATGAGAACAGCGTGGGGGAAACTGCCCCCCATGATCCAATTACCTCCACCTAGTTGTGCCCTTGAGACATGGGGATTATTGGGGTTATGAGGATTACAATTCAAGATGGGATTTTTGGTGGAGACACAGCCAAACTTTATCAACCTAGCAGTGGGATTGCTAGATCGTATGGTAATTGTATTTTTAGTTTTTTGAGGAGCCTCCATACTGTTCTCCAAGTGGCTGTATGACTTTATATACCCGCCAACACTGCATGAGCTCACTCTTTTGTCCAAAATCTTGCCAGCATTGGTTATTTCCTGTCTTTTGGATAAAAGCCATTTTAACTGGGATGAGATGGTATCTCATTACAATTTTGATTTGCATTTCTCTGATGATCAGTTACGTTGAGCACCTTTTCATATACCTGTTTCGCATTTGTATGTCTTCTTTTGAGAAATGTTTATTCATATCTTTTGCTCATTTCTAATTGAATTATTAAATATTTTTCCTTTTCAGTTGTTTGAGCTCTTTATATATTCAAGCGTTATTAATCCTTTGCCAGATAGTTTGCAAATTTTTCTCCTATTGTGTGGGTTATTGCTTCACTTTGTTGATTGTTTCCTTTGCTGTGCAGAAGCCTTTTAACTTGATGTGATCTGATTTGTCCACTTTTGCTTTGGTTGCCTGTGCTTGTAGAATATTCCTCAAGAAATCTTTGCCCAGACTAATGTCCTGGAGAGTTTCCTCAACGTTTTCCTTTAGCAGTTTCATAGTTTCACCTCTTAGATTTTAGTCTTTAATCCATTTTGATTTGATTCATGGCAAGAGATAGGGGTTAAGTTTCACTCTTCTGCATATGGATATTCAGTTTTCCCAGCATCATTTATTGAAGAGACGTCCTTTCCCTAATGTATGTTTTTGGGACTTTTGTTGAAAATGAGTTCACTGTAGATGTATAAATTTATTTCTGAGTTATCTATTCTGCTCCATTGGTCTATGTGTCTCTTTTTATGCCAGTACCATGCTGTTTTGGTTAAATAGCTCTGTAGTATACTTTAAAGTCAGGTAATATGATTCCTCTAGTTTTGTACTTTTGCTCAGGATGGCTTTGGCTATTCTGGGTATTCTGTGGTTCCACATATGTTTTAATTTTTTTTTTCTATTTCTGTGAAGAATGTCAATGGTATTTTAATAGGAATGGCATTGAATCTGTAGATTGTTTTGGGTAGCATGGACATCTTAATATTTATTCTTAATATTCATTTGTTAAATGTCATCTTCAATTTCTTGTTTCAATGTTTTATAGTTGTTATTATAGAGATCTTTTACTTCTTTGGTTAAGTTTATTCCTAGGTATTTTATTTGTAGCCATTATAAATGGGATTACTTTCTTTATTTCATTTGCAGATTGTTTGCTGTTGGCATACAGAAATGTTATTGAGTTTTGTGTGTTGACTTTGCAGCCTGCAACTTTACTGAATTAGTTTATCAATTCTAATAGTTGTTTTGGTGGTGTGGTTTAGGTTTTTCCAAATATAAGATTATATCATCTGCAAACAAGGATAATTTGACTTCTTCCTTTTCAATTTAGATGCCTTTTATTTCATTCTCCTGTCTAATTGCCCTAGGTAGGACTTCGAGTACTATGTTGAATACCAGTGGTGACAGCGGGCATCCTTATGTTCCAGATCTTAGAAGAAAGACTTTTTGTTTTTCCCTACTGAGTGTAATACTAGCTGTGGGTCTGTTGTATATAGTTTTTTATTGTATTGTGTTATATTCCTTCTATAACCAGTTTTTTGAGGGTTTTACCATGAAGGGATGTTGAATGTTATCAAATGCTTTTCCAGCATCAGTTGAAACGATTATATGGTTTTTGTCCTTAATTCAGTTGATATAATGTATCACATTGTTTAATTTATGTATGTTGAACCATCCGTGCATCCCAGGGATAAATCCCACTTGGTCGTGATGAATGATATTTTTAATATGTTGTTAAATTCAGTTTGCTAGTGTTTTGGGGAGGATTTTTGCATCAATGCTCATCAGGGATAATTGGACTGTAGTGGATATTTTTATATTACCATAAATATAATTGAATGCTGTTCTGAGACACAGTTAAGTTAATGGGAAACAGCTTGATTCTTCCAGGTCTTGCTTCTCTGATTTGTGAAGTGGGTCCATGGCAGTACACTATCTAGAATAACCATTGCCCACAATCAAGGCGAGACCTTCCTGAATATTTTTCCCAATGTACGATGAATTATGGTTTCTAAATCTGGTTGGTGGAAACAAGCACGAGTTACGGCCCTGTGTGAAGCACTGTTTTCTAATCTTTTTGGGTAGCTTTTTCCCTAACCTCATGTAAGCCCCTCCCACATCCACCGCTCCATACTCATCAGTACTTTGCTGAATATCTCAGGGCATTCTTTTTGCAGAACGTTAGAGTTCTCTCTCGGTCAGCACTCCGCCTCTCAAATTCTGGCCACCTTGGATTTCCAGAGTTGCAGTTCTGTCTCCTGAACTCCTGGGAACCACCAGGCCCCACTGGGCCTCCCTTTCCTTGTGCTATGGCCTGGGGCTCCCTCAAGACAGTGAGGAGCAGCATCCCAGGGCTCACCTCATGAACACACCTGACTCTCACATGTTGCTGTTCTTCATTGCCCCAAGCCTGACATCCTGAAAACTGTTGCTTGGTATGTTTCTTCGGATTTTCTCCTTAGATTGTTTAGGGTCGGACAGCAAATCTTGTCTGTGGCAGTAGAAGTCTCTCCTCACTCCTTAGCCTGACATTCAAGGCCTTCTATGACCTGGCCTCAATCTGCCTTTCCAACCTACTATCTCAACATATCCCTATTTTTTGTAATTCTCTAAAAAGCCTACATATTTTCTGCTTTTGAGCCTTTGCACATGTTAGACACTTTTTCCACTATCTCCTGATTATCAGTTTTTGATGCTTCACATCCCAGGTAGATGTCTCCGCCATGGAAAGGGCTTCCACATATCCTGTGGGGCAGGCACGGGGCAAGGTGCTGGAGAGGAGAAGGTGACCTTGACAGATGCTGTCCCTGCCCTGTGGAGCTCCTGGGTTGGCTCAAAGGCCATCGTCACACAGCATGGGAATGACAGTCTGGGTAAGGTGCCAGGAGCTATGGTAGGAGGAGCAGGACGCCTCGCAGTCCAGCCTCGGAGTCTCAGAGGAGTTGACCTCCATGGGGAGATGGGAGGGTTGCATGGACATTGCAGGAGTGAGGGGGAGCCCAGTCTGGTGTCTGGGAGACCATCGCACAGAGCAGAGCAGGGTGCAGTGAGGAGCTGGATGATGATGAAGATGGTGTGAGTGGGGAGAGGAGCGTGAGGAGACCTCCCAAGCCTGTTAAGAACTCCAGACTTTAGCTTGAGGGCAACGTGGAGCCCTTACTTGGTTCTAGTCCAGAACACGTTCCTACTTACATTTGTAATATTCATTTTAGCTTTGGTGCGTTCGGGGAACAAGACTGGAGCGGGGCGCCATCCCCGGGACAGGCAGTGGAAACCAGGAGCGGATGCTTGGCACCGGGATAGAGAGAAGCAGCTTGGGGAGGGAGGACCCAGGGATAAACTAAACATGGGCTCTGGGGGACAGGAACAGATCAGAGTGATGCTGGGGCCTGGCAGCGGGGACAGGTGCACACTGTGCCTGTCTTTGGAATAGGGGGCGCTGGGAAGAGCAGCTTTGCAGAGAAAAGGTTACTCTGTGATCTCTCTGCCCAGAACGTCCCTTTCGTTTGAGAATTAATTGCTCCATTTCCTTGGCTTCCATGATTTTCCACTTAGACGTTATGTTGTCTTACCTTGTGCTGGAATTTAATGGAGTTTAATTGTTCATGTGTTTCGCTGGCTTGCAATTGCCACAGGAAGCAGAGTCTGGCTATTGTGCCTCTTTTATTTCAGCTGCTATTATGGTCCCCAGAACAAAGTCCCACAGACAATAGATGATTAATAAATTCTGGTGACTCAAATTAACAAAGGAGCTTATTTTTATGTGGCATAATGTGTGCATGATTGAACACTTTTCTGTCATGAAACGCAGCACCGAGATGTCCTTTGCTATCTTCTCAAGGACTTTTGAAGGCATG
The DNA here is from genome assembly GCF_000001405.40 of Homo sapiens. NCBI lineage: Eukaryota > Metazoa > Chordata > Mammalia > Primates > Hominidae > Homo > Homo sapiens. Next base: position 130,605,893 of record NC_000010.11, read on the forward strand.
AGATTTTAATTTCAAGATCTAAATATATGTTCAACAGTGCTGAGTCAGACAAGAGATCTCAGTCTGATTTTTTTCACTGTCATAACATTTACGATCCCGTGGAGCCATAAATACCTTCCTCAGGCAGGAAGGAGAGAGGCAGACAGGAGCCTGGAGCATGGTAATAGGGCTGCCGAGGCACAGAGTCCAGCGGGACCCTTGTCAGCTGTGATGTTAATAAGGCCAAGGAGCAGGCAGCAGCCCTGCCATGCACCGTGTGCAAATATGTTTTCACCAGGCATGGAGCCGGGAGCTCCTGCCCTGTAAAAGCTCGGTCGCCAGGCGTCTGGAATCTCAATCTCAGAGCAGGGCTGGAAGGTGATTTCTATTAGCCAGGAATGTGCCTGCAGTTTATTGTTCTTGATAGAACCAGCACCCAGCCAGACACCTGTTGATCTGCGTGTCAGGACATCAGTGCGGAAATACCAGCTTCTGGAGCAAAGTCCTTTAGCAAAGATATGAGAGGCCTGGAAAAATCAATGCCTCTAATAGGAAGATATTTCTGGAGGTGCTGCTTTTATATTGAAGAGACAACAAGCTCTTAATAATACTTCAGAACTGAGAGGCAATATTTCTTTTTAAAGTATTGGATCTAAAACACAGTGGGGCTTAAAAAAATACAAATAAAGCCATTTGTCTCTTGTCGAGCCAGCTCTTGGGGCATTTCCAAGCCCATGGTGTACACCCAAAACAGAGCCTCCGAGGGTCCCCTCTCAGGTGCTTCCCCCAAGCTATCTCCGTAAGACCCGCGCACACTCCCCGCTGCAGTGCCCAGCCCCCAACCCAAACTGCTGTAGGCCTGATGTTTCTGGTGACTCCTAGAACTTCTACTGCCCCCATTTTTATTTCCCTACAGCTTCACCAACAACAGATATTAAAGTCATTGAAATCCTTGGCTGGCGGGACAAGAATGTTATCTTGCTAAATTTCCCATTAATTTAATGACATAGCTGTGACATGTTCTCATACATTTATTTTCCATTTGTATTCCTTCCTTTGTTAATTGCCTATCCATATTCATTTTCTCCTAATTTTTTCTCATTGATTTTTGGGACACTTCATTCATGAAATTTATTAACCCTCTGATTTATGCTGTTAATGGTTTTTGTGAGTTAGGTCGCTCAATAAGTCTTCCCCCAGCCCTGTGAGGTTGAATTTATGATAATTTCCATTTCAAAAATTTGGAGGACTTTTTAATTTTGAGGTTTTTAAATGTTTAAGTTTTATTTTATATACATATTTGCTTTAAGGAGTTGGGGGCCTTGCTGGTCTCACGCAACAAGAATAAAGGTGGGATGGGCAATTCTTCTGGCACGGTGGCTCCTTGACACCGTCAGGGACGTCCACCATTCTTAGTTCTTGCTTGTCTCCACACATCCTGTTTCTGAGATTGGAAAATCCACCAGATTGTCCTGATGCTGATGGTCTTCCTAACCACCACGTCACACTGTCTCTCCTGAGTCCCTGCTCCGAGCAGACCTTCCACCTTGGAAAAGATAAATCTCTACGTGGCATTTTCCAGGGCTCTGTTGTGATGGCTCTTTGCGCTTAAATCATTAACTCACATGTGGATTAGATTGTGCATTACTCGAAAAAGCAGAACATAGTCCAATTACCAGCCAACTTCCCCGGCTCCCTAGACCCAGTAAACCTTCTGCCCATAAATGGTGATGATGTGCCCTTATCATGCTCTGTGTGCTCATGCGTTTGAGCTCCCATTCAGTTTCATTGGCTGCCTGTTGTTTTTTTCCATTATTCAGGTCTCAGTTCCAATGTCTGCTCTCCAGAAAACCTTCCCGTGCTGCCCTCGCCAAGGCAGCTTGGCTCTCTGAGTCACTCTCTGCCTTTGCTTCATCTCCGTGACAGCATTCATCACACTGAATTTTCTTACCTATTTATTGGTTCTGGTATTTGTTGCCTATCATCTCTTTTGTAATATAAGCTTCATGGCTTTGTCCCCCACAATCAGAACAGTGTCTTGCATTTGGTAGGTACCAAATAAGTATAAGCTCAATGAATGAATTCCAATGGTTTTAATTACTGTGCTTTTAGAATGTACTCTTCGCACAGGACACAGAAGACAGAGGATGAGTTGGGAATGGCCAAGCCTGTGCTCCTGAAGAGCCGGGTTATCTCTAAATCAGAGTTACACACCCCAGGCAAACCAGAGGGGACTTAGGGTCTGAGTGCCACATGCAGCTTCTCCCCACTGAGAACCCACATGGAGCCTCTGTGCTGTGGGATGGGGCTCCTGTGTCCTCCTCTTTCTTGCCTGTGCCTCAGGACTAGTTCGTGCTTCTGCTCACAGTGAGCTCAGCTGACCACAGGGGACACCCCCTCCCCCTGGTGCTTCTCCCAGTAGCCGCCACCCCACCCTTCTATCCAGGTGGAGCTGGCTGAGTTCTTCTGGAACTGCCCTTAGGGGTGTGTTCCCTGCATGCTCTGATGGCCAGGGTGTGGGGAAAGGGCATCCATGCTGCTGGGAAGTCCCTAAAGACCCCCTCATTTGACCATTCAATCACATTTCCTGCATACATACACATCTCTGGCAAAGCAGCTGGCACCTCTCTTAGGGGCCAGTGCCCCATGGGATTGGAGATGGCTCAACTGGAACTGACTCTTTCCAATAAGAGGAATTTGAAGAAACAGTCAAGTCTGACTTGCTCCAAGGACTGTCAACTAGCGCGTAATAAGGAAAGGTAACACAAAGCATTCGCTGTACGATGGATGGCACTGGACCCAGCTGCAGAGGAAAGGGAGTTTCCCTGCATTTGCCCCGCAGACAGACCTCAGTCACATCCCATTGTGTGCATAGGTTCATAGGCACCAGCTGTTTCGTCCCCAAGTCTCCATGCCCTCTAGAGGAGTAGCTGCTGGCAGCAGCTTCCTTCCAGACCAGCGTTCCAGAGGCCAGACAGCTTTGCCAGGGACTTAGCTCCAGGGTCAACAGCGTGACCTGATGATCAGGGACTGTACCACAAAGCCCCTTCCCCACATCCTCGTCATGACAGCATCCTGACAGTGTCCTCGTCACGAGGCGTGAGTTCCCACATCCCTGACAGCATCCTCGTCACGAGGCGTGAGTTCCCACATCCCTGACAGCATCCTCGTCATGAGGCATGAGGTCATGGAGCTGTGTGGCTCTGGCCTCATGGCTGGATCACATAGGGCAGTGGCTGCTGTTTGAGAATCTTCTGAGGTGGAGGGAGCCCTGGCATGAAGCTGCCTCTTTCCCAAGCCTCCCCTTCAGGTGGGGAAAACTGAGTTGGGCTGTGTGGGGTGGGGTTCCTCAGAAACTCCTCTTGGCCAGTGGCTGGCTTGCCTGGCTCTATTGACAGAGAACCTCCATATTTATTCCTTCATTATTAGTTTGTTCATTCATTCATTCATTCATTCATTCGTCTGCCCAGCACTGGCGGGGAACCAGCCCCGGAGCTCCAAAGCTAAGGGGCAGCCCCAGCCTCAGGTGCCACCAAAGCAAGGCAGAGGCTCTCGATCACTGCAGCCAGCATGGAGCCACACTGAGTCTCTGCTTCTGCAAGCCATGGGTTCCTGAGGCTGAGGTTTCTTACTCCTTTTGTTTCTGCTCATCAGCTGTGTCTTAGGCTGCTGTCAGGGACCCCAGATGAGCTACAAGGGAGATTCGTTCTCTCACTGGCTGAGTACCTTTCATCTGACACCCAGTCCTGGTCACAGGCACAGGGGACGAGTTTTTACCCATCACCTGAGTGTCAGCTGAGTGTGGCTGCAGCAGCCGGGAGTGCTTGGAAATGGTCTGTTTGCTGTGATTGCTGTCATCTGAGTGGGCTCTGGGCCTTCATTTGTAACTTTTGTTGTTGTTTTTGGTATGTGATTTACTTTTAAACAGCAGCGAAGACACTGGGCATACCTAAATAAGGGTATATCTCTTTTTGGTTCTGACTTTCACACTTATTCACAATAGAAAAAGCATGATTTCTAGCAGTGGGAACATAGATTTGGGAGCGCTGTGGTCCTCACCAGCTCTGTGGTCTTAGGAAGGCTGCTGGACCTCCCCATCCAAGGCATCTTGTGTGTCAAGTGAAAGTGAGACTTGCTCACTACAAACGGGAGCTGACCATGGGCCACATCTTCTCTGCGTTTGGCCTATTTTAACATGGACACCATTTTCATCATCCACAAACAAAAACCTATTGCTCAAGGAGGTCTACAATTGCGCCTAATTTTTTTTCACTTTGAAAACATGAATAAGATGAAGAATCACTTCTCTCCACTGCACATGTGCCCTTGAATAGAGGAAGAAAAGAAAATACCACTCAGATCCCTTTGCAAGCTCAATGCAAAATAGAAGATGACTCTTCCAGTTAAAAACGTTTCACTTATTTGCCATGATTTAGACTTAAACACTTGCTGGGATGGCACAAAAGGCGTGGTCTTCCACAGGTAAACAACCAGCTGGCATGTGCTGTCCTGCATGGTCAGCAAACCAGTAGGGGCAAGGTTGGTGTGGGGTGGAAGGAGCTGTCTTTGGTCCTGCCCCATCCTCAGGCTCCAGTTCATCTCCTCCTCAATCCCATTCCTCTCTCTCCAGTTGCTCTCCCGAGGCCATCAGCCTGGTCCTCTCTGGAACCTCCTCTCCCTTCCCCTTGGCAGGCACTGAGGCAAAGCAGAAAGTCCATGCACCTGGTAGAGCCTGTTCTGCAGGGTCAATATCCACAGCCCCCAGGGTGTCCCCACGCAATGAAGTCACCAGAGCATAAACCTTCTTAAAGTTTCAATAAACAACCCAGAAACATCTTTAAAAATAATTGTAATGATTTTCCTGTCTACTTATCTTTAAGTGTTTAGGTGATTTCCAATTTCTGTTATTATAAAGCAATGACAATTAATAATTCTTTCTATTTTTGTGTTACATAGATGACCAAAAATAAGATTACTAAATTAAAAATCATGATCACTTTGAAGGCATTTGATAAATATCTCCAAGTTGCTTTCCAAATGGATTATAGGAGTTTTTATACTGAACAGCCAGGGTTGAAAGGACTTGTTTTGTGTGCCCAATTGTAGTGCTTTGCCAGAGCTGGCTCGTATGGGTCCCACAACTGACTATGCATGTCTCTTCCCAGCTCCACCTTTGCTGACGTTACCCTGGTAACTTGATAATGGCCATGGTGGGAGTATGTCTATCCTGGAAATTAGCATGTTACAATCCCTAGCTTCCCCACCCTTACCCCACTACACTGCAAAAGAACCTCTTGTTCAACATCTACCAGTGCACCCTTGCTTTTGATAGGTGAAAAACACAAATAAACCAAAAGAAAGGCAGTTTTGAAAGGTTGACTCAGTTGACACCATCTTTCCTTGAAGACCAGGGAGAAGAAGAGGAGGGAGGAGGCTCCTCCAGAATGTTCTCTGATTTCCTTTTCCTTGGTGGCCCTCGGATGGCACTCACCAGTGCTGGACAAGGAGGACTGTTGTCTTGGTGTGTGGGTCTGCTGTCCGGTGGTCTCTTGACCTCTTGAGGGATGGCGCCATGTGTCATCCTCTGTCCCTGCAGCCCCCACAGCAGACCTCGGCCTCATGACTACGGAGTCAGAGTGAGGATGCACCAGGCTAAGGAAAGCACCATGAAGTAATGGGGAAGCTCCTGCAGAGCCACAATGGCAGCCATCTGCCTGGCCACATAAAGGAGGGTCAAGGCCCCTTCTGCTGTCCCCAGGTGGTGTTGAGGGGATGGGATAGTTCTGTTCTCCCACAGGGATAGACTGGGTGGCCCTCCACACTGCTGCTGACTGTGTTTCATGAAGGTTCATCCTGCATCAGAGGGTGTTATTCTCAGTCCCTGTGGGAGGAGGGTGCTCTTTTCAGCTGGTAGGATGCGAGTTTTCTGTGACAAATGTGTTACACAATCTCACCCACCCCAGTGAGACAGCTCCTGCAATGAGGTTAGAAATTTTCTGTTTTTCCCTCCATCACTCTTGCTCATTTTTGTGTGTTCTTGTGCCACTTTTGACAATTTGTGTTTTTCAACCTTAGGCATCAAATTTATAGACATAACATTGTTTTTATCATTCCCTTATTATCACGTTAATATCCATAGAGCCCGTAGTAGTGTCTCCTCTTTTATTCCTGGTATTCGTAACCTGTGTCCTCTCTTTTTGTTGTGCAGGTTTCTCAATTTTATAGGTCTTTTTCAAAGAAACCAACTTCCCTTGACTTTTTCTGTTTTGATTCCATTGATTCTTTTCATTATTTATTTCCTTCTACCTATCTTTGAGTTTAATTGTTCTTTTTTTTACCTACTTGAAGTAGAAATTTACATTATTAAATTTAAAATTTTTATTCTTTACTGACACTAACCTTTAAAGCTTTGGATTTTAGTCTAAGCACTTCCTTAGCTGTTTCCTCACATTCTGATATGTTGCCTTTTAATTTTCATTTGGTTCAACGTATTATCTCAATTCTTTTTCTAATTTCTTCTTTTGCCTGTGGATTATTTAAAGCTCAAGTGTTTAATCTATGGATATTTGGATTTCTAAAGATGTTTTATTGTTGTAGTTATCTAACCTAATTCTGTTGTAATCAGAGAATATTTTCTACAGTATTTTAATCTTTTAAAATTGAAAGATTGAAATATTGTAGAAAATATTCTCTGATTACAACAGAATTTATGGCTTAGCATATAGTTTATTTTGGTGACTATTCCTCCTACACTTGAAAAAAAAACGTATTCTGTAGTGATTAGAGGTAGTGCTCTACAATTTTCTGTTAAGTTAAGATGGTTGATAATGTCAATATCAAATCTTCTGTATCCTTACTCATTTTTAAGTTGGTCTATCAATTATTGAAGAAATTGTGTTAAATCCTCTAACTTTCACTGTAAATTTATTTCTCCCTATATTTCTCTCAGTTTTTGGCAAATGGATTTTGACACATTGTTGTTATGATTGTTACACCTTCCTGATGCATTGGCTTTGTTGTCATTGTAAAATATCTCTTTTTTATTAACAATCCTCCATGTCTTGAAGTCTCTTTTGTCTCATGTTAACATAGTCATTGTAGCATGTTTATGCTTACTCATTACATGGTGTATCTTTTTCCATTCTTTTACTTTCTTTGTATCTTTGCATTTAAATGACAACTTTTGTAAATATCAGTTTGTTTGTTTTTTTCTCTTAAGACTGGTAAAACCTGCCTTTTAATAAAAGTGTTTAATCCATTTACATTTAATGTAGTCATTGATATAGTTCTATTTTGGTCTGCCATTTTGTCACTTATTTTCTATTTGTTTTATTTATTTGCCTCTTGTTTTAGTCATACTTTTTATTAATCAGGAAGTTTAGACTTTTTCATTTAAATTCTATTGTCTTCCTAGCTACGTTAACTCTGAATTAATTGTAGGTGGCAAGCTCTTGGGATTATAGTATTCATCTTTAATTTATCTCAGTCTACTCAGTGTTAATATGGAATTACTCGAGGTAAAGTAGAGGAAACTTGCAAAACAGATTTGCATTTCTCTTATCCTTATTATTGTTGTTACCATGTATGTTACATTTATATACATTATAAATCAATCCCGTGTTATGATTTTCAGTTAAACAATCATATATGTTTCAAAGAAAAGAAGAAAGGAAAAAATGTGTAACCACTTTTATTTAGCCATATAGTTCATATTTCTGTTGCTCTATACAGACATCCATTAGTAGCCATGGACAGTTGGTTCCAGGACCTCCCTTGGAACCAAAATCTTTGGTAAAGGCCATAATATAAAATGGCACAGTACTTACATGTAACCTACGCACATCCTCCCATATACTTTAAATCATCTCTAGGTTACTTAAACCTAATACCATGCAAATGCTATGTAAATAGCTGTTATACTGTATTGTTTAGAAAATAATAACAAAAAAGTCCACACATATTCACTAGAGAGGCAGGTTTTCTTTTCATTATTTTTCTATCTACAGTTGGTCAAATCCACATATGTGGAACTCATAGATGTGGAGGCCCATGGCGCCTCTTCCCGTGCACCTAAGGTTCTCACAGGTGTTCTCTCTCTCCAGCCTGAAGAAAGCCCCTTAACATTTCTTGTTGTGTATGTCTACTGGTGACTGATTGTCTCAGCTTTTGTTTATCTGAAGGTGTCTTCATTTCATCTACACTAAAGATGGAGAGTTTTGCTAAATGTAGAGGTTTTGTTAAACATTTGCTTTTCTATCAGAGTGTAAAAAAATTCCTAAGGCTACCACAGTTTCTAGTGAAGCTGACTGTTAATTATATTATTGTTTTTCTGTATGTAACAAATTATTTTTTCTGGCTTTAGGAAAAAAAAATTTCTGTTTAGTTTCAGCAGATTTTTTCTTTTTTGAGATGGAGTCTTGCTCTGTCTCCCAGGCTGGAGTGCAGTGATGCAATCTCGGCTCACTGCAACCTCTGCCTCCTGGGTTCAAGTGATTCTCCTGCCTCAGCCTCCTGAGTAGCTGGGATTACAGGCACGTGCCACCATGCCCGACTAATTTTTTTGTATTTTTAGTAGAGACGGGTTTTCACCATGTGGGCCAGGCTGGTTTCAAACTCCTGACCTCAAGTAATCCACTGCCTCGTCCTCCCAAAGTGCTGGGATTACAGGCATGAGCCACCGTGCCCTGCAGTCCCAGCAGTTTTATTGGTATGTAACTAGCAGTGGTTTCTTTGTGTTTCGCTTACTGGGAGTTCACCGCCGTTTTTGGATCTGTAAGTTAACATTTCCCACCAACTTTGGAAAGTTTTTGTATCATATTTCTTCACAGGATTTTTTTTTTTGTCCCGTTTTATCTCCTTTTCCAGTGGGACTCTAACAATATATATTATGGACTGCTCGATATTGTCTCTGAGGCTCTCAATCTTGTTTCTTGCTGTTCTTCAGACTCATTAATTTCTTTTTATCTGCATACAAGTTAACCGGCCCTTTCTTCTGTGTCATCATCAATCTTTAGTTATTATATTTTTCCACTCTAGAATTTTTCATTTTTATATTTTTCATTTCTCAGTTGAGATTTTTTTTTTATTATTTAATTCTAAGAGTTGCTTTGAAATATTTGTTTGCTAAAACCAACATCTAAGTCACCAATACTGCCTATTGACTGCCTCCTTTTCCTGGGTATAGATTGAACTCTTCTGCTTATGTGCATGTCTACTAACCTAGGTTTAAAAATTAAACACTGTAGATGGTATGGTGTAGTGATTCTGGAATCTGTTGTGTTCTGAGTGTTTATTTATTTTTATTCTACCTTGTAGTTAATCTGCCTGGCCTCAAATTACAAACTTTGCTTTTATTGCATTATGCAGCTGCTGAAATCTGTACTCTGGTTTCAAGTATTTCAGCTGCAGTTATGCAGCTTTTGTAAATTGCATTTGTCAATATTTATATTTTATTATTACTTTTAAAGCCAATTTGTCATAGCTCTTTATGTATTTGGTATTTAACCATTGCTTGAATAATTTAGCAATCCTTCAAAGATTTGGGCTAAGATTATACTCAAATTTGGGGGCTCGGCTTTTCTGGGGTTTTCTTATTTCTGGAGATTCCTTCTGAATTTCCAGCAGCTCTGCCCTCTAAATCTCTGTCCTGTGACATGCCAAGCCCAGGAGGCGCTAGCTTTCTGCCACCTGAGCTGCAGGATCGGGAATGTTCTCACTTAAAGCAGTAAACTCACACATCTCACCTGTGCAGCTCCAATTTCCAAGACGAGCTCCCTCCCTGATCTTGTGGCTTTTCCATTGAGTCCCTGTAGTGTTCCCCACATAGGCACAGCTTAGCTGCCAGCCCCTGATCTGGGAGAGGTTCATATTTAAATTTTTTCTTACTCCTGCAGAGCACTCACTCCCAGTCTCCCCTTGAGACTGCCAGCACTTTCCTGTTTTGACTTCTGATTTTGTGCGGTCAGAGGGTGGGCTGCCTGTCATTTCTGCAGCCACAGCCTGGGTGCTGGGCAGCTCCCTCTGTCCTCAAATGCCACCAATTCACAATTCTTACTCCTGTCAGTTGCATTTTTTTAAAATAGTATGAACTATCCCCTGGTTTTTGCCCACTGTTTCCTGCTTTCCAGGTATCTGCCACCAGCTGTTTTAAATATTTTTATCTAGGTTTTATAATTTTATTTCTGACTTTGCATGATCACTTCAGTTTGCTGCAATTTTTGCCTCTCTCTTTGATTAAAGAAATCTCCCTTCAAGGTAAATCTACCCTTTTTTTCTTTTCTGTTTCATGATTTAGTGCATTGGCCATACGTCTGAAGCAATTTAAGTAGTTATGGTGAGAGTTAATGGATTGGCTTTTCCTTATTTTACTAGAGGCTTTTAGTATTTAATTATAAATTATGATTCTACACGTAGTAGAACTATTTTAATATGCCAAGCTTTCAAAAGTTGTTTTTTTTTTCTTTCTGTAAATCAGGAATGGGTGTCTAATTGTATCAAATGCATTATAAACGTTGAATTTTATTTTTACATGAGTGTTATTTGGGTTCTATTACTGTTTTTATTAGCATATTAAGAATGTGAAACAATCTGTTTTTCAGCTTGACTGTTATGTTGTTACGGTTTACATTTCTTTCATTCCTCTTGAGACTGAATGTTTTCATATGTTTATGAGCTAGTTTTCTCTTGTGAATCGACTTTGCATGTATTTCTATTCCACAGTAAGCTTTTAAAATGGATTTCTTATAAGTTTTTATGTATTAGGAATATTAAACCTTGGTCAGGTGTGCCTTCAATATTTCCCCAGAGTTTGTTCACTCAAATTTTGTTTATGGTACTCTCCGATACAGAGTTTTGTGTTTTATACAGGCGAGTGTAGCTGTTGTTTCTTTTACCTGCCATTATGTTTAGACTCTCCTTTCCTCTACATGTTAAATTCATCTGCATTTTCTTTTAATACAGTTATGGCTTACTTCACATTTAAGTTTTTGACCCACCAAAGATGCGTTTTAATATAGGTCATACAAGAGGGATCTAGACATTACTTCCCTATGGTTTCCTGTTTTCTCAACACCCACTTATCGAATAAGTCATCTTCCCCCCACTTATTTGAAATCCCACTGCCATAGTTTAAGTAGTTGTATGTACTTGGATTTGTTCTTAATTTATTTTTCATTCCAATACCCTGAACCCCTTCCCCCATACCTCGTGTGTTGTATTTGTGTGAGACACTTATGTGGTATTCTCATGATGCATTTTTTGATATTTTATAGGGCAAGCGCCTTTATTACTCTTCTTTTTGTCTTCTTCTCTAATATTCCGATACATTTTCTTTTTCAAAGTGATTTAAAAAATTTTGTCAAGTCAAACTATGTTTGATTTCTATTGAAATTGCATTAAATTTATAGTGTTAAATCTGTTGCAATTAACTCTGTAGATTTAATGCAATTTCAATAGACATTAAATCATATTGTCTATAAAAATCACAACAGAAATTCTTTATATTTTAAAATTTGCACTGATTTCAGAGATAGTAGTGATGATGAACAACTTTGCTTTAGTTGTGTGATACTGTCACTTATAAGAGGAATCTACATTTGGTTTTTGTCACTGATTCCAGCCATGGAGCTTGTGAAACCCTTGTAATTTCCTGAGCAATAGGGGTTCTAGGAGCATCTTTTGCCCTCATATTCTATCTTTGATCCTGGTTTCAGCTGCAGAGCTCCTAAATTCTCGGAAGTGCCTTGGTTTCAGCTGCAGAGCTCCTAAATTCTCGGAATTGCCTTGGTGATAGGAGCATCTTTTGCTCTAATGAGGTGGCCCTTGGTGGGCTCCTGGATAGGCACTGGTCAGCAGAAAGACCGAGCCAGGATTAGGAGCTTGGAGCTCCAGGGGGAAGTCCGGAGGGTCTGGAAGTCGAGTTCATAGCTGATCATGCCTACGTGACAAAGCCTCCATAAAAAACCTAGAGAGTTCTGAGTTGCTGAATGTAGAGGTGTAGGGTGGTGGTGGGTGGAAGAGGTGATGCATGGAAGAGCGTGGTGGTCTCTAGAGGTGGAGGGTCGTGGTGCACGGAAGAAGTCCTGGGAGCTCTGTGCCCCCACCACACTCCCATACCTTGCCCTGTGCATCTCTTCCATCTGAATGTTCATCTGTATCCTTTGTAAATTCCTTTATAATAAGCCATCAGTAGACTTTCTAGCAAATAATCAGGGCCAAGGGAGGTGGTAGTGAGAATCCTCAATTTATAGCTGAACAGTCAGAAGTACTGGAGGCCTGGACTTGTGATTGGCATCTGGGGTGGGGCAGTCTTGTGGGACTGAGCCCCTGGCCTGTTGGGCCTGTGCTAACTCGGATCAGTGTCAGAAATGAATTAAATCTTAGGATGCTCAACTGGTATCCACTGGTGAATTGCTTGGTGTATGGGGAAAAAACCCACACATCTGGCCAGAGAAGCATTTTGTATTGAGTGTTGAGAGTATAGCAGGAGAAAACAGTTTGTATTTTTCTACTATATACAAATAGCAAGGGCTAATAGTTTGAAATAAATCTTTTTTATTTTATTTTAAAATATTCTGAGCAATATTCTTCTATCCTCATTTTATAAGTAATCTATAAAAATCAGAAATGAATATTCAACTTGGCCAAATGGCTTCCAGGCAGTTATTATGATAATGATATAGTTTGTTTTTCTTGGACTTACTTACTATGATGAATTATATTAATACATTTATTCATGTTTCTAGAAAAAATATTTTGGTCATTTCTGTTATTTTGATATATTAAGAGATTAGAAAAATTATATTTGCTAGTACTTGTTTAGAATTTAAAAATATTTATTTATACCTAAGATTATTATATAGTTTTATTTTTGTGCTTCTAAAATTTTTTTTGGTGTCAGGGTTACGTGCAATGAACTGGGAAGCTTTCCAAATTTCTATGTGCTGAAATAATTTAAATAGCATTAGAATGATCTGTTTTTGGTTTTGAAATAACCTGCTCATAAAAATGCCTGCACCTGGCATATTTTATGAGGTTAGCTCTTGGGCAACTTTAAACATTTCATCTTTTAAATTAATTTTTAACTGTAAGCCATATATGAATATGCTTTTGTTACGTGAAATTTTAAATATACAGATAAAGCAAAAATCTCTCTGGATTATTCCATTCTCCCTTTCCTGTTCCATCAGCAGAAGTGAACACAGCCACCAGCTATGGATTCTTACAAATTTTTTTCTATTTATTTCAAAGCACGTATAAGACATATAGAAATATAAAATTTTCCTCTTTGCATTTTTAATAAAATTGAATAATTCTGAATGTATATTATTCAACTTGCCCTTTTCTTTTAATAATAAATCTTTGAAACCTTTCCATGTGAATATATATGGCTCTATCTCATTCTATATTTCATTATTGCATAATATATTATATGACGGAAGTAACCTTAGTCTAACCTTTGGGGCTATTTCTTTCATGGCTACTGGTTCATTTATATTTTCTAGCATTGTCTTAAATAAGTTTGGAAATGTTTGCTTTCCTAAAAATATCTTTAAGTTTTTGCAGATTTCCTTTCTTTTTCCTGTCTCCCTCTCTTCACTCATTCATTCATTCAACAAACATTCATTGACCACTTGCTCAGGGCCAGGCACTCTGCAGAGACTTCCGTGTTGTTTCTGAACAAAACAGCCCCAGATCCCTGGCCTCGTGCTGCTAACATTTAGGCAGATTTTAAACTTACAGGTTTGGAGTATTTACTAAAATCATGAACACGAAGAGAGTTAGTCCTAGTTCTGAAGGTATTTTCTCATGACAGTTTGTAAAAGTTGCTCCCTGCCTGTGATTTCACCCGTTTTCATACCCGGGTTTTACATTTTCCTTTTCTCTTTTCCTCTGCTTGACTATAACTCCCATGTTTTTCTAGTTCTTATCATCAGTTTTTGCCATAATTAAAAGCCCACAAACAAAATTCATGAGCTCTACTACTTTAAATGGATTTCTTCCTCTTTTTAACTGTATTGATTTCTCTTTTCTCTTTATTTCATGATTCTTTTCTTAGGTTCTTAAATTAGAGGCTCATTTTATTTACTTCTTTATTGTTTAAAAATAATTTTTTTAGACACTACCTGTTTTTGTGGAAAACCATGGCAGCATTTATCATACGTTTATTTTTTGATCGTCAATGGCCAGTATTATCCTTTTTCTCTTTTCTTTCTTTTTTTTTTTTTTTTTTTTTTTGAGATGGAGTTTTGCTCTTTTTGCCCAGGCTGGAGTGCAATGACGCGATCTCGGCTCACCGCAACCTCCGCCTCCCAGATTCAAGTGATTCTCCTGCCTCAGCCTCCCGAGTAGCTGGGATTACAGGCATGTGCCACCATGCCTGGCTAATTTTGTATTTTTTAGTAGAGACAGGGTTTTTCCATGTTGGCCAGGCTGGTCTTGAACTCCCGACCTCAGGTGATCCGCCTGCTTCGGCCTCCCAAAGTGCTGGGATTACAGGCATGAGCCACCGCGCCCGGCCAGTATTATCCATTTGCTTTTTAGTGCGGGCCATGCTCACCTGTGCTCCATAATGCTCAGTAATACTCCATGATTTAGCAGAAACCACGTGTGTTTTCTCCATGTCCTCTGTGAAGGAGGCAGGAGCCTTACACAGGCAGCAGTGGCATCAGGACTGGGCACCGGCCTTTGCGTCCTGTAACGCTGGGTGAACCAGGGTGGCCTGTGGACCTCAGTAAGGGAGGTGCCCACAGAGATTCGGAGAAGACGTCGTCAACACCCTCTGAAGAAGAAACATCCAAAACCAACCTGATTCTTACCCTTTCCTGGTTAAACTGCTTTACATGTTGAGCACATTTATAATAGCTTCTCATAAGTCTTCAACTTTACACATTTTGCCATGTTGTGTTCAGATGTACTTTTTATACGTTTTCCATTGTAATTGTTGGCAGGATTTTCTTTTTTGAGGTTAAAAAAGGCTATTGTTTATCACGTGCTGAATATGTGCTTGGCAATTGCTGTGGACTCCATTACCCCCTTCAATCCTCAGAACAACTCAACAAGCAACCTCATATTTTAATTGTGAACACAGAGACTCTGAAGGTGGTGAACTCGCCGGAACTCACGAAGTCAGTAAGCGGCAGAGCCTGTGTTTGAACCCCAGGGACTGCATTTCCACAGCCTGCGCTTTTCACCACTTAGTGTTAAGAGCACATATCATGTGATTTTGTTTTATATTTTGCTTCTATTTTTCTCCTGATGCTTTTCCTCTGGAGTCTGGGGAGGCTTCCTCCAGCTGGTCCTGCAGTTCACTGATGACACTTTTGCCAGGGTTCAATTCTGCTCTCTCCCTCCATTGTCCTTTGTAATTCAGAAATCGTGTTTTTCAACTGAGAGCAGTAGTCCTCATTGCAGAGTGCTCTGCCATTTGAAACCTTACAAAAAAATTCAAAACTGCAATGTAAACTTTCCTTTGGATACTACGGTAAGCCTGGTTCTTAGGAGGACGTTTCTGATTACACAGATTATTACTTTTCTTTTGGTGACTAAATCACTATGCATCTGGGGAGGTGTTTCTTTGTTGATTCCTGTCTGTGGAGAGCTGCATTCCTTGCTTACCCGCCACTGGATCTGAGATGGGTTCTTGCACAGATTTTGTTCCAGATCTTTCAGGATAAGGGAATGGTCGGTTTGCGCTCTCATTTTATTTTGCCATGTTGAGGGCAGAGCAGGGCTACCATTCCCATTGGCGGCAGTGGGCTGGCAGGAGGCTTCCCGCTGTGCCTGTGGTTTCTGGTTTGCTGCTTTTTCATGTCAATTCTGGTGCCCTGGATTATCTCTGCCAGCAGCTCTCTCAGTAACAGGGATGGCCATTCTCAGCTCATGCCTCAGGCACTGTGACCCCATCCTCATGTCTGTCACTTGCCCACTGAGACACAGTCCACATGAGATTGGATTATTTTCCAAAGTACTCTGTGCCACTCTTCAGAAAAATATGATACATGTGTCTGTAACCACCTGGTTTGCATATAAGATATTACAGATCCCTATAAGGAACTTGGGAAGCAATTAGGGAACTGTGAATGGCCCATTGCAAATCTTCCAGCACTTGGAGGTTGCTGGAAGGTTCTAGACATCATTCAGTCTGACCTACCCTAAAACGAAATTGGAAATCTCTCTGCCATGTTGGATATAGGCTGAGACTGAGCGTGAGCTGCCTGTCAAGGGTCCTGTGGAGGTTCAGCTACTTTCTGCTATTAAGCTTCTCCTAGTTGAGATGATGAAACTCTTATCTCCCTGGTGACTCGGCCTCTCAGTCTTGGAATTTCTGCTTTCAGGAGCCATTTAGAACAAGCCCAGCCTCGCCTCTGACAATCATCTCAGCAGTTATGTCCCAGGAGACGATGCCAGTTAGACACCTCTTCAACCATTTCCTGCTCCTCTTGTTTTCTGACCCCTCGATTCCTGATCACTCTTCTCAGGAGGTAGTCCAGGTGCCTAGACGCTGGTGCCCAAATCTGAATCCAACCCAGTGCAAGCCACTCCTCCAATCTCTGGCTCATTCGATGCTTAGAGTGTCACAGAGGACTGTGGAGTGGAGCAAGTGGGGCCCTGACTCCTTTACACCTGTCATCCCTGGTGTCTTGTGTCTATCTGGCTGGTCTGCAGGCCCATGAACTTCTCTGTGATGCCATCACACTGTTGACCCAACTTGACCTATTGACCACTTAAACCTCTGCTAAGCTGCACGTGTTCATCAAGCTGCTGTGCCTTTGGTCTTCTGAACTTAAGTGTGGGATGACATTTACTTCCTCTTCACCCACCCTGAGCAGAGGTGGCCCATCCCTCCATAAGACCAGCACGTTCACTCCACCGTGCAGCGCATGGACCAGTTATCTATGTCATCTCATTTCGTCTTCACAAAACTGAGGCTAACTAGGTGAGACGCTATGCTCCCCTTTGCAGAGATAAGACAACTAAAGGTTTAGAAGAGTTTAAAACATCTCTGGGCATCCAGCAGCTGGAGATCAAAGCTGGCTTCATGCTCAGTGGCTCTTCTTGGCGCCATGTGGGTCATCTTCACATCCCACGCTTGGCTTCCGCACATGGTGCTCCCGCCCCTCTCTCTCTCTGAATCTTTCGCTGACTACACGGACAGTGCAGGAGCGAATATTTTGGGAGGTGGATGGGGAATTTGCATTTCAAACCATCTCCTTTCCTAACTGCATTTGTTCTCCCCAAGCCCTGTTTGCCATTGCCACCAGCTATCACACGCAAAGCAAACTAGAAAGCACTTAACCTCCAGGAGTTACCACCCAGGCTACAGAATTTAAAATCAAACTTTGATTACTGAGAAAAAGATGTGCTTATATTCACCTCCTGTCCTCGATGAGCTCCAGGAAGAAAGGAAGGGCTCCATCTTCAAAGCGGTCTTAGCTCCAGAGCTCTGCCAAGTTCCCAACCCTGCTCCTTGGCTGCCTGCCTCTCTTTGGCACAAACTCACCTGTGGAAGGTGCCTCTTTGAGTGTGACTATGACCAGCTGGGTTACCTGGAAGGTGGTAAGTATCTCCAGGGTCTACCCATGACCCCTGGGGCTGCAGGAGACCCAGCTGCTGGTGGACATCTGTGTGCGTGTCTGTAGCGGAAGCTGGAAGCAAACGTGCCCTGTGGGGCTGAAGCCGCAAGCTCCCTGTCATCTCCGGCCCTAGTCAGAGGTAACTGGAACATTCTGGGAGTTGTGGTAATGGTATGTTTGGGGCAATCAGAGGTGCTGGTCAGAAGGAAAGTGAAGGAAGACACTCTGTTCCTCAATCACATTGACCCTCTCTGGGTGTATGTGACATTACCAACACTGGCCTCTTTCTGTGTCTCTTGGGGGGTACTTCTGAGTTTCTCTGAGAGCGTCTCCTCCTCCTCCTGGGCCTTGAGTGTAGGGATTCCCATGGGCTCTGTGGGTAGCCTCCTCCTCTTTTCACTGTGGGTGTTCATCCACTCTCATGGCCACTGGGGACTTCTGCCACAGAGGAAGCAGGGTCTACATCTCCAGGCCTGTCCCTGCTGTTTCCCCTGCATAGGCATTTCCCCAGCTGTCCACAGGACCACCCACTTGGCTGTGCCAAGGCCCCTCCCACTCACCGTTCCCAGCCTGAACCAGCTTTCTCTCTCCTTGCTGACCTGAGCATTCTCTCTGACTTGCATCTCAAGGCCAGGCTCCTCCCTCTGCCCAGTGCATGCACCAGAAGCCCCAGCATCCCCCTGTTGACTCCCCAGAGCCCTCTCGGTCAGGCTCCACTGCCTTAGCTGGCGTCTGAAAGGTTGGGACCTGGCCAGCTGCTCAGTCTGACCCTTGCACTTCACCCCCTGACTCTCCACTCTGGCTAAGAGACCCTTCTGAAGGTCTCAAGGAGGCCACTCTCTTTTTTTGCCTCTAGTATTTAGCATAGACTTTTTCCATCTGAAACAATTCATTGAAAGAGAATTAGAGAATTTTAAGAGTATTAAAAAATCTAGAAAATGAAATTAAATCTTTAACGGTGCCTAAAGCGTTTCAGACCACCATATAGCAAAGCAGTATTTTCAAATATCACTTCTCCCAGGAGGGTCTCCCGAGCTCCCCAGGAAGGCACAAGTGGACACCCTGGCTGTTCCCGTGCAGCCTGTGCTTGACTCTTGCAGAGCCCCATGCAGCATGGTCCCTGCCTGCTCCTGCGTACCTCCAACAGTGACAAAGGCCAGGCATGGGCTTAGTCAACGATTGTGGAAGCACTAACACTCCACTGGACATGGACTGATTGAGTTCTCATGACTTGAAGCCAAGTTATAATGTCACACGGTCGCTGTTCAGGTGCAAGGACAAGGACACCGACAAGAACTCTATTAAATATTTAAGGAAGAAAAAATAACAATCTTACACACACTGTCAGAACATTGTAAATGAGGGAACAATTCCAAAGCCATTTTAAGAGTCTCGCATAGTCTAAAGTCAAAACCATGCAAAATCATTAAAATAAGAGAAAATGACCAACATCCTTCTCAATCTAGACAAAAGATTCTTAGCAATGGATTAGCAAACAAAATGCAGCATCATACGCATATATGTACATATACACACAAATACATCATACATATACACACACTACATACACACATTATACATGCTACATGCATACACCATACATATATACCTACATACACACATCTTGGAGAGGTGAAGTGGATCCCAGAAATGCAAAGTTGGTGATCATTTGCAAACTAATCAATGTCATTCACCACTTGAAAAGAGGAGAAAATTCATGCAAGATCTCAATAGGTGCAAAGAATGCATTTGACAACATTCAACACTCATTAATGATGAAAATTCTCAGCACATTTAGAACAGAAAAACACTTCCTTAACTTGATAAAAGGCATCTACATAAAGAACTTTTAACATCCATTGCACTTAGGCTGTGATGTGTTGACTGAGGTATTTAGGTTAGGTTTGGTGTAGTCGGGTACAGCACTGTGAGGGCCACTCAGACTGGAACCATGAAAATATTTCTCCTACTCACAGGTCCCAGGGAAAAGCGGGCAGCATGCCTCGAAGGGCCCATGGAACACAGGGAGCTGTCGAGACATACGCAGTCAACCGGTGGGGGCAAGACAGAGAGAGGGATAACATGTGAGCTGCAGCCTTTATGGGGTCCAGAACATCATGTGGGTGGGTTTCCTGGGACAGGATTGGACTGGTTAATTTGAAGGGAGCTAAGCATAGGGACTCCAGGGTTGCATTATCAGGTCTACTAGGCTTAAAACAGAAGTAAAGTGGTCAAGTAGTTCAGGGTGTGGGGCCTTATTTACCCAGGACGTGAAAATGGAAACTGGATGGAGGCTGCCTCCAAATGTGCAGGTCAAGGATGACAAGCAGGGACAGGATAAGAAGGAGGCCGAGGCGGTGTTCACATGAGTTAGAGCCACGGCAGCTTCATGGTGAAAAATTAAATGTTTTTCCCTTAAGATTAGAACCCAGGATGTTGGCTCTTAGCATGTCTATCGAACATTTTTCTGTTAGTTCTGGTGAGGGCAATAAGGCAAAAACAAAAACAAAACAAAACAAAAAAACAAAAACAAAACAAACAAAGAAAAAACGAATAAAGATAGAAAGTTGGAAGTAAGGAGTAAGGCCGGGAGTGGTGGCTCATGCCTGTAATCCCAGCACTTTGGGATGCCAATGCGGGTGGATCACCTGAGGTCAGGAGTTGAAGGCCAGCCTGGCCAACATGGTGAAACCTCGTCTCTACTAAAAATACAAAATTAGCTGGGCGTGGTGGCAGGCGCCTGTAATCTCAGCTACTCAGGAGGCTGAGGCAGGAGAATCACTTGAACCTGGGAGGCGGAGGTGGCAGTGAGCCAAGATCGTGCCGCTGCACTCCAGCCTGGGCAACAAGAGTAAAACTCCGCCTCAAAAAAAAAAAGAAAAAGAAGTTGGAAGTAAAACACTCTCTTTTTGCAAATGACATGATGGTCTACATAGACAATCCTAAGGAATCTTCAATTTTAACTAGATTTATCAGACACCAATTTCAAAATTACTATACTTGTTTGTTCAAGGAGATACAAGAAAAAATAAAAAAATGTAGTAGAGAGCTGAAGACTATAGAAAGTGACAGCATACTTAAAAAAGAACAAGTGGGAACTTCTAGAAATAAAAATATAAAAACTGAAATTAAAAATACAATGAACTAGCTTCATAGCTTACTAGACACAGCTTAAGAAGTAATTTGTAAACTGGAAGTTATTCGGAAAAAAATCTCTCCAGAATGGATCACAGCAAGTCACAAGAATCCTGCATACATAAAAGAAGGTAAAAGAAGTAGAGGACATAGAAAGTCGATTTAATATACACTGAATTGCAGACACAGAAGAAGGGATGGGGCATGATGGGCAGAAGTGAAATTTGAAAGAACGGTGACTGAGAATTTTCTGAAACTGGTAAATAACATCAATTGGCAAACCTCAAACAGCATGCATAAAAGAAAGATACACCTCCACATATCATTGAGAAACCTGAAGCAAGAGATGGTGAGAATCTCTTGAAGGCAGCCAGAAGAAACATCAATGAATGACAGCTGGCTCCTCATCTAGCTGACAAATAAGCAAAAAAAGCAGAAAACAATGGAGTGAAAGTAACTGCTGCCCCAGCAGAACTGTCCTTCAAGGATGAAGATTAAATAGGTTTCAGGAAAACACAACCACAAAATATGTCACCAGCAAATGTGCACTGAAAGAAATACTGAAGGGTAGGAAAAAATGACCCCAATGTGGGAGATGCAGGAAAGAGTAAAGAATAGAAAAGTGGTGAGCATGTGCCTGAGCCTCGTGAATATCACCTCTGTGGAGGAACACCATCACCTACTGTGGACTGTGCAAATGGATGGTCTAAATGAGATAAGAGCTGATTAGCCAGGCTCCGGGAGGAGGGTGTGCTCATCACCTGCTTGCTCTTAGACAAATTCTTGAAGCTTTTATTCCTCTTCTCTATTCTGTATCTCAAGGAAGGCAAAAGTAGGCAAGGCACTCCCCGAGGCAAAGAACAAAGCGAAAGTGCTTGCTTTTCTAGATAGCTAGACTGCAGTAATTGAGAAAAGGTTGTATTGGCACAAAGACAGACATTTAAACACATGTTACAGAATTGAGTCCAAAATTAAAGATTTGCACTGTCATCACTTGATTTACAGCAAAGTTGTTACATTGTTGGCACTCACTAAAAATTGAGGCAGAAATTGTCTTTAAAAATTATGCCTTATGGGAAAAAAGTAAAAACAGGATAAAGTGGCTGACAAACATATAAACTTACTCAACTTCATTAGAAATCAGGAAAATACTAAATAAAACCACAAGGGTGGAAGAATGTACTTAGCATTGGCAAGGATATGAAGCAATAGGAACTCTAACATATGCTTGGATATGGATGTAAATTGGAACAACACTCTGGAAAACTGCTCAGCATGTCTGTGCGAGTTGAACATTCACATGCTCAAAGACCCAGCAGTGCCAACCTTAAGTGTATACCCCATGATAGTTTATACATTTGAAAGTGTATTTAAGAATGTGGGGAAAAGAAAGATCAGATTGTTACTGTGTCTGTGTAGAAAGAAGTAGACATAGGAGACTCCATTTTGTTCTGTACTAAGAAAAATTCTTCTGCCTTGAGATGCTGTTAATCTGTAACCTTACCCCCAACCCTGTGCTCTCTGAAACATGTGCTGTGTCAACTTAGGGTTCAATGGATTAAGGGCTGTGCAGGATGTGCTTTGTTAAACAGATGCTTGAAGGCAGCATGCTCCTTAAGAGTCATCACCACTCCCTAATCTCAAGTACCTAGGGACACAAACACTGCAGAAGGCCGCAGGGTCCTCTGCCTAGGAAAGCCAGGTATTGTCCAAGGTTTCTCCCCATGTGATAGTCTGAAATATGGCCTTGTGGGAAGGGAAAGACCTGACCGTCCCCCAGCCCGACACCCGTAAAAGGTCTGTGCTGAGGAGGATTAGTAAAAGAGGAAGGAATGCCTCTTGCAGTTGAGACAAGAGGAAGGCATCTGTCTCCTGCCCGTCCCTGGGCAATGGAATGTCTCGGTATAAAACCCGATTGTACGTTCCATCTACTGAGATAGGGGAAAACTGCCTTAGGGCTGGAGGTGGGACATGGGGGCAGCAATACTGCTCTTTAAGGCATTGAGATGTTTATGTGTATGCATATCTAAAGCACAGCACTTAATTCTTTACCTTGTCTATGATGCAGAGACATTTGTTCAAGTGTTTATCTGCTGACCTTCTCTCCACTATTATCCTATGACCCTGACACATCCCCCTCTCTGAGAAACACCCAAGAATGATCAATAAATACTAAGGGAACTCAGAGGCTGGCGGGATCCTCTGTATGCTGAACGCTGGTCCCCTGGGTCCCCTTATTTCTTTCTCTATACTTTGTCTCTGTGTCTTTTTCTTTTCCAAGTCTCTTGTTCCACCTAACGAGAAACACCCACAGGTATGGAGGGGCAACCCACCCCTTCATAAGAATACCATGCACTTCATCATTTGCAATAGCTAATGAAAACAACCCAGATTTAGAAGTAATGAGTAAATGAAGAAACCACAGCCATATGCATCAATGTGAATGAATCTGACACATGTAATACTGTGTGAAAGGAAAGGTTATATACGGGATGGTTACGTTTACATAAAGTAAAAAAGGCATGCAACACTAAACCACAGTGTTTAACGATAAAAATCTAGTAGTGCTTATAAAGAAAAAGCAAGGATGTGAGGACCATACAAATTAAAATTGAGATTACTATTAAGGGAGAAGGAGGGAGGAGTTATGACTGAAAAAGGGCACTTAGGAAATTTTTGTAATGCTGACGACAATGTTCTATTGCATGACGATGTGTATGCATTGTTCACTTTATAATAATTCATTAAATTGACATTAGTTGGTTTTGTACATCTAAGTAAATTTTTTAAAACAATGATTACTATAACTTTGTAGTATAATTTGAAGTCAGATAATATGATGCCCCCAGCTTTGTTCTTTGTGTTTAGGATGGCTTTGGTTATTCTGGTCCTTTTGTGGTTTCACATTCCTTTTAGGATTATTTTTTCTATTTCTGTGAAGAATGTCATTGGTATTTTGATAGACATGGCATTAAATTCTTAGGTTGCTTAGGGTACTACAGATATTTAACAATATTGATTTTTCCAATTCATAAACATGGAACAGCTTGCCATCTTTTTTGTGTCCTCTTCAGTTTTTTTCATCTATTTTTATAGTTTTCATTGTAGAGATTTTTAATTTGGTTACGTTTATATCTAAGTATTTTATTTTATTTATTGCAATTGTAAATGAGATTGGTTTCTTGGTTTCTTTTTCAGATTGTTCATTTTTAGTATATAGAAATGCTACTTCTTTTGTACATTGATTTTGTATTCTACAACTTTACTGAATTGTCTATCAAAAGATGAATGGATAAAGAAAACGTGGTACACAGACACAGTGGAATATGATTCAGACACTAGAAGAATGAAATCTTGTCATATGCAACGACATGAATGGAACTGGATGACATTGTGTTAAGTGAAATAAGCCAGGCACAGAAAGACAAGTTATCACGTGTTCTCACTCATATGTGGGAGCTAAAACATAAAAATGGAACTCCTGGAGACAGAGAGTAGAATGATGGTTACCAGAGGCTGGGAAGAGTCGTGTGGAGGGAGGGATAAAGAAGGGAGTGTTAATGGGTAAAATAATACAGTTAAACAGAAAGAGCAAGATCGAGTGCGAGCTTGTCCAACTGCCTTGTTTTGTTGTTGTTGTTTTTCTGTTTTGTTTTGTTGTGGGCTTTTAGCAGCCTGAAGCCATGATTTTTAGTTTCTGTCTCTAGTGATATGCAGAAAAGAGGAATGAGAAAGAGGCTTTACTTGCCCAATCATAAACTGAAACTAAGAACCCATGACTGTATTTTCTCCCTTAGCTACCCCTGATAGTGTATGGCAGCACAACAGGGCAACTATAGTTAAAAATAATTTATCATATATTTTGAAATAACTAAAAGAGTGGAATTGGAATCCTTCTAACACAAACAACTGGTAAATGTTTGTGGTGATAAATATTCCAATCACCCTGGTTTAATCATCATACATTATATACTTGTATCTAATTACCATATAGATCACCAAATATATACAACTATTTTGTATCCATAAAAATTTAAAAAAATCAAAAGCCAAGTAAAAGTTTAAAAAAAGATTAAAAATAAAATACAGGCAAGTGAATGGCCAATCATGTAATTTCCCAAGGAATTCCTGCAGAGATTCATCGTTCAGGACCCCAAGAAATTAACTGAGAGGTTGGGGGACCACATAAAACAGGGCAAATCAAGCCCATTGTCTTGGAAGCTGTCAAATTCCAAATGTGAAAAGAAAGTGCCAAAGAAAAGACTATTCTAAGTTCATGGGTGCTGGTCCCATCATCCTGTTAAATATTTTACTTAAATCTTAGGCTGAAAAAGACCCAAATAATTCAACTTCAGCTTTTGAAAGATGACTCAAATTCACTCTCATGGTGTTGTTAGAAATCTTACAACTTTTCTCAGTCTTCATTTCCATCTGCCAACTTCTTTCTTATTTTCCTTCTCCTTCTGCCCCTCTATCTGCTTTGCCTTCCTTCTTGGTTGTCAGTAGAAAAAGGAAAATAATAGAGTAGATGCAAAGTTGGTATTAAAAATTGAATCATTTCAAAAAAAAAAAAAAAAGCAAAAGCAAGCAAACAGTGCTGGGGTATGATTAGTGACATGTGAGCCCTCTTAGGTGTAGAATTCTCTGAGAAAGATCCAGCGTATTTTCCCAAGAAATGTTTACTTCCTTGAAAAGACCTTTTAGAGAAGTTTAGAGGGGCACATTACCATTCCTAGAACAAGTGTAATTTTCGTGGGTAATTTTTTTTCAAAGAGGAAGTATTTTTCTAGTATGGAACCGAATGCAGAGAGCCCTAGTAAGTTGGGCCTAATGACAAGCAGTGTGAATAAAATGTATAAATGTTTAATTTTGGCTCAGAGAAGCCAGATGCAAATTTCCTGTGTCCTCAGGCAGTGCAAATACTGATCACTTATATGATTACTTTGAATAAGGGTCAACTTTTGGTTTAAGAAAACATAGCTAAAATATTAAATATTTATGAAACAGAGTTATTGCAGCAGGAGGCTGAGAGGCACGCAGAGGAGTGTGTAGCTGAGTCATGACCGTGGTCGCTTCCTGTCAACTGCTTCTCCAATATTTCTCTTCCGGCTACTGGCAGGGTCGGGGACAGGGCAAGTTCATTTATTATCTAGGGAAAAATAATGCCACATGTGGATATTCTCTGAATCAACTGAGACTGAAACAGACGGATTTAAAAAGCCAAGCATTTGGGCAATAGTGCAAATTGCTTCAATTAGTTTGTTTGTATGAACTTATGCTGTGGTCCATCCTTCCTTTGGCTGTGAAAGGAGAGGATAATGACATTCTCTGACACTGGTTTGCTCATTAAAACACCATAAATCTGGAGGGAGGAAAAAAGCTGTCAACCATCACTGTAAGATTTCAAGCTCGCAGGTACAATTCTAATCCCCTTTCTGTAGGGTCATCTGCAAATTCTGCTGAACAGGCAAAGGGAGTTTGTTCCTGCCTCATGGTAAATTTGGGAAGGGGAGTCATTGTCAATAATTTAAAATAGGCATAAGGAGGTCAGATTTCATATACCTTTGTTAGTACATATAGTATACACACATACACATAAAACTGCACATGTACATTTATGTATGTTAACATATACATATACAAATATGTACATATGTATGTGTTGTGCACACTCTACACACATGAATATGTGTGCATATTTATAGCTATGAATATGTGTTCACACACCCGCACACTCACACGCACCTTTGAGTTGGCACAATGTGATGGATCGAATAATACCCCTAGACAGGGATGTTGCTTGATGTGATGTTTGCTGTGGACTGTCCCAGTTCTCAGAGGAGCGGTGAGATCCAAGCCTGGCATGGCCTTGCTCAGAATGTGCACTTCTGCTCCATGGTGTTCTCTCGAGCCTGATGAGAAAATCTAGCATTCCCTGACATGGTGGCACATTAGCCTCTGGTTTTCTTGCAGAGACTAACAGTTTCAGTCAAGATCTTGGGGAGCTGCCTAGGAGGCTTCCTCTTCCAAAAGCGAGACTGTGCCCTTGCTGCCAGCCATGGCAAGAGTGTCAAATGTGGGGACATGTTGGCTAATGACAAGCCATCGAAGTCCGTTGTGTTGTGTGAACAATGATGTGTATCAGCACATTCAGGAAGGTCCTAAGTTACGGCTGCTGCACTGGCCTTCCCCAGAGGAGATTGGGAACCTGCTGGATTTATCTGGACCTCCCCACAGCATAGCTAAGCAAGACCTGGTGTTCTATTTCCCTGGACGTCACTTTCTCACTCTGAGCCATTCTGCCCCTTTATGCCTGGGCAGAGATCAGAGGTGGGAGCTGAGTGGGTCTGGAGCCTGCTGCATTATGAAGCTTCTCTGTTCCTGGGTGCACGTCAGGGCACAACACATTCTGTCCCTTGTCAGAATGCTCTGGAGCTTTCAGCACAGCCCCTCGTCTTCTCTTAAGAAATACGACAGCCTCTTTAACTCCGCGTCTGCTTTCAGCCTCTCAGAAATATCCCCATGGTTGATGAAAAAGCCAAATACTGTTATATATTTAAAGAGGTTTTTTTTACTGAGCCAATATGAGTGACCATGGCCTGGGGTACAGTCTCAAAACGGCCTGAAAATGTGTGCCTGAGGTGGTTGGGTTATAGCTTTTTAAAATATATTTCAGGGAGACAGAAGTTACAGGTGAAGGCATAAATGAATACAAGGAAGGTGTACATTGGGTCAGCCCAGAAAGGTGGGACATCTCCCAGGTAGGGGTGAGGAGTAGGGCTTACAGGTCATAGGTGGGTTCAAAGATTTTCTGATTGACAGCTGATTGAAAGAGTTAAGCTTTGTCTAAAGAGCTGAAGTCAGTAGAACAAAATGCTTGAGTTAAGACAAGGGAGGTTGTGGATGCCAAGGTTCTTGCTATGTAAATAAAGCTTCCAGGTAGCAGCCTTCAGAGAGAATGGATGGTAAATGTCTCTTTTTGGATCTTAAAAAGTGTCAGACTCTTAGTTAAATCTCTCAGTCTCTCCTAGATCTGGGAAAGACCTAAAAAGGGAAGGAGATTCTCTACAGATGCAAATTTCCCCCACAAGAGACAGCTTTGTAGGGCCATTTTGAAATATGTCAAAGAAATATATTTTGGGGTAAAATATTTAGGTTTCCTTCAGGGCTTGTGATCTGCTACCTGTCATGTGATGCTATGCCAGCGTCCAGTTGGAATTAGGCATTTTATTGCCACAGAGTGTCAGTTTGTCAGTCTTATGATCTCCATCTT
Source organism: Homo sapiens (assembly GCF_000001405.40). NCBI lineage: Eukaryota > Metazoa > Chordata > Mammalia > Primates > Hominidae > Homo > Homo sapiens. The sequence continues at coordinate 130,633,853 of NC_000010.11, forward strand.
AATATTCACGCTGATCAACTGTGCATAAACCCCAAAAGGGAGAAGGTAGAATGAAGCGTGTCCAACCTCCCTCCCTGTCATGGCACGGCCGGAAATTCAGTTTTTCAAGTTTCTGTGGGGTTCCCTTGGCCAAGAGGGGGTTTGTTTGGTTCATTGTGGGGGTTAGGATTTTATTTCTGGTTTATGCCATGGTAAGAGACACATGTTGTCTAACCTTCCTTCTAGATGTGAATGTGTCCACGTGAGATCCTTTGTCACTCAATGAATTCTAAACATGGTTGCCCTAAATTCCCTGGAATGTGTGGTCCTGTGGGGGATTTGGGATTTTTCTAGGGAATCCTTTTGTGAGATTATAGCTTTTTACCTCTTCCCTCACTGTCCTGATAAGATTCCTGATTTCCCATAGTCTTGGCTTTGTGTGCACCCACTGCTCTGTTCACTCCTAGTTCTTGCATCTTTCCCTTCTTGATCCTCCTGCAGCGTAAGGTCTTCCTGTGGCAGAGCTGCTTTCTTCTCTCCAGTGGCCACTCCTTGCCTAGTGCTCAGAGCCAGTGGGGCCACCATCATAGGTCTGGTTGTTCCTGGGCACCCTTGACATAAGTAACTCCATCTTAGAAACAGATTCCATTGTACATTTCATAGGGCACTTTGCCAACAAGGACAAGATGTTTTGCTTAATAAGCCAATACAAGATAAAGACTGTACCCAGCCAGATAAGGACACGTAAAAGCAGCACACTCTTCCACTATCAGTCCCCACTAGAAGATTCTGTGACCATAAAAGAGCAGAGTTTCGGCAACTTGAAGCAGCTCTTCACTGACACTGTCTTGCTGTCACTTGCGATCAATGCTGGCATCTGCTGCCGAAGGCTCTGACACATCAAAGACTCTTCATTGCAAGACTGATGGACCCCCTGGCCCAGACCAGAAGGCTGTTTTCCTCTTTGTCACCCTCCCTGGACTGGTTTGTTAACCTTTTTTCCTATCTCTTTTCTCTTGATGTTAATTTTACTTTGTTTGTTTGTGGAATATTTAATCTAGAATATTTATATATTGATGAAGTTGACTATCATGTATGGTTTGCAGTGTTGAATGACTCGTGCGGTGGTTTGAGCCTGTATGCCTGTGGTTCTCGCTACCGAGTGAACAGGAAGTACTAAGGAGAATTACCTCCTGGGGAACTCCTCATAGCTCATGGCTTTTGTGATTGAAATAGTGTCAGTAAAAGTCTGATTTTGTGGAAAGACACAACTGTGTGTGGAGCTGGTTATCTCTGACTTGGCACAGCTCACAAGATGGGCTGAGAATGGGCTTTATGTCCTGGTGAAGGGCCATACCCCTAAACCCCACTGATCACCTGTCTATATTCTCAGTCCATGTAGAGTCTGGACACTCCAGGGAAAATCTATTCAATGTTCTTCAATATAATGCTAATTACAAAGTCCTTAAAAAATCTTACCTCCTCTCCTAATGGGCTGTAACAAGCAACTGATTGAAGCAACCCTAGAGTGACCATGTGTGCAATTAGCATCTGAAGGGAAGAAAGACTCTGCTTAAGATGTGGACCGGTCAGGTCACTATAGCTCCAAATTGCTCAAGTGACCGTTCTCCATTGCTGCAGTAACACTCCCAGGAGGGTATGGGAGATGAGTAGGGGTGTTCTGGTTGTCACAGGCCCAGGACTCTACTGGCATTTAGAGACCAGAGGTTAAGGATGTTAAATAGTCTACAATGCAAACCAGTCAGTTCCACGGAATGAGGACTCCCCGCTCCCAACGCATCACTCCCGCTGTGCTTGGATCTCTCCCTATCTCACCCTTATTCCACTCCGGCTGCTTCAGTTATGAAGCCCGGGCTCTGAGCGTTCACCAGGCATCAGCCACATAACCAGACTCCATCTGGTTCTGCCCTCATTCCATTAACGGACTTTCTGGAAGGATCAGGTTTCCTCCAGACAGCCAGGAAATTATCTGCTTCTCCCAAGTCCAGGCTGGTGTTTCAAAAGCTGCCGAGTTCTCTAATTTCCCAGCCCTCTCCCATGCCTCAAAGCCAGGCAGGTGGTATTTTCCTGGAGACAGGTGAATGGTACCCAAAGTGCTGTTTTTTACTTGCCAGTGTGAACACTTGAATCTGACTTGCCTGACTCTTTATAAGTGAAATGCTTGCTGAGTTTTCACAGAAGATCCATAATCAAAGCAGATCTCATCTTTTCCGTGGGCTGTGGTTTCCTTCACGTACACCACCAAGTTCGACTGGAGTTTGGAAATATCAAAGAGCTGGATTTACAGGTCCTTTGGCAAAGGATAAAAATCATCCTATATGTAAATAAGACTTGGAATGAGGGACAGTGCAATGGAAGTGTTGTGAATGATACACTGGTTAGTTTATAAAACCTCATAAATGCTCGCAAGTCTATGAAAAGAAAAGTGGAAAGATTTTCAAGGGGAAAAACTAGAACTTCAATAGTAAGATGCCCTTACAAAGAACCAGTTATGCCATTTAAGATTTTAAAAATTCGTTTGTCACAGAAACATGCTGCACACCCTCTCATAAACATTTTAGAGATCGTGGTGGATTTCTACGGATGTATCAGTTTAACATGACTTGCACATTTTAATGCTGCGCAGGAGGCTCTTACTCTGTGAACTCTGAGTCAAATCCCTCTTCCAAAAGATCAGATCACACACACCCAGGCCCCCCATTCAATACCAGCACTGTCAGGACCAGGGACTGCCTGTTGAGGAGAGAGCTGACATGAGTATGTTCCATGATGAATGAAAGATACGGTGAGTTTTAAGCTCAGCTGCAAAACCATAGCATAATTACTGGAAGTCAAGAATGCGACTTCCTCCCTTTAAAAGTCTTTGTTACTAGGACTTCATGTTAATGATCTAAATGTTCTTAACTTCCTATTTTGAAATGATTTCATATTTATAAAAGTTTGCAAGAACAGCACAAAGAACTGTCATCTACTCTACTCAGATTCATCTTTTTTTATATTTTGCCACATTTACTTTATTAGTATCTCCTTATTTTATTAATCTATAAATTACTGATATAATGTTGACCAATTATTTGTCTGTTTTAATTTATTTCTTATCAAATGGGTTAAAATCCTTTAATATCCTTATTGTGATGCTCAAATTGTCTCATGTATGATCAGTAAAAAGCGTTTTATCCTGGTTTCTCTGTGCTTTGACATGCTCCCAACACTTTTTGATCATATCCTTATTTTCTTACACAAAAATATGTTGCAGGCTTAACTTATTTTCCTGACTCAGCCTAGGAATTAGTCACTTATCTAAGTGACTTATTATTTTAGTGGGAGACAGTATTTAGAAACAAAGATCTATACACCAGTGGGCTCATTACTAATGGTGTCATTCATTTCAGGTCTCTAAGCAAACAAAATAAGAAACGTGCATACCTGCCTGTCTGTCTTTCTACTTATATTTATGTCTGTGTCTATAAAACCATGAGTTCATGCTTATAACTCTGATTCCCATCCAGTATAATGGAATTCTTCCCAGCCTTGCTACATTTCATATTTGTCTCTCCCTTTGCCAACAGTGAGAAACCTAGCACCCAACGTCATCATGGTATTTACCATGTTGCAATACAGAAAGCATTTGGAGAATTGCTAATCTATTCCACTGTGAAAAACAACCTGCTGAGAAATGCTGCTTCCACCCAGCAACCTGCTGCCTTGAATAACCAGAAAACGAAATAAGATACATGAGACAACCATTTCCAACCTTAAACAATAGTCAGCACAGGAAGAAAATAACACTGGAAAGACCGGAAAGAAACTAAGCCAGCCATACAATTACATAGCTTACTGCTTGGAAGAAATTTCCAGGCCGCAGCACAGAAAAGGGAATATCAAACAGAGACCAGCAATTTTGCTGATTTGAGTAGACAGAGACTGTAGATTTGAGAGGCCAAGGCAGCTAGAATTTGCAATGCAGACTACCAGAGATAAGGGAACTGCAGGGAGAGTTCCAGAGATCTACAGGGGGTCCTCTCATATCTTTGCCTCAATATTAATCTGTGACTGTGTGTGGCTAAATCTCCACAGGACTGGGAAAGGAACCACTAGAAAACAGAACTACAAAAGATTCCTAGAGTTCACACACGTATAGTAAATTTTATACCGCCACCAGCAAAATTAGAGAGAGTAATGCATGGGTGTTGGGCAGAGATCATGGAAGGATGCTGCTTTGGAAGTTAGAGTAAGCTAACCCTAGATGAGAGGCTGCCGTGGATCTTCTGCCAAAAAAAGCTGACAAGTGGACTTCAAAAGAATAAGCTGATTGTAGGCAGTATCACAGAGCGCTAGACCAAGTTTCTACATTCCCCGAAGCGATAAACAGCACTCAATAGCATTAACGTTTATAATGCCTGGCATTCAACGAAGTACCGTTTATACAAAATAAGCATAATAATAAAACCCATAACCAGGAGAAAACTCGGTTAATAGAAACATACCCAGTAATAACAGAGATTATGGAATTTGCAGATAAAAGCATTAAGACAGAACACACACACACACATTTGTTCAAGATGTATAGGAAAACATGAGCATGATGGCAAGAGAAATGTAATATGAAGAAAAAAATCCAAATTGAGCTTCTGGAGAATAAAAATACACAATGTGAAACAGAAAGTTAGCAGATTACACTGTGAACACACACACACACCTACACACACACACAGATTAGTAAACTTGAAGATATAACAATAAAACCTAAACAAAATGAAGCACACAGGAAAGATGGAAAAAATGAGCAGAGCATCAGGACTTGTGAGAGAATATCCAGTGGTCCAAAACAAATGTAATCGTCCTACACACAGAGAACAGAGAAGGGGGTGTAGAAAAATTATTTGAAGAATAGTAAAAATTTTTGAAATTTGTTAAGAACTATAAACCAATAGATTCAAGAAGATGAACAAACTTCCAGCAGAAGAAATATGAAGGAAACAACACGGGGTCACATATTAATCAGATTGCTGCAGAAAGAAAATCTTAAAAGCAGTTTACATAAGAGGAACACAGAAACATATTACATAATTATTTAGGCGTCATTGTCTTAATCCCTTTGCTACAAAGGGATACCTGAGGTTTTATAATTTATAACGGTTATAATTTCTTACGGTTCTGCAGATTGTACAGGAAGCATGGTGCCAGCCTCTGCTTGTGGTGAGGCCTCAGGAGCTTCCACTCATGGTGGAAGGTGAAGGGGAGCAGGCATCACATGGTGAGAAGAAGAAAGAGAAAAGAGGAAGGTGCCAGCCTCTTTTTGACAAATCAGATCTCGAGGTTGACCAATAGAATGGGAAGTCCTTTATTACCATGAAGACAGTACCAAGCCATATACAAGGCAACCGCTCCCATGACCCAAACGCCTTCCACTAGGCACTTCCTCCAACACTGAGGATCAAAGTTCAATATTAGATTTGGTGGGGAGAAATTCCCAAACTGTTTCAGTCATAAAGATAAGAATGGCAGCATACTTTGCATCAGAAAAAAATGCAAGCCAGAAGAAAATGGAATGACATCTTTAAAGTACTAAAAGTAAAGTATTCTCAAATGAGAATTTTATAACTAATGAATACATCTTTCAAAAATGAAAGTGGTCTTTTGCTTTTGAGTATGAGGGACTAAAGCTCTAGCTGATAACATCCTCCTTCAGGAAACAACTATAAACCCAGAACGCAATACAAAGAAACATTTCTACTCAAATGTGCTGTGCTAGAAAGTAAGCAGAGGTAGTTAAGCTTTACTAAAAGCAGTAGGGGAGGACTCCTTACTTAAGGGGTGGAGACGTGGATTATGAATCTATGAGGTTTAGCCTATGCTAAATGCAGTCTGCCTAGCAAGCACAGTGGCAGCACAGTCTCACATGGAAAAACCTATAGCCTTTCTGCCTAGGAAACGAGAAAGTCAATCTGAGACACTGCAGACACTGCAGAGAGCAGAGAAATTGTTGAAGAGGCAGAGAAGGGATACTCCACCCTCTCTACCCACAACTCTGATTGACCTGTGTATTAGTCTGCTCTTCCATTGCTATAAAGTACTACCTGAGACTGGATAATTTATAAAGAAAAGAGGTTTAATTAGCTGACAGTTCTGCAGGCTGTGCAGGAAGCATGGCTATGGAGGCCTCAGGAAACTTACAATCATGGCAGAGGGTGAAGGAGAAGAGGGCACATCTTCACATGGCTGGAGTAGGAGGAAAAGAGAGAAGGGAGAAGTGCCATACACTTTGAAACGACCATATCTTGTGAGAATTCACTTAAGGAGAACTCACTGTTTTGAGAACAGCAAGGGGGAAATCCATCCCCTTGATCCAATCACCTCTCACCAGGCCCCTCCTCTGACATTGGGATTACAGTTCGAAATGAGATTTGGGCAAGGACACAAATCCAAACCATAACAATCTGAAACACACATGTGCAGAGCAGACTCATGCAGCTTAGCTAGAAGCAAAGTATCTGAATGAAGCTATCCCAAGATAGAGAGTTTAAAGTTCAAACTCAGCCAAGAAAATTACTTGCCAAAACAAAGAGAACACAGGTTTTCAGAGAAAATAACAGAATCCAGAATGCCAACACTTCAATACTCACAATTTCTAAAATATAGTCCAAAGTTAAATGACATATGAAAAAACAAGAAAATAAAATACATTCTGAAGAGGGAAGAAAAGATAAATAATTTAGCAAGAACTCAAATGACAAAAATGTTAAAACTATATTTTAAAGAGGTTGTTATAATTATCCTAAATAAAGGAAAACAAGACGTATTTTAATTTTGCCTGCATTTATTTATTCTCTAATGCTCTAACTTTCCTTTTTTTGTTTTTTGAGACAGAGTTTCACTCTTGTTGCCCAGGCTGGAGTGCAATGGCGCAATCTTGGCTCACTGCAACCTCATCCTCCTGAGTTCAAGCAATTCTCCTGCCTCAGCCTCCCGAGTAGCTGGGATTGCAGGCATGTGTCACCATGCCTGGCTAATTTTGTATTTTTAGTAGAGACGGGGTTTCCCCATGTTAGTCAGGTTGGTCTCAAACTCCTGACCTCAGGTAATTTGCCTACCTTGGCCTCCCAAAGTGCTAGGATTACAGGCATAAGCCACCATGCCAGCCAATGCTCTAGCTTTCTTTATGCAGATCTGAGTTTCTGGCCTGTGTTATTTTCCTACTCTCTGAAGAACTTCTATTAATATTTCCTACAAAGTAGGTCTACTGGCAACAAATTCCCTGAATTTTTGTTTGCCTGAGAAAGTCTTTATTTCTCCTTCAAGTTTGAAAAAATAATTTCAGTGGTTACAGAATTCTGTGTTGGTGATTTTTTTGTTTCAGCACTTTAAACATTTCATTCTACTTTCTTCTTGTTTACGTGGTTTCTAAAGAGAAGTCTGATGCATTCGTATCCTTGTTCCTCTATAGGTAAGATTTTTTTTCCCCTCTGATGTCTTTCCAGATTTTTTCTTCATCTTTGCATTTCTGAAGTTTGAAAATGATATACCAAGATATACATCTTTTGGTATTTATTCTGGTTGGTGTTTCTGAGCTTCTTGGTTCTGTAGATTGACAACTGTTGATAAATTATCAGTCATTATTACTTAAAATATTTCTTTTGTTCTTTTCTCTCTTTCTTCTCCAATATTCTTGTTATACATTTCGTAATTATCTTACAGTTATTACAAACTCTCTCTCATCTTTTTCCTTCTTTTTTCTTTTTGCGTTTCAGTTTTGTAAGTTTCCATTGATATATCTTCAAACTCACTGATTCTTTCCTCAGCTACGTCCAGTCTGCTGATGGGCCATCAAAGGCATCTTCACTTCTGTTACAGTGTTTTCTGTTTCCAGCATTTCCTTTGGATTTCTCCTTAGAGTTTCTGTCTCTCTGCTTACATTACCCATCTGTTACTCATCTGTTCCTGCATGGTGTCCACAATTCCCGTCAGGGAGATCGGCCTTCAGTGTGAGTCTTCATGTGTATCTGGCTGGTGGTGAGGCTGTGGTTATGGTTTGCTGTAGCTGTAGATGTCAGAGGCTGTTGTTTCCTCCTGTGGCCTTATTGTTGTCTCTCCTGTTTTTAGGCTTCCCTGGAAACTCCTTCAATAGAGCCTGGGTCTTACAGTTCCTTTAACTGTAGTCCCATCATTACAGTCACCCTGCTGACGTGGGGGAGAGCTATTCTGTAGTCCTATGATTAGATCTCAGTCCTTTAGTGAGACTCAGGGATATTTCTCCTCCCCAGTTCAGTTAGGATTAGGCTCTGGTGAACCCCATTCAGGCTATGGTGAAATTGTTTCCCTTGTGGGTAGGCCTTGCTAGGGGAGCAGGGGCTCTGTGCGTAGTTCATGGATATTTTCCCCTTCTCCTGTGGGAAGTAGTAGGAAATTTTTCTCCGTCCTTTACAGTGAGAATAGGGTTCCTGAAGTAAGACATACAAAACTGTGCCCTCCTCCCAAAAAACCTGCCCCCACTGATTTTTATCTCTCAAATTAGTCATATTTCTAATTAAAGATCTACAGAGAAACAGAAAGTCTCAGTAAAGAAATAGATACAATAAACATGAAAACTCCAGTACTGAAAAGTTAAATTTTTGAGAGAAGATATTCATGAGATGGGTGTAAAGCCACATGAATATGACAGATAAAAGAGTAATTGAATTTGAAGCTATTAATAGAATTATCCAAGAAAAAAGCAAATGAAACATTTTTTCCTTTTTTTAGTATTTTAGATAAGGCCTGAATTGTTTGCTAGATTATATCAACAGGTTCAAATGCATATAATTGGATTGCCAGAAGCCGAGAAAAGAAATGTTTGAAGATAGACTGTTCAAAAACATTCTATACCTGATATAAAACAGGAAGATGCTAACTGCACATCAGGAAAGAAAACCACAAAGACACCCATGCAATCCCTATCGAACTGTTGAAAGGCAAATATAATGGGCACATCTTGAAAGTAGCAAGAGAAAAATGACACCTTAGTCACAACTACGATGCAATTAAGGGTTGGTGCCTTGTCAGAAACCACTTAGGGACAGAAGAAAATAGAACATCTATAAAGTGCTGAAAGCAAATATGCAAATAAACAAATAAAAAACTCTTTTTAGTGTTCTAGGTATAAACAATATTCAGAATTCTGTATCTAGTAAAAGCATTATTCAAGTATTAAAATAAAACCATTTTTGATAACGGAAAATTAAAAGAATTTGCTTCCAGGAGAATCTGTTGTAAGAAATGCTGACATAACTTATTCAGTCTGAAGGGAAATGTCACTAGATAGAAAATTGGATCCTCCAAAAAGAATGAAGAACATCAAACATGGTAAGTATCTTATGTGCATTTCAAAACCCCATAGCATCATATACACGAATAGTGAACTTTGCCGTACGCAAATTTGGAAAATTAACCTGGATATTGATCCCAGGATGGGATGCAGACTGTGGCAAATAGATCTAACGTTATTGTAACCAAACAAAGCAGGTCTGGAAGCCTGCCACAGGCTGAGTCCAAGTAACAAAAGCGAGGTCTGGTGGAAAGAAAGCAAATTTATTAACCAAAACTAGCACAGAAGAAGTAGCCAGATTCCCATCCAAAGTAACTGCTTCGATTTTTAGGGGGAAGGCACGGGTTTTTAAGAAGGAAAAACTTGGTAAGGAAAGCGTGAGGGACTGGGCTGAGTACAATGTCGCTGTGCCTCGCTTTGGTGGCTGTCTTGGGTCCCAGTTCACCAGGAGTGCAGGCTGGCATCATCTCAACAATGGCCGGGCTGTTCATCAGCCACCTTGAAGTCATCTCTGAAACTTGCAGTTTCAGGCTTGGTCTGTCTCAAGATTAGCCACTGGAACTTCTAAGAAGACACACAGTTAATACTAACATACAGTTAGATAGATGTGAAGGGAGCATATACGGCGAGAAAGGGAGGGATGTGGACTCTATTTTAAGGCTAAGAAAAAAGGCTTCTGCAGTTTGCCCCAAGGTTATATCTTGAAACTCAAGAGAAAGGAACAAAAATGTTTAAAATGCATTTTGAAGTTAAGCTGCTTGGTTATGTTATCACAAATGTGTGGCATGTCCACACTGAGCATGGTGAGGAAAAAATAACTAACCTCCCTAATTTGGAAAATGGTGTTTTAACTGGATACTAGAAAGCTAAAGACAAAAAACAAACAAAAAACAAAAACAACCAAAAACAAAAACAACCAAAAAAAAAAAAAAAAAAAAGAAACCACCCAAGCCCACAACTGTACATAAGCACTGTTGGTAAACTTGTTTCTCACATGGGCACAGTTTAGCCGTTCTAAAGCAGCCCATGTGCATACTAGGGTTGAATAAATAAGTAAATAAATTGTAGATAATGGGAGCTAAGTTGACAAATAAGTCAGGAGGAAAGCCTGGGAGAGCCCTATGGTAATGAAGAAGCTCTGGGAACATCTCATGGACTCAGGCTTATCTTAACGTATGTACACATAGATACAGAACTAATCAAGGAACGTGAAACATTCGAAAAGATAAATCATGGTGTGCTGAGAACCACTTAACAACCAGCTCTTTAAATAACCTGCCGTCCGAGATGCAGATGCAGAGTGCTTGTCCATCTTGGTGTTGCAAATATTTCCATGATGGCCAATTTCAAGTGACCAGCACAGTGTCGCTCAGTGAGGAGTTGGGGAGCAATGGGCACAGTTGGCACCCGCCAGCCTGGGCGAGCAGGCTCCAACACAGCACTGAAGCTGCACCACGTGCTGGGTCCTAAGGCCTCAATAAATCTGAGAGTGTTGAAAAAGTAAAGAGCATATTTTCTGAACACAAGTAAATGATATAAGAAATCAATACAATTTTCAAAATTTTAGAAATTAAACATTCTTTGCGTGTGTGTATGTCGAAGAAAAAATCACAAGAGAAATAAGAAAAAATTAGAAGAAGGAATACATCCCAACTCAATTTATGAGGCTGGCATTAGCCTGATGCCCAAATCAGAATATATTATAAAGAAAACACAAACAATATTTCTCATGAATACATTCGCAAAAATTCTCAACCAAATAATAGCAAGTTGAATGAAGTACTATGTCAAAAGATTACTTTAGCCTGATCAAGTGACTTTTATTCTATGAATATAAGGATGGTTTAACATTGAAAAATCAATCAAGGGAATTCACTGTAATAAGAGTAGAAATGAAAACCATATAATCATCTCAATAGATACAGAAAAACCTTTGACAAAATTCAATATCCATTTATAAAAAAATTATCAGAAAATTAGAAATAGAAGGGAACTTCCTTGACCCAATTAACAGTATGTATATGCTGCTATAAAGACACATGCACATGTATGTTTATCGCGGCACTATTCACAATAGCAAAGACTTGGAACCAACCCAAATGTCCAACAATGATAGACTGGATTAAGAAAATGTGGCACATATATACCATGGAATACTATGCAGCCATAAAAAATGATGAGTTCATGTCCTTTGTAGGGACATGGATGAAGCTGGAAACCATCATTCTCAGCAAACTATCACAAGGACAAAAAAACCAAACACTGCATGTTCTCACTCATAGGTGGGAATTGAACAATGAGAACACATGGACACAGGAAGGGGAACATCACATACCGGGGCCTGTTGTGGGGTAGGGGGAGGGGGGAGGGATAGCATTAGGAGATATACCTAATGTTAAATGACGAGTTAATGGGTGCAGCACACCAACATGGCACATGTATACATATGTAACAAACCTGCACGTTGTGCACATGTACCCTAAAACTTAAAGTATATTAAAAAAAAACCCTTAGAACTAATGTCTTACTTAATCCTACTCCAAATCACCAGTACAATAAGACAAGATAAAGAAATTAAAAGATAAGAGTCATATAGATTTGAAACCAAGGAGTAAAACTCTCTTTCATCACAGAGTATTTGATTGTTTTTGTTTAATATCCTAATGCATCTACCAAAAAGCTACTAAAATCAATGAGTAAGTTTAATAAGGTCACGGGATACTAGACTCATGTACAAAACAATGAATTATACTTTTTATGTTTTATAAATAAAGTTAAACTTTAGATATGCTATTTACTAGAGAATCCAAAAAGTGAAAAACAAAAGTGAATAAAAAGATGTTTACATTAAACATCCGCATATATAGCCACATATCCCTCTGTATGAAATATGTAAGAGTGTATCTAACAACATGCTGTATATGCAAGATTTGTAGGATGAGAACTGCAAAATACTCCTGTGAGAAATTAAGGAAGACCTAAATAAATGGAGAAAGATAACACGCTCATATAACAGGAAGCTCAGTATTGTCAACATGCCAATTCTTCTCAGATTGATCTGTCGATTCATAGAAACCCAATTACAATCTCTACAGGTTTCATTTCCTAAAATTTATAAAGAAACAAATAATTTATTTAAAAGTTTTTGAGAGAGCAAAACAAAATGGAATCATCCAACTGCTTTTATATTTACTGCCTAAAAGTACAAAGAAAATATTGTGGTTCCGATACACAGATGGACACAGACATCAAAAGGACAAACGTAGCATCCAGAAATGGACCCACACATCTGTGGTTAACTGATTTTCAACGAAGCTGAGAAGGACATTAAAAGGGGAAAGAATGGCATTTCCAGTGAATGGTGGTGGAGTAATTGTGTGTATTCTAATAACTGCATTTTTTTTTTTATCACAAACGGTGGTCTAGCTAGACAATGGTAATGCCCTTCAGCAACAAAGAGAACAACTACTGCTACAACAGGAATGGATCTCAGTAATGTTAGGCCGAGTGAAAAAAACCATAGGCACAAAGACTACTTACTGAATTACTCCAGTTACATGAACTTCTGGAAAAGGCAAAATTCTAGCAACAGAAGACAGAGCAATGGTTACCTAGGAGTGGGGTTAGGGGAGCAGTTGACACACAGGGAGAGGAAGAATGCTCTGCAGAGATGGAGTTGTTCTGGCCGGGCACAGTGGCTCACACCTGTAATCCCAGCATTTTGGGAGGCCAAGGTGAGTGGATCACTTGATGTCAGGAGTTCAAGACCAGCCTGGCCAACATAGTGAAACCTCATCTCTATTAAAAATACAAAAATTAGTCAGGTGTGCTGGCACATGCCTATAATCCCAGCTACTCGGGAGACTGAGGAAGGAGAATTGCTTGAACCCAGGAGGTGGAGGTTGCACTGAACCAAGATTGCACCACTGTACTCCAAACTGGGCGACAGAGTGAGACTATGTCTCAAAAAACAAAATGAAACAAAAAGATGGAGTTGTTCTATATCTTGACTGTGGTGGTGGCTAAACTGCTGTGTACATTTGTCCAAACTCATGAGTTGCACAAACTTGGTGAATTTAATTGTATGTAGATCTCGCCTCAATAAAAGTGATTAAAATATATTCAGCCAAAACTGTAAACAAAAGCCTGCAGAGGTGGCCATCCTAACCTCCTGGGGATCAGCAGGAGAGCTGGCCAGGAGTCTATGCCCTCTGCCCTCGCTGCCCAGGGAACATTGGCCGGTCTCCTTGGGCCAGGCCTTGAGACAGCAGCAGCTGTCTCGGCTCCACAGGGCCACTCCTGCTCCTGGGGCTGGCTGCTCCAAGGACAATGGTGGTCTCTAGCTGTGTTCTCTGGAATCTTGTCAAGAACCACAGCCCTCGTGTTGTGTCTTGGATTCTCTGAGTCAGTTGAACACCCTCCTGTTCATTCCCCAAGGCCGTCCTCTTTACAGCCTGCAGATGGGCTCCAGGGGCTCAGGTGGCTGCTGGAGCACGGATGGGTATCTGAATTGCCTGGGAAGAATAGACTCTTTCTCTCCTGCTGCCTGTGGTCCATGCCAATGACAGTCTTAACATTCACTTTCCAGCCCTTCTCAGACAAAGGCACTAGGCTAATTGTTGTGTTTTCCCTCTCGGCCATGGAGCTCCATTGTTATTGATCAAATGTGTTATCTTTGCCCATCCATCAGAAAATCAATGTTGTCTGTGTCCAGACCTCAGACTGGAAGCGCTTACGGTGGCTGCAGTGAGGAGAACTGCACTGAGGCATGGCGGCCTTTGGACGGCCATCCAAGGGCTCCCCTTGGACTTTTCATTTTTCCAGGCTTTGTGTGTGCACAGACACGAACACATGCATATAAAAATACACTTCTTGTGCACCTGCCCCAGGTTCTTCCAGACGTTCCTCTTTTAATTCCCTTTCTGCAAGCTGGTGCCGGTGACATCTCCTTATATTCCCGAAACTGAGGACTGTCAGGGTCTAAACCTGGCCTGAGCTCACTCGCCTGGTCACCCTCAGCTCAGGTGGCTCCAGAGCCTGTGTATTTCCCTATGACACAGCCAGTGTATGTTGTATGTGTACAAATACATGTGTGTATATATGTGTGTATGTGCATGTGTGCATGAGTGTCTATGTATGTGCTTATGTGCATGGATATGTATATGCATGACTATTATGTGTGTGCCTGTGTATGTATGCAAGCATGTGTATGTTCACATATGCATGCGTGTGTGTGTGCATAGTTGTATAGTTTGGGGGTACCTATAAACACATAGCTGTGTGGGTATCCAGGAAATTCACACACATGCATGTGCACATGTGTGTGCAGGGAGGGGAGAATGAGGAGGATTCTGTTATAGCAAACAGCGGGAGCTTCACATCCAGCCTGGGTGCTGTGTGGATCAGGGCAGGTCACTGGAGATCAAAGTCCGGGGCTCCTGTTTGGGCCAGGCGATCTGGTGGTGAGTCCAAGGGGGAAAGCAGCGGTAGCCCAGTAGAGAGTGCTCCAACCCATCCGCACCTCCCTTCACCAAGGCTTTGCGTCTGTCGTTTATTTTGTTATGGGACGAATCCTTTCTTATGGGAAGCGAAGTGGCTGGGGGAATGATCATAGGAATTACAGGACAGTAGCTCCAGGGTGGCCAGCAAGCTCTCAGGGGCTCCCCCGTCCTCTGTCAGCCAATGCGTGGGAGGTGAAGCAGGGCAGAGTGAGAATAGGTGCTTCTTCCCAGCTCCCTCCTCCTGGTGACATCTCTGGGATGGAACTTGCTCCCTCCTCCTGCCCATTCAGGCCTAGGGTGGCCTGGGTCCCACACCTGCTGGTCCCTGTGGGGCACCAGGCTGGCGGGTTCTGGGAGCCTCCTTACTCCCTTGCCAATAGCCCCTGTGAGACCCACTTCGAGGGCCCCAGCTGACCCAGGGACAGAGCGAAGGAGCGATGGAGAGCAGCCTGTGGCCCCCCTCCTGTGGTGCGGGCACCATGTAGCTGACACGTTGTCAGCAGCAGCGCCCACTCCTGGTTCTGCACCGTGTGGGGTCCTCTCTGTGGGTTTTAGGGTGAGGCATTCTCAGACAAAATGAATTCAATTCATGTTATCCTGAAAAGTGCCCGTTCTCTGGGATAAAAGGAATTGCGATGCGTTAAGCACTAAACAGCCCCAAAGCCCTAAGGACATGAATGTCACACAAGCAGGTCCTGGACGTGGTTTCTGTCGCCGTGTTCAGATCCTGGGTCTGGGAATCAGAGCCCTGGGTCTGCTCCTGGGCTCTCTGACTTTGTGCAAGTCTCAAGACGATCCTCAATACCCCTACTCCCCATGATACCTCCATCCACCCAGGTTCCTAGGCTGAGGCGCAGAGGCCTCCCCGACTCTTCTCCTTCCCTCGCACCAGGGAAGATGCATCTACATGACAGGCACCTTGGCTTCCACAACCCCCCACCTCAACCCAAGCTTTCTTTACGCCCACTTCGAACTCTTCAGGCAAAGATTAATTCTAACCAACTGCCAAGCAGGAAATCTTTGAATCCATCTATGACCTGGAAACCTCCCCCCTCCAATGTCCTGCCTTTCTAGGCCAAACCCATGTATACATTTCATGTATTAATTATGTTTTCACCTGTAACTTCTGGCAATTTTTTTTTTTCTGCCTGACGTGCAATCCTAAACATCTTGTTCCCAGCACCCTGGGAGAAGAACCTCATCCATGGCTGGAAACTAGAAAGTAGGCTGTGCCTCTCCTCCCAGAGTGCAGCCCTGCCCTGGCACCAGGCCATGCTGGGTGTGGAGTTCCCCACCATGCCACTGACAAGCCTGGCTGGGGAGCCACCTGCCCCGGTGGATCTGAGGCAGCCTGACAGAGCCAGCATGCCCAGCTGCTGTACGGGGAGTAGCCGAGTGCTTCCCATGACACTAGTGGAGAGCAGGAGGGCCCAGGTGTCCTGCCTGGAGGAAGAGGGCACACAGCTGATGCTGCAGGTGAGGGGGCTGGGGGCGGGGTCCCCGGGGTAGGAAGGGGTCCCTGCCTGACCACAGACCAAGTGCTGCTCCTCTGATGCCTGAACAGCCCACAGGTGTGCCTGGAGCCCAGGCTGTTGCCAGGAAGAAAGGGTGAAAATGGGCAGAATTCTGCATCAGTTCTGTCCACATCCTGAAGAGAGCAGATTTTAAGTGAAAAGGGAAAAAGTTTATGTTGAAATTGGCAAGATCCACTTTCTCAAGGCTCCTAGGAAATGAAGCCTTGAAAACTGGAATACATTCAGGCAGAGAGTTTCATGCACTTGTGATCTGTGGCAGTGGAATGTGACCCAGCCCGGGTGTTCTCTCTTCCGTCACACCCTGATCCCCGACACCCCCCAAGCCCCTTTGGAGTGTGGGCTTAAAGGTCCTTCCTGAGGCTATTGAGAGATATCAGTGTATCCTAAATTTACCCCTCATTTTTGTCTATCAAGTGGCAAGAGTGACAGGGTTGGACTTCTTAGGCCCTGTGCTCTCCTCCTGGCTGAATGACTTGCAGAGGCCTCCAGCGGGCACCCGGAGGGGGGCATGCACACCATGCTGCCAGGCTCTGAGGCCTGTTTTTCCCAATCAAAGATGAAGCTGTTGAGACAAACAGAGAGCCAAATCATGAGTGAACTCCCATTCACAATTGCTTCAAAGAGAATAAAATACCTAGGAATCCAACTTACAAGGGATGTGAAGAACCTCTTCAAGGAGAACTACAAACCACTGCTCAAGGAAATAAAAGAGGATACAAACAAATGGAAGAACATTCCATGCTCATGGGTAGGAAGAATCAATATCGTGAAAATGGCCATACTGCCCAAGGTAATTTACAGATTCAATGCCATCCCCATCAAGCTACCAATGACTTTCTTCACAGAATTGGAAAAAACTACTTTAAAGTTCATATGGAACCAAAAAAGAGCCCGCATCGCCAAGTCAATCCTAAGCCAAAAGAACAAAGCTGGAGGCATCACGCTACCTGACTTCAAACTATACTACAAGGCTACAGTAACCAAAACAGCATGGTACTGGTACCAAAACAGAGATATAGATCAATGGAACAGAACAGAGCCCTCAGAAATAACGCCGCATATCTACAACTATCTGATCTTTGACAAACCTGAGAAAAACAAGCAATGGGGAAAGGATTCCCTATTTAATAAATGGTGCTGGGAAAACTGGCTAGCCATACGTAGAAAGCTGAAACTGGATCCCTTCCTTATACCTTATACAAAAATCAATTCAAGATGGATTAAAGACTTAAACGTTAGACCTAAAACCATAAAAACCCTAGAAGAAAACCTAGGCATTACCATTCAGGACATAGGCATGGGCAAGGACTTCATGTCTAAAACACCAAAAGCAATGGCAACAAAAGACAAAATTGACAAATGGGATCTAATTAAACTAAAGAGCTTCTGCACAGCAAAAGAAACTACCATCAGAGGGAACAGCCAACCTACAAAATGGGAGAAAATTTTCGCAACCTACTCATCTGACAAAGGGCTAATATCCAGAATCTACAATGAACTCAAACAAATTTACAAGAAAAAAACAAACAACCCCATCGAAAAGTGGGCGAAGGACATGAACAGACACTTCTCAAAAGAAGACATTTATGCAGCCAAAAAACACATGAAAAAATGCTCATCATCACTGGCCATCAGAGAAATGCAAATCAAAACTACAATGAGATACCATCTCACACCAGTTAGAATGGCAATCATTAAAAAGTCAGGAAACAACAGGTGCTGGAGAGGATGTGGAGAAATAGGAACACTTTTACACTGTTGGTGGGACTGTAAACTAGTTCAACCATTGTGGAAGTCAGTGTGGCAATTCCTCAGGGATCTAGAACTGGAAATACCATTTGACCCAGCCATCCCATTACTGGGTATATACCCAAAGGACTATAACTCATGCTGCTATAAAGACACATGCACACGTATGTTTATTGCGGCATTATTCACAATAGCAAAGACTTGGACCCAACCCAAATGTCCAACAATGATAGACTGGATTAAGAAAATGTGGCACATATACACCATGGAATACTATGCAGCCATAAAAAAGGATGAGTTCATGTCCTTTGTAGGGACATGGATGAAATTGGAAATCATCATTCTCAGCAAACTATCACAAGAACAAAAAACCAAACACCGCATATTCTCACTCATAGGTGGGAATTGAACAATGAGATCACACGGACACAGGAAGGGGAATATCACACTCTGGGGACTGTTGTGGGGTGGGGGGGGCAGGGGAGGGATAGCATCGGGAGATATACCTAATGCTAGATGACGAGTTAGTGGGTGCAGCACACCAGCATGGCACGTGTATACATATGTAAGTAACCTGCACAATGTGCACATGTACCCTAAAACTTAAAGTATAATAATAATAATAAAAATAAAAATAATAATAATAATTAAAATTTTTTTAAATGTGAAAAAAAAAAGAGATGAGGCTGTTGAATGTCAGTATTGCTTTAGCCAAGGGCTGAGGGTATAATTGAACAACCTGGCCGTGCAGGCGAGTCATCGATTTCATGTAATGCCCAGATGCAGGGCAGTGACTTCAGAAGAATGTAGTATGGCCGTCAGTGACTCATCCCCATTGCCAAAGGAATGGGGAAGCAATGGCATTTCTCAGTAGAAAGTCTATTTTATTCTAGAATCAGCCTCAGTTATTTCATGTAATGTCAATCAAGTAACAGTTGTTGATTCCCTCCTCTGGGTTAGGCATAGTAGAAGGGTGTGTATGCATACACGCTTGCATACACACACGTTGCCTTTAAATAATGATATGAACAAAGTACCTATTTGATAAATAGATAAATAGCCAGAGTCGCATACTAAGGCCAGAGCTGCATAGACCCACAAGGCACCCTTCATGGTGGCCTCATTCAGTGCCTGCTTTGCACTGTGAGAGGACAACGCTGATAGGAAGGACAGCCTGCCTCACAGGGTCCCTTCCCCGTCACGCTCTGTCTTGGATCCCCACCACCATCAGGAGCCCATCATGCTCCACCTTGGAGCCCCACAACCATCAGGAGCCTCTGTCTCCAGGCCACTGTCAGGGCCACCTCCTGCTGCTCAGCTTAGGCTTTAGGCCCTAACTACAGAGGCCGAGTGGCACCCAGGAGTGCGTCTAGCTCAGCCCCGGCCAGGGCCTCTGCTGTGCAGTCAGGGAGGGAGGTGTGTCGGGTTGGGTTGCTGCCTTTGCTGTCCTTCAGATGACAGCTGTGCAAGCTCCAGGAAGCCACCAAAATGGACGTGCGTGAGCACGGGTGTGAGAGAAACAGAGAGACGATGTGTGTGTAGGAGCAGACCACCTGTGTGTGAGAGAGAGACAGAGCGTTTGTAGATGGGGCTTACCTGTGAGGAGTTGCAGACAGTGGCCGAGGAGGCTGCACACCTCTGCTTGTGACGAACTCCAGGCCTCTCCCGCATCTTTAGATGAGGGTGTCCCTGACACTTGGTAATTTCCAAATACGGGTGAAGGAAGAGCAAGAGCTTCAGGGACATTGGTTGGGGCCCTCTTCAGAGGCTGGGCCTGGGCAGCCAGCAGACCTTGGTCAGAGTATGGAGGGAGGACAGGCCACCCATCCTATTTCCCTTTTTAAGTGGTTTTGCAAATAACAGGCTGAAGGTTTGACCCTACTGTCCGGTATCACTGTGCATGGTAGGTAAGGTATAGGGTCCAGCACCTACCATGAAAACAGGACTTTCATTTTAAGGTGTCATCATAGGCTGGGCGCAGTGGCTCACACCTGTAATCCCCCCACTTTGGGAGGCCAAGGTGGGTGGATCATTTGAGGTCAGGAGTTCAAGACCAGCTTGGACAACATGGTGAACCCCGTCTCTATTAAAATACAAAAAAAAAGAAAAAAAAATAGCCAGGTGTGGAGGAGCACACCAGCAATCCCAGCTACTCAGGAGGGTGAGGCAGGAGAATCTCTTGAACCCAGGGGTTGGAGGTTGAAGTAAGCTGAGATAGCACCACTGCACTCCAGCTTGGGCAACAGAGACTCCGTCTCAAAAAATAAATAAATAAATAAAAGGTGTCATCATAAAAATGCAAAGAAAAATAGGCAAAATACACAGTGCTGTTTCTATTCAGCCAGTCTTCTGTGGTTTAAGGAGGCTGGAAATGTGCGTGGATCCTTTTTTGTACTAGGTGTGAGCTGAGGGCTGGGGGATGTCTCAGCCTGAACAGAACAGCTCATTGCTTGTCTGCAGGGGCCCGAGCAAGCCTCTCTTGGCCCTGAGGACTCCTGAGAACCCCACGAAAGGACGGTGGGGGACCCTGGCAGTGCGAGGTGAGGAAAGCCAGCACGCAGGCAGTGGATGCAGAAGCAGTCAGCTGGAGGCCTGGCTGTGCAGGGAAGGGGAAGGAGAGCAGCAGGAACATGGAGGCAACATCAGTGACCGGTAGCCAGCTGGAGGCGCCTCCGTCTTTTCTGCAGAAACTGTTTTCCTTGACAACTGAGAACAGATCCCTCACTCTGAGATGGGAGGCCCTGTTCTCCTTGAAGAACTTGCAGGGGCCCTCAGAGGGGTCCAGGAAAACGCCCACAGGGGCCGCAGATCCGCGGGCTTAGGGGCATTGGCCAAGGTATTAGCAAAAGGAGGGCACCTGTGAACTTCTGGTTGAGTCTTGGCCGGGAAAAGGTTTCCACCCAGACAGCCCGAGGCCTCCCTCCAGGAAGAGACGCACTGCACACCAGGCCACAAGGCCACCAGCCCGGCTGGGGAGTCATTCCTAGAGAGGGACAAGCAGTGAGGCGGTTCCAGGCAGTCTATCTAGTTGGGGGGCGGCGGTTCCAGGCAGGGTCCAGTCGGGGGGCGGCGGTTCCAGGCAGAGTCCAGTCGGGGGGCGGCGGTTCCAGGCAGAGTCCAGTCGGGGGGTGGCGGTTCCAGGCAGAGTCCAGTTGCGTCTGGGATTTGCTGCAGTCCCAGATTTTAAGCCCAGATTTTCTGTAGCCAGTTGGTGCTTCTAGTTCCTGACGATGATGTCCCGCAGCCCCGGGAAGGACAGACTTGGGGAAGCGTGTTGGTCATTGTCATTTGTCCCCTGCCTGCTTGCCTGAGTGCGCGGCAGGACATATGGGCACTAGGATTCCCTAACTTCAGCTCTGGGCTCCTGTGGTGACCTGGGCTCGAATAGCTCTTCATTCCCAGGGAGAAGGAGGCCCAGGAGACAAATCCCCCACACCTGGAGCTTCCTTGGAGGACACACCTGCAGAGGGGGCAGAGCCCTGGGGCCAACAGGAACGAGATCCGACTTGACCTGAAGCAGGCCCTCAGACCTCAAACGTGTCTGCAGGGAGGGCCATGACGTCGGGGCTGGGGTCAGGGTCGGGTTGGTTCCAGCTGACAAGTGTTCAATTTCCACCAAGTCCTGATGATCCCTCCTCCGCCCCCACATGAGAAACCGGAGAAAAGCCTCAGCCTAAATGGAGCCTGCTGTGCTCGGCTCCCTTCGCGCCCGAGCTTAACAAGAGAGCGGGTGTCCTCGATTTCCTAATTACAGCAACGACGCAGAGCTCCAGTGCCAAGTTGACAAAAGGACTACCTCCTTCCTGATATTGCCCATCATTTGTCTCACAGGCACCTGCTGAGCCTTTGCACCTCTCTGCTAGGGCCTTTAAGTCAAGCTCCCCACCACAACGTCCACGCCCTGCCCCTACAAGCCACTTTCTCTGGCCCCGTCTCCTCACCTGCACCCCACACCTCTAGCCCCATCTCCCAACCTGCACCCCACACCTCTAGCCCCATCTCCTAACCTGCACCCCTCTCCTCTGGCCCCATCTCCCCATCCACACTGCCTCCAGGGCCTCTCAGGCTGCTACTGCCCTCCCAGGCCGCCTGGGGACATGCAGGTGGGGGTGGGGCGGACATGCAGGTGGGGGTGGGGCGGACATGCAGGTGGGGGTGGGGCGGACGTGCAGGTGGGGGTGGGGCGGGCGTGCAGGTGGGGGTGGGGCGGACGTGCAGGTGGGGGTGGGGCGGGCGTGCAGGTGGGGGTGGGGCGGACGTGCAGGTGGGGGTGGGGCGGACATGCAGGTGGGGGTGGGGCGGACATGCAGCCATAGCCTTCCCAGGCTCCCTCCCCGCCTGGCCATGGTGGTCTTGCTGCGGGGCTCAACTCACGTGAAGCCCAGAGAAAGGAAACAGCTTCTTCCCCTTTCTGGGACCTCCCTCCTCGCCTGCCTGTCTCCATCCTGCCTCAGGGTCAGCCCCTCCTGGGGGGAAAGACGCGGGTGGGGGGATGTTTACCTTTTATAGCGGAAAGCCCACCCAGTAGAAAACCACAAGGGTGGGCTTGCCCTGGGTGAGGCAGGTTTACAAATATCTCCCTGGTGGCCAAATCGTCTTTTTCTCTTTCCTCGGTGTGAAGGAGGGCGGCACAGGGCTTCTTGTCCTTCTGATCAGGGTCCCCATCAGCAGGTCTCTAGGGCAAGGTTCTGTGTGGAGGCAGAGTGGACCCCGAGCGGGGAAGCGGCACGTCCTCGCCACCCTCCAGAGGCACGGAGG
Source organism: Homo sapiens (assembly GCF_000001405.40). Lineage (NCBI taxonomy): Eukaryota > Metazoa > Chordata > Mammalia > Primates > Hominidae > Homo > Homo sapiens. Next base: position 130,656,700 of record NC_000010.11, read on the forward strand.
CTTCTGCAAAGACGCAGCTCTGGAACACCATGCGCCGCTGCCCGTATCTCCCAGCAGGACTCTGCTGCTTGGTCAGAAGCGCTTGCATGGGGATCACATCTCGACTCTCCTGAGAACCCTGCTGGGGATGGCTCTGCCTCTGTGTTGTCTTGGCTTGGCTCCCTGCAAGCGGACTGGGGCTTGGAGCAGGGAGTTCCCTGGGGATGATCCCAGGAAGCAGGCGAGCATCTCCACAGGCAGCACCAGGGCCCCCACCGCAGGCAGACTCTGTTGTTCCTGGAGACCCATGAGAAGCCCCCAGGACTATCTGCCTGGAGAAAGTGAGGAGGAGCACTACACTGGAGGCTGAGGGGCATCCACAGGGCAGCAAACCTCCCCTGCATTCCAGGGCTGCACCTGTAGCAAGGTGCTGGGTAGCTGTGAGAAGGGCCTGCACCGTGGGGGCTCAGAGGGCACAGGTGCTTGGGAGGCACAGGTGCTCAGGGGGTAACAGACTTGGGGGGCAGAGGGCTCAGGGGTCACAGGTGCTCAGGGTCACAGGTGCTCAGGGGACACAGGTACTCCGGGACACAGGTGCTCAGGGACACAGTGGCTCAGGGGACACAGGTGCTCAGGGGTCACAGGTGCTCAGGGGACACAGGGGCTGGGGGGACACATCCTCAGGGCATCCACCACCCTTGGACTCCACATTTCACAGAGGGCAGTGTCTGCCACCTGAGCTCCTCTGATTTTCTCCATGTTGAGGAACAGCTCCTCCGAAGTGGATCTATTTTCAAGAGCTGGAAACCACTAAATGATAGGCTGTTTTGGCAGGAATTATTGTTTCCAAAGCCTCAGTAGAATGTTAGGGACTCTGTGAAATAGCTAAGTCTCATCAGTTGACCCCGACCCTCACCCTGCAGAGCACACATTCGTCCTTGCAGAGCCGGCCTGCACCTGTAGATGCACTCCAGGAATAGGGAACCTCCTGCAGGGGAGTTAAGGAAATCAGGGTCAGCAGTTCATCTGGGAACAGAACGCTCTCCGAGGGAAGGGCAGGAGAAGACGCCGCTCACTGCATCGTGCGCAGACCTCTGGCTGGATCAACCTTACCCCGTGGCTCCTGCAGTGAACGGACATCAAGCACCGTTCTGCAGTCACGTGTGGGTTCATTATTTTTTCCTTTATTGAAAATATAATTTAGTTTGTAACTTCCTCCCAGACTCAATATGAGGAGATGCTTCTTTTGCAAAGTTCACTCCCTCTACTGAACAGAACAGAGAATGGGATAATTTTACAAAGTACGTGCCAGGCTCAAAATGAGAGTGCAGAGAGCTATACCACAGGAGGAAAATCATCTCTAGATTTTTTTTTTTTTCAGACGGAGTCTGGCTCTGTTACCCAGGCTGGAGTGCAGTGGCGCCATCTCGGCTCACTGCAACCTCAGCCTCCCAGTTTCAAGTGATTCTCCTGCCTCTGCCTCCCAAGTAGTTGGGATTACGGGTGTACACCACCATGCCCAGCTAATTTTTGTATTTTTCGTAGAGATTTTGTATTTCTAGTAGAGATTTAGTAGAGATGTTGACCAGGCTTGTCTCCAACTCCTGACCTCAAGTGATCTGCCTGTCTTGGCCTCCCAAAGTGTTGGGATTACAGGCGTGAGCCACCATGCTGGCCTAGGTTTAAAATAAACTAAAAGTGGGGACACAAGAGGATGAGCCCGGGAATGTCAATGGCAGCACCTGCCAGGGAAGACCCTGTGGGGAGCACAGAGCGAGCTTGGTGGTCCCAGCCTCCAGGGTTTCTCTTTGTAGCAGTGGAGGGGATGGTAGCAGGGAACGAGAGCCCAGGCTATCCTTATTAGAGATGCCTGAGGCCAGTGTGAGGAGAGAGGAAGAGGAGCTGTCTTATTTTATTCCAGGACACTGTTGGAAGCTGCAAAGCCATCATTGACTTACAAATAGCCAGGGTAAAAGAGGTGGTCGCTTGGCTGACCAAGGTGTTCTCAATTCCATTCAATGAGCTAACGCAGGCAAAAGCACTTTGTAAGTTCCTAAATGCTCACAAACGTGAGTTGATGCTATCACACCCACTCCATTCAGCAGACATTTAATGGGCATGTTGATGGTTCTGGTGCGGTGCAGGTGTCTGGAGTCACAGAGATGGATCAGTCAGGTCCCCACGCTCCGGGAACTCATAGCCTGGAGACCCTGAAGACCTGGGGATGATTTGGAATGGGGCGGTCGCTGACTGGCCTGGGGGTTCAGGGGACATCTGGGCTGCAGTGGGCAGATCCTGGGCATGAGACCTGGAGGCAACATGCTTGGAAGCCAAGAGATGGAAGTGTCCATGGCCCTGGAGGAGGCTTGGAGCCATCTGGAGGGGCTGGGGGCCTTTCACCCATTCACATGATGCAAAAATGCTATTGAAAGATGGGATGCGACTGGGAGGGGAGGCCTAGGACCTATGCTTGTGCAAATGTGTGCTGGAGACATTGCTCATTCTTGAGGCTGAAGCTAAGCACTGGTGAGCCTGCCCAGGAGGCTGAGACTGTGAGGAGCTGGCCCACCCAGGACCCCCTTCCCGATCCAGAAGGCAGCAGCCCCTGAAGTCTTGCCTCCTGTCTCTGGAGGTGTGCCCTTGTGGGTGTTGTCAAAGGACATTCCACAGATGACTGGCTTCAAGGCACCCTGTTGAAAAAAAACAGATACTAAAAAAGTTAGGATAAAATTGCATTTCCCTCCCTCTCCCATGCCTCAAAGCATGAAACAGCAGTTCCTGATTTTACCCCTTAACACAATTTCCGTCCTGGAGCACACATATTTCCCAGTTCATCAACTGAGAGATGTGGGTTCATTCAAACACTATCAAAGAACAGCTCTTCAGCCAGAGGCAGCTTTGTTCTGGGGACACACTCACTCCTGTCCCCACACGCATGGCCTTAGTGAGTGTATTAGTCAGGATTCTCCAGAGAAACAGAACCGGTAGGGTGTACGTGTGGCCGTTCCAAATCCTGCAGGCCGAGAGGGCAGTCCCGAGACCCAGGGAACAGGAACATCGCAATTGGCATCTGAAGGCTGTCTGCTTAGACATCTCCTCTTCGTTCCAGGGAGCTCGGGCTTTTTTCTCTTAAAGCTTCCACTCACTGGCCGAGGCCTAGCCACATTATGATGGACAATGTGCATTACTCAAAGTCCACCAATTTGGATTAAATTCTCATCCAAAAACACCCTCACAGAAATGTCCAGAATAAAGTTTGACCAAAAATCTGGGCACTGTGGCCCACTCAAGCTGACGCATCAACTGAACCATCTTAGTGAGTCAATTTCACAGCACAGGAAGGTTTCCTGACTTCGCACTGTCCTGCTCACTGGGCTCCAGCTGTGGCCACTCAGGGAGGGGCATTCAGAAGGAGGTTGGGGGGGTCTCCACAGATCCCCAATAACAAGGGGGATCTGCTGGAGCCACTGCAAGATTCAAAGGAAGGGAAGGGGTCCTTTGCAGGATTCAAGGGAAGGGAATGGGTCATTTGCTTTCAGGACCTGCTGAGTGCATGAAAGCACTGAGGTCTCAGGGCAGGTGCCCACATAGGGAGTTGATTCTCAGGACCTCCTGCATGTAACAGTCCCAGGCTGAGCTCCAGAAAACCCAGGACCCTCCAAAGCCCCCGGCTGCCCATTGCAGCCATCTGACTTGGGCTCTGGTGTCCCCGGTAAACACAGGTAGATGATACCCAGGATGTGTGTGTCATGGAAGGTTGTAGCAGGATCCAGATGGAGAGGGCCCAAGTAAGCCCAGGGTGTGGTCCCAGGGCGAATTCAGCAGGCAGGTGGGGCACACCTGTGCCTGTGTCTCCACATCACCCCCAGCTGCCTGGTGTGCTTGGGTCAGTGGTGCCACCTTTTGCTCTAGCTTGAAACATAGATGAGGTTCATTTAGCCAAGTTCAATTCAATTAAAAGGTATTTGTTGAGCTTTTAGGATGTGTAAAGCAATGTCCTCAGCAATTCAATTATTTGCAGTTTCTTTTGCACAACTAATCTAAATGGAGACTCATTATAAAGGGGAAAAAGTAATTGGCAATTTCTAGTTTGCCCATACTTGTCCCAAGGTGGTAAGTACTACAAGGGAGAGCCCTTGGGGGGTTTGCAGGAAGCCACTGCCACCTGGGCTGCTTCCTGCAGGAGGCCTGTGGGTGCTTGCAGTGAGCTCTACCTGAAGCTTTGCCAGCACTTTCATTGGCCTGTGAGGTCAAGTAGCAGATACTGTGTTATCCCCATTACGGGATTTTCAACATCCACGTGGCTTCCTGCACAAAGAACATCTCTCCTAGCCAATAGTTGATGTCAAGGGTATCCAGGTGGGCTGTAGACCCATGTGGGGACCGCGTTCCAAGAGCAGCATGGGAACCCCTGCCAGAGGACACCCTTGTGAACAGACGGCTTGTGTTCATCCCCTAGGTGATGGGCGTTTAGTTCTTCATGAATAGACGTGTGTCCATCTTCAAAACAGAAAGGAGAGGGGCTATTAGGAGCAGGGTCTTTGGGTGCAGAATTCTGAATTTGGATATAGTTTATATCCTATTTTGCCTTCGGACCTTGAACAAGTTATTAAAGACTTCTGGGATGCCAGTGTCCTCCCATGCAGATAGGGGGAAATAACACGGGCCTTCCGAGTGATGTGAGCTGTCGATAAGCCATGCAAACAGCCAGCTCAGGCCTGGTACTTCGGTTAACTCTCTGGAAAGGGTGGGATTTAACAACTCACTTTATCACTCCATCTGAAGGAATGGATGTTGTATGTCTCCGGAGACCGGGATTCTGGGGCAGTCTGTGGCAGAGCCATGGCTCATCCGTGTATGAGGGCCCATGGTCATTGGCTGGACGGAGGCACAGTCAGGCTTCCCAGGTTCCCGAGGACAAAGGACAGCATCCTTCAACTCCAAGCTGTGGTCCCTCTGCTGCATCTGGCCTCTCTGCCTAACTAGGGCATGGGCAGGGCATTCATTATTGCAGAAACCTCTAGGGACGACCCCCAGAGTTGCCGCAGTACACAACCACAAAACCTCACAACTTCTGCAAGAACCAAGCCTGGAAGAGTCAACCAGGGTGCAGCCTAGTTTTCCTGGATTAGGACTCACCATTTCAGGCTAAGTCTACACACCGTCAACTCTGCACTGCTTCGAATAGTCCAGGGGTGCTGGGCTCACCTGTGGCTAAGAGCAACAGACCCTGCTATTGTTTAGGTTGTCCTGTAGATGTTACTAGGTCAAAGATAGGGTTTAAAATTTTCTAAAGGGATAAAATATTCAGTGACTATGTGAGTCATGTGGTTTAACTTTTGCAACTATTTGTAAGAAAATAGAGTGAAAACTGGGGCAGAGTTTGTCCATTAATCACCAGCCTTTTTTGTTGTTGTTCTTGTTGCTGCTGAGACAAAATCTTGCTCTGTCACCCAGCCTGGAGTGCCGTGGTGCGATCTCGCTCAATGCACCTCCACCACCTGGGGTTCAAGCAATTCTCCTGCCTCAGTCTCCCAAGTAGCTGGGATTACAACCCTACTACTTAGTGCCTACCACCATGCCCGGCTAATTTTTTGTACTTTTAGTAGAGACAGGGTTTTGCCATGTTGGCCAGGCTGGTGTCAAACTCCTGACCTCGGGTAATCCACCTGCCTTAGCCTTCCAAAGTGCTGGGATTGCAAGTGCGAGCCACAGCACCCAGCCTTCAGCTTTTTCTTATGTTTTGCCTCAGCATGAGAGGAGGCTGCATGGACCCCAGCTGCAAGGGCAGCGAGCTGCAGAGGATACCCAGTGAGAGGGGCATGTTGATAAACTAGAGGTAGGACTTGGCTGATGATAGACCAGAAGTAACGCCATCCACTCCTCCTCTTCCAATTCTGCCCATCTGCCC